>NC_000002.12:13997827-14304583 GCF_000001405.40 Homo sapiens | reverse complement strand
TGTTACTCCATCTAAGACAATGTTTTTTAAGCCACTGTTTTTGGAACTATGAGTCACTCTGTTTATTAAGTCAACTTAGTGTGTCATAACCAGAGCTAAGAAAAAAACAATGTATTAGAATGGAACATAATAGAACATAAAATAATAGAAAAGCAATGTGAAAATGTTTTTTATGTTAATATATGTATCTTTGAGTACTGGGTTGTGAGGAACAGTGCATTTCCAACAGTCATCTCAGTTAGAAGCATAAAAGCTTCTGCCTATCTTAAATATCATCCATGCAACACTATCTTTTCAAAGGTTTGAAACTACAGATAGACCATGGGATCTAAAAAAGACAATAATGAAATAAGGAAAACATATTCAATTCTCATTTTGTTTCCACTAACTTCTTTAAATAACTTGATAAGCTTGCTGGAAATAGAAAACAAATGCTTTAGGGGAGAAAAATTTAACATGAGATGGATAAGAAATATGTTAGAGAATATAGTCATTTTAAATAAGCCCAGTTCTCCAAATCTAGAAGAATTTTACAGTAGGTCACTGAATGTGTTTACTAAGAGATCCCAGTCAACTTAGAAAAATACTTTTGTGAGCAGAAAACTTTAAACCTTGAATAAAGCAGAGACAATAGTATAATGCGTGCTTAAATGACTGTTACCTGGCTTCAATGATTCATAACTCATGATCCATCTTGCTTCATTTCAACTCCTCTTCCCAGCCTCTTCCCTTTCTCCCAATTATTAAAAGAAAACTTCTGAGATCATCACTAAGCCTATAAACATTAGTGATAATTAATATTGTTAGTATCCTGTAGTGTTCAGATTTTTGGTAAACTTTTAAAAACTGATAGTCCACAATGAGATACTGCTTTGTACATAATAGAATGTCTAAAATAAAAAAAGATATAATGATATATGCTGATAGAGATGTCGCAAACTTGAAACCCTCATCCACTGTTAATGAAAATGTAAAATTGTGCAGTCATTTTCAAAACCAGTTTTTCAGTTCCTCAAAGTGCTAAATATAGAGTTTCATATATGATCTCATAATCCTACTTCTGGTTATCTACTGAAGAGGAATGGATACACACATCTACACTAAAACTTTTACTTGAAGGTTCACAGCAACACTATTCATAATAGTCAAAATGTAGAAACAACCACAATGTCTACAAACTGATAAATGGCTGTAAATAAAATGGGTCAATCCGCACCATGAATTGTTACTCATCAAAGAAAAGGAACAAAGTGCTGATGCCCACTACAAAATAGACAAACATTGAGACCATTATCCTGGGTGCAAGAAGCAAGTCTCAAAAGCCCACATATTGTAGGATCCTATTTATATAATGTCCAGAATAGGCAAATTTATTGGGACAGAAAGTAGATTACTGATTGCCAAACGATGAGGTGAAAAAGTGGGGAAAATTAAGGAGTGACTTTTCATGAGTATAAGGTTTCTTTCTTAGGTAATGAAAATGTTCTAAAACTGATTATGGTGATGGTTGCCCAACTCTGTAAATATGATAGAAACCATTGAATTACACACTTTAAGGAGTGAATTTTATGGAATGTAAAACTATTGAATTTTTCACTCTAAGTAGGTAAATGTTATGGTGTGTGAATTTTATCACAATAAAACTGTTATTTAAAAAAGGAAGGGAAATGAAAACATATTAATAGGATGACAGTATAAAATGCTCTAATTTCCAAAAGGTGAAGGAGGTGGCAAACATACCAAAGGAATCATTTTATGTTTAGTCTGATATTAGTGAGTAGACATTTTTGAAAGGGGAAAGAAATGAGGTAAGGAAACTATTTATTAAAGGCACTTTCTTTGTCTCTGGCAGAGGCTGCACATTTGGGTAAACCAAATTTCAATTTGTTGTGTTCAGCAGGTACACATCTGCTGAATTTCTCACCTGTTACCATCCCCTGGGAAAAATCTAGAGATAGTTCTGGTCAAATGATCTCTAGGCTTCATATCGAGAGACTATGTACTCCCAATATGGACCTCTGAACTCAATCAAATCACCCTAACTGTAGGGGACTCAGAGTTACTCTACTTGTGTTACTTACTCAGGAGAATTGTCCTCAGTAAATATCACAGATAGAGTAACTGAGTCCTGTTCAGATTTACGCTGCTCTGAGGTACAGTAACTGTGAAGTACAACTCAGATAATTGATATAACAATGTCTTGAAAATTGAGATGTTGCATTATTGCCATATTTGTCTATATTGTTGTATAGCAACGGGACCTATTCACAGAAAAACAAATTTGAGTTTTGGCCTGTAGATAATAGCTACTGTGGCTATTGGTGGTCCATCGTAACCTATGGCAGTCTCCATCTCTCACTCTGCAATCCTTGTACCACTTCTGGCAACTATGCTGTGGTGTCCTGTTAGGAAACACAATAAATCCTATTACTGTGGCTTATTTATATTCACGCATGTATTAAGAGATAGACTTTTTAAAGGGGGGCATATTTGTATTTTTAAATGGTAGGCAAATCCTTCTCACAGTATAAAACTTCTATTTTCCTCCTAGACCCCCTCTCATATACTCTAAATCATGTACTTAACTTCAGAGCTTAACGGGGATTTTTTTAAGGAGTTGGGGAGATGGCCAACCATAGCTTCTCCCATAAGGAGGATTACAGAAAAATCTACATACATTTCACTCTTACCACCTCTAATTTGTTTTAGGCTTCATTTTTTCCCTGTTCCCTCTACGGCCCTCTTTCTGTCGAGTCAGTAACTGAATCAAGTGTCGAGAAGTAAAATCCAAAAACGGTGCAATTCTTCTTTTACTAGGAGAGGTCTTTTCAGATTGAGCTGTTGGGACATCAAGGTATAATCTTGATGTCCTATCACCCTGTAGCTGGAAGTGAATTTTGATAGTATCTATTGCCACCTGCTTTTACAGATGGAGATTTTAAGGGAAAGTGGAAAA
The DNA here is from genome assembly GCF_000001405.40 of Homo sapiens. NCBI lineage: Eukaryota > Metazoa > Chordata > Mammalia > Primates > Hominidae > Homo > Homo sapiens. The sequence continues at coordinate 14,301,627 of NC_000002.12, read as the reverse complement.
GCTGCTCAAGGATGACCTCCTCCAATGCCTTTCCTGGCCCCAGTGGCTGAGCATTCACTTTCCATTGAAACTCTCTGTGTTCTCACCACATACCCCAGGAATGCACTCACACCATAGCTTCGCATTCCACCAGGCTGCTTATTTTCTCTCCTCCTAAGCTCTAAATTTTTTGAAGGCACAGACCCTTTATTAACTTTGTTAACAAAGGCTAGAGAATTGCACCTACCACAGGCAGGAGATCTTTTTAGATCAATCCTCATTTAACAGCAGTCACTAATAGGCAAATGGTGTCCGATGCCTTGGCTAAGAGATTTTAATCTGAGCATAAGCAGTAAAAGTAGGCATAAAACAACACAAGGCCTCACTATTCTGCTTCTATATTTCAAGACCATTATCACTCTGTATAACATTAAGTCATTAGGCTGCAAAATCTTTGATCAGGAAGAAACTGATGTTTGTGTCATGCAAAAATACAAGTAAATCAAACAAAACAACACATGTGCAAACAAATAATAAACTTTTCTGCACAACTTGCTGCACGACTCTTTGGCTTTAATGCCTTTGTGTGTTTCAGAGTAACCTCTTCATTCCCAAAAATAATTTTAGAGACCAAATCTCGATCATTTTTTTTTATCTTGGCTTGACAACATTCCAGATGAACTGTCACTTTTGCTTCATAATTAAAAAATGAAATAGAGCTCTTTTTAGCTATTCTTCTCCAGCCTGTCATTAGGTATGAACACAAGTCAGTGCCGACATATGGATTTATATTTCCTAGAAAGAGCAGGTGTTGATGGGAAAGAAGATATAAACCAACTTAAATTAAACTGCTTCTGCATATGAAATGGCTGGCTGCTTTTGGGCAGACTTTATTTCACCTGTAAATATTTAATAGTAATTGGTGTCTGTGGGTTTTGCTAGAGGGAATGGTTCTTACTCCTACTGACTTTGAGGGCCCAGGTGGCTCTGGGGAAAAAAAAAAAAGAAATTGTTTTGTTTAATTTTTCCAAATCCAGTTTGTGGTCACATACTGTCAATGAATGGTGTTGGGCATGTTGGAGTACTCTTCTGTGCCTCAGTTGCATTACTTGTAAAGCTGATAAGACTTCTTCTTATGTCCTGTCAGGCTCTTGCAGTGGATGCAATGAGAGAAAGGATGCAACTGAAGTGCATGTGGGTTTATCCACAAGGAATTCTGGTGTTGCATTAGCAGCTGATGGGGAGGAGGCAGAATCAGACCTGAGCGGGAGGAACTGTCCTGGTTCTATTACTGGCTGATGAGTAGGGACCAACCGTCACAATTACTGTTTCCAAGGAGGCACAGAAGTTGAGTGTCTTTTGAGCTTGGGTCACTTTCCAGGGAGTCCAGTCAAGATCATGGTGCACAGTATCAACGCCCTTCGGGATGTAATCATGCTGTCATGCTCATGGGTTGCACGTGTCTGGACATCTGCAGAGTGTTTCCAGTTAGCCTGTCTCTTTTGATCAACATCCTAGCCAGCACCTGAGAGTTGTGTGTGTATGTGTGTGTGGGTGTATATGTGTGAGTCTGTATGTGCTTATGAGTGAGTGAAAGACAGAGGGAGAAGAAGGGGTCAGAGAGAAGTGGGGAGAGAGAGGGAGAGACAAGGAAGAAACTGGGAGCTAGTGAGAGACAAGCATGCAGAACATCCTAGCTCTCAGAAAGAGAACCTATTATAGCAAAGGCCAGGTAATATATCCCAGGCCCTAGAGGAAAGGAAATGAAATTTAAAACAGGAACCCAACACCAGGAGAGACCTGGATGTGGTCAGGAGCCAAGGAAGAACCATGAAGGACTAGAGTAAAAGGGAATGTGCAGCTCATCGGGCACAGATGTACCCAAGGGCTCATCCAAACACACCTTTTACCAGCTGGGTACAAGAAGACTAATTCCAGACAAGGTCTTCTGGTGGTTTTGAGCTGCCTAAAGAAATAATCCAGCTAAATCTAATTCTGCTAAGACACTTACTAGGATGAAGCCTTCAGGCTAAAAGCCTACTGCTTTCTGGGACTGGGGGACACAATCAGGGACTCCAGAGGTCTGACCTGAACTGGCTGCCTTAGCAGAGGTATGAGGGAGCACTCGCAGGAGGGTAATTTCAAGGCTTACAAACTGTTGAGTTTCTTTTTTAAATGCATTTAGGCCTAACTGGTGTCTTGAAATTGTGCTCTTCTTGTCTCACAGTTTTGTCAATTAGACTGAGAAGCAGGTAAGTTTTAAAACTTCTTAGATGAATGTAAAATATAACATTTATTCCATTGAGTTTGGTCTTTGAGCTGCTTGCGACTATTAGATGGGAGACATAAAATCTCATGTTTTTAAGAGTTCTAGTGATGAGCATATGCTGTCAAGGTAAAGCTTTCAAAAGAAAATCTATTTATACCTGATATGTTAATCCTGGGAATAAAAGTCAAATGCAAAGTATGTGCCTACATCAATCATATCAGAACTTCTCACCCCAAACATATGTTAGCGTATGCCTTTCCCTTAAGGTGTCTCTAATACAAGAATGGGGAAAGGTGGAATCTAATTGCATCCATGCAAGGGCAAAAATCTGCCAATCCCATTCCACTAAGCTTGGTCCCAAAATGGTCTGGTTTCTGTTTACTCTTTTTTCTGAGCCTTCCTTGTACTGCTGGTGTCTGATCACCAGATGCCCTGAACCTTTGATATTGGCAGTGGTTTGATATGGTAGGACCTGCAGTGTGGAATCTGCCTTGAGTTTCTTGTTGAGAGGAAATGCAAGATTTAGGAAAACCAGGTAACAGAGGTGATAGATGGAGTCCTATAAGAGAGCTGGACCCCAGGTCTAGAAATACAAGGAAGTCTAGGCCCAGTCATGCACAGAGGACAGTGTCTGACCATAATTAGCCAAACTAGGAGCAGGAGGCAGGGGACAGATAAAAGTTCCTGCCAAGTGAAAGAATGGAACTTAGGGCACAAGGAAGAGACAGAGGCTGGTTATTAAACTGGCAGAGAAGATAGCAAGGCCCCTTGGTTGTACAGTTACCAAATCTTTAAATTGACCCTCATGAAGAATAGAACTTTTTCCTGGCCCCAGAGTTTCAGACAGTGAGATTTCACAGAGGAACAGGCAGCCTAAGAGAGAATAGTTGAGACTTTGCAGGGGCTGGGCACCAAGTAGGCATCGTATCTCCTCCTCTTCCTCTTAAGCCCAGCACAACGGCCAATCTAGCCGTTCTGTCCCTCACTTCTAATTTCTGTATGTCATTTCCCTTGTTTTGTCTATACCTCTTCTACCACATGGCTCTGCTGGAGTATCTGTGAATGTGCTGTGATTCTGGGGGCTGCTCAGATTTGCAAATCATTCATTGATCAATTAAACTCCTTTAAATTTAATTTGAATGAAGTTTTTCTTTTATCACCTCCATCTGAGTCTCTGACTGATAGCTGTCCTCAGAATGCATGAACTGGTTGAAAATAGTCTCTTTCAAGGAAATACTCTTAGTCAGTGACTGGGAATGTAAAACCCCAGCTCTCTTACTCTTGATGGGGATCATTCTAAATCATGTGTTTTCCAGCAATGCAGAACTTCCATGTCGGATTAAGCTGGTGGTAGTCAACTTAATAATACTCCTCTTATTAGCTGTGTTTGTGAATCTCAATCCCAAAACTAGACACACTCAACCCTAGACTCTGTCCTGGGAGAAACCCAACCAAGAGTGGGAAATTAATTATTTTTGTGCTATTTTGCTAAAATGTTTCACACACTGGGACTGATTTCCTAAAACATTTTTAATTCTTTATTTTTTAAAAGCATGTTTCAGAAAATTATGCTATCATGACTGAAAATTTTAAAATATTTTTAAAGGTGAATTACAAAGCCATTATTTGCCTTATAAAACTTAATAAATCATGTCATGCATGATAAGGAGTTTTCAAATAAATGAATAAAAATTTCAGTCTCAATGATTATAAACTTTGACTTGACTACATCATCTAACCTATCATGCAACATACACCTAAATCCGGTTTTACCAGCTTGTGGTAGATGATGTAACAAAGGATTTGAGAAACATTCAGGTTGAGAAACCCAGGGTGTGTGAAGAGTTCATGATGAAAAACTCTTTCTATAAACAAGCTCAGCCTTGTTTTATACATCAGCCTCAAACAAAAATGCAAACAATACACACCTACAATTTAATCATCTCAAAAGACAATAGTTAATAGAGCAAACAGTACTTGAAGTGTCATATTGCTGACTTATAAAAAAGTCCGAACCAAACAAGTTTGTATTAAAAGAACTACTGGATCCGTAAGGAGGGTATCCACTTTGCAAACTGCTGAATGACACAATTCATTAAGCCTGATCAACATCAGAGGCTTCCTGGATGAATTAGATGAACTTGAAAAGAAAAGACGTAAGAGTCAAAACGGAAGACTTAAAAGGGTGTTAGTTTCTTCAAAGAAATTATTGGCTACTGCAGCTCAACATATTTCAAACTTTTTAAACAATTCATTTGTTCTGAATCGAACAATTTGAAATATTTTAAAACAATTTCAGACTTTCCTTCCAACTCTTAAATGCAATATTTACCTGGAACTGAAAATATTACTGATCTAACTTTGTTCCAGTTTAATAATTTTAGAAGATATTTTTGTTTAATCTAAAATCACATTTAAAATCTCTGTTTTTACATTCCTCAAAGGAAAAAAGGGTTTATGAATAAATAATTGCTACCTATATGGATTTTAAATCATGTGTTCATTGGGGGCAAAATATTTTGGATCTCTGAGACCTCAAAAAGAGAGCTTATTGTCTCCTGGACTTCCGTGGGAGCTGCAGAAGCCAACGATTTCTTTGAATGAACTAAAACCTTTTTAAGTCTTCCATCTTGACTCTTAATTCTTTCTTTTCAAGTTCATCTAATTCATCCAGAAAGCCTCTGATGTTGATCAGGCTCAAAGTATGTGCCAGTGTCAAACATAGGGTCAATATCTGAAACAGCAATATGATGTCTTCAGTGATTCAACAATATTGATTGAGTGTCCACTTTCTGCTGGGCACTGTTTCAAACGCCAAGAGCACAGTGAGGAAGAAAACTACGACATTGCCCTCCTCGCGTTTGCCTTCTAGTGCGCTAAATGTGATGCATCCCACCATGAATAACTATAATGAATAATGAATAATAAGTAGCTGAAAAGCCTGACTTCATCTAGAGAAAGGCTTCCCTGCAGAAACATTCACAGACATCAGGCCGTGCTCCTCTCACCCCATCCCTGGCACCCACCCCCAACCCCCACCAAATACTTGAGCATGTATCTCCTAAGAATAAGGCCATCTCACACTTGACCACTAAACCATTATGCGATCCCTTCCCAAGTTAGCAATAACTCTACGATATCAGTTGATACGGAGTTCACATACAAATTTCCCAAATTATCTCAAAATATTCTCAAGCCGTTTTTTTTGTTTGTTTGTTTGTTTTCCAATCCAGTCTCCAGTCTCTAGTCTCTTTATCTTTTTCATTCTAGAACAGTTCTCCTACTTTTCATGTCTGTTTTTCTGACATTGGTTTCTTGAGTCCAGGCAGGTTGTCTTCTGGATTGTCCCACAATCTGAATGCATCTGTTTGCTTCCCATTGATTCCACTGAGCTTAAACATTTTTGGCAACAATATTTTATAAATTAAGTCATATACTTGTTCATCACCAGGAGGCTCCTAAGTCAGAGAGTCTCATTATTATTGCTATTTAATTACTTGGTCAAGACGGGCTTTATCAAATCTCTCCATTGCAAAGGCACACCTTTCCTTTCTGAATACGAAGTAATCTGCTGGAGAGACTTTGAAACTATATAACCTTCCTGTTCCCTGCAATAGCCTCTACTCCAATGCTCTGACTCTTATGCAGTATCGCCTCTTTGTGAGATGCCTACATTCTTATCATAGATTCAATCTGACAACACCTGAATATGAGCTGGCCATTTATAGCATCAGGGACAAACAGGGCCCGATACGGAGATTATCCTCAACAGCCCCTGCTAAGACTTTTGGAGAGGAGTACCCAATGCATGCTGCACATTTACTTCCTGCCTCCCATCAGAACTGCTTCTTCCCTCCTCACATCCCCACACAGTTTTGAATAAAAGAAAACCAAAAGTTTCAGGTCTTTTTCAGGGTTCGCAAACCTATTTCAGTGATAACGTGAGCACAAGCCCTTCAAAACTGCCAGCTAAACAAAGGAAAATGAAGACTTAAATAAACATTTGCTGTACGCAGTGCCTAGGCTACAAAAACTCTTGCTCTGGTACCACTGAATTCCATTGTCTTCTCTTTTGGCAAAAATAAGCTATGCATTTGATAATCTCAGAAAATCCAATTGGGGTATTTTTTTTAGGGACCAGCTTTGCATGTTCTATGTGTTGATACATAAAGGCAAACAAAGGTTAATTGTGATGTGACAGGGCAGATTTCTGGGTTGGGTATGTGGGTGTACTGGGGATTGCCATATGTGCTGTTCTCTTCCCAGCTCTGTTGCTGTGATGTCCCGTCAGTTAGTCCCGTCGGTTACTTAAAATCAGCCATAATAGAAGTTTGTACAACATGAAACTAATGCTACTACTAGCAAATGCTACAAACTGGGACTGGTGACTTTGTTTTCTTTTTCTGGAAAGCTATTGTTAAATATTTCCTAGCACATGGATGGATTCAGACTAATTCCTGCCTTGAGTACTAACTCCTGCCTTGAATACAGACCTGAGAGAGGAGAGGTCACACCAGAGCATGTGCTCTCAAAGGCAGAACACATTATCCACAGATAACAGAAATGATATCTGTGAATGACAGAAAACAAATGGTCTTTCAAGTGAGCTGTATCATCCGGGAGGGTCCTCAGGGGGTGACAACGGCACCCAGTGTCTGGGTGTGGGACACTCATGGGCAGCCATGAGCAACACTCACAGGTGCATCAGACAGCCTCAGAGGGCCAGGTGCAAGGGGCGGCTACAGCTCGGTATCTTAGGGCCGAGTCCTATCTAATTTCGTGTGGTTCTGTTTTGGATTTGGAAGATAAATTGCAAAGAGAAAGGAGTTCCCAACTTTACAGCAACAGAAACTCTAGTCTGGATATCAGAAGGGAATCTCAGACAGGGCATAAGTTAGAGATTCTGTTACCAGAACAACACTACAATTCCTGAAGAATATTCTCTTTAAACAGTTCAGGTTATGTTTTATTATGAACTTTTATATTACCTATTCCAGCAACATTTTCTAAATGGCCCTGGGTGACTGAGGAGGCTTCTTTCTTCTGCAAAAACACAATCTTGGTTTTGATATCATGCACCAGAAATCCCTAAATCCCATTTGAAGTCAGGGGTAAATTTAGACCCCAGGGAGAAACTGGACATCTGTGGAGGAACCAAGAGCCTGTTCCTCATTTAAACAAAGCAGGCTTAGGGGTCTGGTAATCAGGCTGGTCTTACTGTGGATGCATTAATACAGTAGTTCCCAAACTTGAGCAGGCATCAGAATCCCCTGGGGGGGAAGGGGATTTTTTTTTTTTTTTTTTTAAACACTGATTGCTTGGTGCCACCCTCAGTGTTTCTAATTCAGTACATCTGGGGTGAGGCCAATTGTCTGTTTTTTAAAATAAGTTCCCATATGATGCTGATCCTGCTAAGGACCACACTTTGCGAACCACCTTATTAGTGCAACCACCTGAAGGGTGGGGCAGCTGATAGGTGTTTTCATAAGCCAATTTAGCCCAATGTATCAACAGAAAATACAATTCTCTAATGTCATTGTTTTTCCCTCCATTGAACTATGCACCATGCAGAAATAAACTTTTCAGAATGCATAGAAACAGGTGCCCACCATCCTTGGTAATAATAATAAAAACAGTCCCAAAAGAAATCCTGCATTTGGTGCAATAAACAAGCCTCCAAGAATAATCAGGTGCTGACAATTCCACAAACTTCCCATATATTCTGACATGCCAGCAAAGAACAGTTCTGCTTTCCTGACATTCTGAAGTTAGCATTTTATGGCCTCACCATAATAAGATCGTCCTGCTTTGGAGTCATTTGTGTTGTAATTGCTTTAAAATTTCAAAGAGCTCTGGATTTCTACACCTCGTTAAATTGGATCACATCAGGACAGCTGGAGATTTTTTATTTTTAAGCCAGGAAAGTGACCTTTATTTGTTCCTTACCCTTCTGTGTAACTTCCTCTGGTCCTGTTTTTGCCACTGGACACTGCTGGACTCTTGTCCACAGACCTTGGAAGCTTCAACGGATAGTTTATGTTTACTGCATATTCTGTTCTTCCTTTCCATGAGATCAAAAGAGCCACAAGGCACCTGTGGCCTTGGGTTTAAAGTTTATCTAGGGATTGCTCGAGCCTGACTAATTTACCCCATTATCCTTCTACATGCCCTTGGGAACAAGCTCTTCAGCAGCTCAGCCTCAGAAATATCAAGACATGGTGACAGGAGAAGGGTGAAAAGAAAGATGATTTCCCCCCTCCCAGCTGAGTTCTATTGTCAATTCAGTTTTTTCAACAAGCTAATAATTTTTGAGTGACTACCATGTGACAGGCGTTGAATTAAATTATGTAGGTACATTGTTTCAGCTAACTACATATTAGCACTATTAAGTAGACTTTGCTTAAAGGACTCAGATAGTGAGTGGCTCCAAAGCCTAGATTTCCACTACATCATGATGCCTTGTAAGCAGCATTTTTAAGGAACTGTAGGGATAAATTTGTAGTATGTATGACAAACACGCTAACCATACTCTCAGGAAGCTCAGAATCTATTTTATTACAGCAGAAAAATACCACGTTTTGTCAATTTTGAGACAATATTGATCTACATTTTAATATGTCTAAAATTAAAATCTTACAATTAATGCTGTTTTTAAAAATGCAAGCAGTCAGGTGGCTATGGTGACCTGCACCATCACGGACATGGTCACCCACAGCCATTCCTTTTGTCATTTCTTCTAGCTCTAAATAAGTCTAAAGCCTCTTTCAGTAAGTTTAAAATACTACTTTTAAATGATAAGAAAGCATTATTTCATAGTTTAATTGGTGGGGATTTTCTTTCTCAGGGTTACAAAAAATAATAGTGCAATTTGCTATGAAGAGTGTCTGTTTCCATGGAATGTGGTAACTGTTAAGAAACCACTTTCGTGTATGAGATAATAAGGGTGATAGACAAGGGAGCCATTTTGGAGTGGGGGCAAATCAGGCAAATTTTATGCAGAAAGAAACTTTTGCTGAGACCTGAAGGGAGTGGAAATTTGCAAAGAGGGGCATTAACGTGGGCCTTCTGGGCAGCGAGAAGGTGAGAACAGCATTCTCTGTTTTTGAACCTGAATCTCTCCTATTACCTTACAGACCCATCCCTCTATCCCTCTAGAAGGCTGAAAAAAGTTGGTATGTGTGTATATTTATATTTAATCATGTTTATTATTTGCATGTATGTTTATATTTATATTTATGCATATATGTATGCATGTATATACATGCATACCCATGCATGTATGCATATATAAACACATGCACATATGTATATACATGTAATATATACATACATGTGTAAATATAAATGTAAACATACATACAAATAATAAATATAAACATGTATGAAACACATAATGCAAATACTGCATTCAAATAATAATAAACATAATTAAATATAAACCTATGTGTACGAAAACACCTTCTGCTATCTCTTTCTTACTGTCTGTCTGTCCCTGGGTCATTCCTTTTCTCTACTATCTGCCCCCATGCCCTCCCCCACTGCCCATCTCAATTTGACTATAATTTGGATTTGAAAGTTGTCTTTCATTTAAAATTTACTTCATTTCTTGAAGAAAGCATTATGTCCTCTATTCATAATTTAAAATAAAGTGAGCTGAACATTTCATATGACCCTTACAGAGACAGCAAATGCAATTTGGATTCGCCAAATCAAGCAGCTCAACTTTTTAAAATCTGAGAAAAAATTTGAGATTTTTCAGTGTGTCTGACCTCCATGTTGGGACTGTGTTAGTGTTTTCTGCCTGCCGTGGAACTCTCTTGTCTTCCTGACTGAAACAGTGATTTGCTAGCTTGGTGGGAAGTGCTTTATGCCCCATCACTATGTCACCCTCCCCCAAAGCCACCAGGTTCTCTTTGTATATTTTGGAAGAAAATCTTGTAAAGGTTAATACATTTTTTCAATAGCGAAGCGTTAATTAGAAAAACCTGGTTAATCTCTTGCCTAAATGTAGAAGAATTCCTGTTGCCTGCAAGGCTGTTTCTGGGTGGCAAAAAAAAAAAAAGAAAAAAAAAGTTTTGGGGACTTTTCTCACAAGGTAAAGTTTGCAGAATAATTTCCCTGCCAGTGTCTACCTTCCTTTCCCGTCACACATGCTGCTGTGCTTCAGAAGGTGTTGCCTAATTCCAGCTCTTCCTAGATGTTTTTCTCTTGTTGTATACTTGTTTTGTTTTTACTTTTAAGTGAAATCATAACTGAAAAAAATGTCAAAACCACCACAGGGAGGCCTTCAGATGAAAAAGAGAGAAACACAATTACATTTGGAGTCAACATGAAAGGGATCAGCCGCACTGGAAAAGGCAGAAGATTGAGGGCATCCATTTTTTGTGTTGACTTGGTCGAAGTTCAATCTCAAACCTCTGTGTGACAATGCCACTAAGATTGTAGAAAGCACTAAATTCAGATCACCACCAATTACAACAGACACCTCTGGAAGGATCTTGGAAATGGAACTTAATATTTTCATGATTGTACACTGAAGTGATCATATTTTGGCTATATATTAGAATAAATAAAGTATATTATTAAAATCAAGTTAGCTGGTTTTAAATTAATTCAGCCACTAGAAAATGTAAGATTTCATTCGTGGCTTGTATATTTATATTAGATAGCACTGCTTTACGTAATGTTCACAGCATTTCCTTCAAAATATCCTTGGAGGTCAGCGTCATAACATCTATTTTAAAGTCAAATAAGCCGAGGCTCAGAGATGTCGAGCAACTTGCCCGTCACCCAGAGTCTATGCAGTCTCCTTTGTGTTTTGATTCTAAGTCAAATGAGTTTTCTTTCCAACGCAGTAGCCTCCCCTTTGCAGCAAATGCTTTCTCTCTTCAATGGAGTGTCCATCTGAGTTAAAATAGGAATGACGCAACCTCCCCAAATCGGCAAAAACTTGAAGAATAGAAAGAATGAGTGGATCATGGCCTTTCCAGGAAGCAGTCTGCTTGTCTACCTTAAGAAGAGACGTAGCAACCAATTACATAGTTAATGAGAATTACTCCAGAGAAGTCCAAGAAGGAAATAGAGAGGCATAAATAACCAAAAATTGATCTTAATGATGATATTCTGAGCAAAGTAATGCTCATCATTTCTGCATTTCCAAATGTCCTTCATTTCATTAACTGCTGATCTGATTCAGCATCTCCAGAAGAGTCACATTTGCATTTATAGATAGGATACCATACTCTCTAGCTTGTCAGAGTGATCCTCTCGCAGATTTGCATGTCCCCCTTCCAAGACTTGAGGGGAAAATGGTTGTTAACTTTATCCAGATGTTGTTGTGCATGTAGACCACAGAGAAGGCTGATCTGATTTACTTTTTCAACAAATATTGAAATTTTCCTTGCTGCGATTATTTAGCATCTCTTATACACCTAATTCTGTAAAAATAAACCGGCTTTCATGAATGGAGTAGTTGAAACATTGATGGGTTTCATGGAATGTGTAAGTTGATTTTTGCTTATTTGTTTAGTATTTCTAAACTTCAGATTATTCAGCTATAAAACAGAAATAATTCTTCTAATTGCTGAATTGTCAGGAAGAGGGAATGGGTTAATAAACCAAAGTCAACAGATACTGTGACTAGCACAACTAGGTGCTCAATTGATGATTTAATGATATTTAAAATTCAAAAATATTACCCTAGATGGTGCAATGAAATTGGCCTTGTTTGTGTTTGTGCTATATGTGTTGATGGGGGAATGGGTGATATGTACAGAACAGAGGACATTTATTCTAAACCCCATATAGAAATTTGTTAATCACTCGGGGTTCTCGTACAAGTTCAAAATGATGTGTTCAATGCTTTGTCTTCTATGCAGAGATCTGGAGAGGAAGACTGATGAGTAATGGGAAGGGAGCACTTGTGCTTTTGTTCTCTCTCTATACTCTCTTTAGAGCTCAGCCTTCTCATCTATTAGTGGACAGGACATAAGAGGATGATTTCTAACAACCTGTTCAATGTAACATTTCACAAAGTTCACATTTGCTCCCTATCCAACAGAAATGCATATTATAATATAGAAGATAAAAATAATTAAACTACTAACTATAACACATTCTTCTAGAAGGAAGTGGCATGAGGGAGACAGACACTATAGTCTTGGAGGGCAGAAGGAGGAAAGACCACTTTTATCTGGGGGATCTGAGAGGTCATCTTAGAGAAGCTGGCATTTGACATGTGTGTGAAGGATGGTCCAGATTTGTAACATGGAGATAAGGGTGAATAGAACTCCAAGCTGAGAGCCATGCCTGGGTGGGCAATGACATGGAAGTATGAGAAGGAGATGGCAAGATTTCTGCAGGGATGAAAGCATTGCTGTATTTCATATGTGGTGAGACTAGAAGCAAAGATTGTGTCCAGATTGTGTATAGATAATAGGGGTGAAATTTGAGCTGAGGATGAATGAAAAAAGAGGATACAAGTGGAATTTGCTGTGCTGAGTTTCCTGTGATTCTGGGGACAGTGGGGCAGGGAAAGGATGGCAGAGGACAAGAATCACTGAAAAATGACTGGCACTTTGAAGACCAGGAAGGATATGGGGCCTGAAAGAAGACATTTCATCAGGATTACCCCACCAACCCTTGATATTTTGAGTCAAAAAGTAACTTCGGTTATGTCGTATGTTCCCATTTCCTGTGTTGTCAAAACCTGTGGGAGAAGCTGTGAAAGTGAGACTGAGTTTCCTTTTCCCCACATCGCGTGGATAAACATGGTTCTGATGAGCTTCACGGGACCTGGCCCAGCATGTGGCACTGAAGGCTGACATAATCTGGTCTCCCAGCCACCCATTGCTGGAAGACAGCACCTGACCTGTATGCACATGCTTGGGGTACTGGCTAATCTCCAGATGAACGTCTTTCTCAAAACCCCACCTGCCGCAGCAGGACCTGAAGGATTCCCATGGGAGAGTGATAACTGGGAGGTGCAAAAGACCAATGAAGCCTTCAGCCCCCAGTGGCAAGTCCTCTAGACGCTGCTACAGGAGGATCCCAGGGTTTTGCAAGTCTTCTGGAGTGCTAGACAGGTTTGCCTTCATTCGCTCCCTGGAGACAGGACCGTCTGAGGCATGACTGGGCTATTCTTTGTCAGTTGTGCATGTCCAGGCAAAGGCACTGGATTTCACTGTGCACACACAGAGGGAACCTGTTTGGTGATCTTACTGAGACCTTAGAAGAAGATGCAGAGCTCTCCCTAGTGCCTGGGGGTGGTGAAAGCAGAGAAGCAGCAGTGAATATTGGATAAATACCTTTTTAGATTTCTTCAAGGAAAAGTAAGTTGAGTCCTTATGGCCTAATCACTTCTTAAAGGTTCCACCTTTTAATATTATAACAATGGCAATACAAGTTTTTTTTTTCTTTTGAGACGGAGTTTTGCTCTTGTTGCCCAGGCTGGAGTGCAGTGGTGCGATCTTGGCTCACTGCAACCTCTGCCTCCCAGGCTCGAGTGATTCTCCTGCCTCAGCCTCCCGAGTAGCTGGGGCTCTAGGTGCCCACCACCATGCGTTGCAATTTTTGTATTTTTAGTATTTTTAGTAGAGATGGAGTTTCACCCTGTTGGCCAGGCTGGTCTCAAACTCCTGACCTCAGGTGATCCACCTGCCTTGGCCTCCCATAGTGCTGAGATTGCAGGTGTGAGCCACTGCACCCAGCTAGCAATACAATTTTAACATGAGTTTTGGGGGATTTTTTGAACCATGACGATTACCAACACTGGGAAGTCCCACAACACCCCTTCCTGTCTTCTAGACACACTTCTGTGATATTCCCTGCCTTTCTTTTATTAAAAAAAGTTATAATAACCACTTAATTGTGCTGATACAATATAGCTCAATTTCTGGCTTTGAGCTATATATAAATGCTATATGTAGACTTTTTAGCATTGTGTCCCATTGTGCCACCACGAGATAACTTTCTTTTCAAATTAACCACAGATTTTAGGAATTTGGTAAATAGTGATCTAGTGGGTCAGGTTACATGTCTTAGAGGAGATAGGTCCAGGAGATGCTTTATGTGTCATGGAAGATAAAAGGAGACTTAAAATCCACATGGAAATCCCATACAATTGTGCTGGGCCCAGGGGAGAATTTCCATGCCTCTCTGTCTTAGTGCTTCTTGCTCCTCTTTCATAGGCCTGAGTCACATCGTTAATGCCTAAATCAGCAGCAGATTCATGGAAGGTGGAGTTCTTCCATCATCAGCAGTTTTCTTGTAGGAGAATCTGAAGGATACTCTCAAGTTTTCGGAGGCACATCTTGTTGCCTTCTCTCTCTCATACAAGATGAGATGACAAGATTTGTTGTTAACAACTTCTGTATCTGATAATAATATTAACTGTTTCCTTCATGATTTCATTCTTTCTTGAATGACCTCATTTCATTCTAGCTTCAGATCAGATATTATTATTACCAATTTATAAGTTGAGAAACAAAAGGTTGGAGTAGTTAAGTGGCTTGCTCAAGGTAACCGTGAATATTTTGAGATGCAGCAATGGGGTCTCCAAGGACAGGCTTGAAATAAATTTTTTGGCCTGTCAATGGGTAACTTACCTAAGACAAGCTACTAACACGTCTCTTCTTCAGTTCTGTATTTGGAAAATGGGGATGGAAAGACACAATACAAAGGAACCTGAATTTGAAGATTAAATGACAAAAAGTATAAAAGCATGTAACGTTGTGAATAGTACCCTGAAGAGGTTAATTAATGCTAGTAATAATTAACAGTAAGCTAAATAAAAGCTCAGTCCTGTTTTTGTTGTTGTTGTTGTTGTTTTGTTTTGTTTTGTTTTTGAAATGGAGTATTGCTCTGTCGCCCAGGCTGGAGTGCAGTGGCACGATCTCGGCTCACTGCAAACTCCACCTCCCTGGTTCAAGCGATTCTCCTGCCTCAGCCTCCTGAATAGTTGGGACTACAGGTGTGCACCACCATGCCCAGTGAATTTTTGTATTATTTTAGTAGATAAGGGGTTTCCTTATATGTTGGCCAGGCTGGTCTCTAACTCCTGACCTCAGGTGATCTGCCCACCTCAGCCTCACAAAGTGCTGGGATTACAGGCATGAGCCACTGCTTTCAGCCAGTCCTGGGTTTTTGACTATAAGTCCTGTGCCACTTTCAGTACAGAAAGAAGAGCAATCAGGTACATTTCCTTCATAAAATATTACCAGTCCGTTGTAAGCCAGACTGTTGACTAAAGTTCCTTAATAGAATATAACAATTGCAGTCTTTCATTATCAAAGGTCAGTACTTTCTCAAATAGAGAATGTAAATACAATCCTTGAAAAACAAGTACTTTCTTTATATAAGAGTTTCAATGGCCAACAATGCAGGTGATTCCCTACTCATTAGCCATGAGTCATCTAGCTTCAGAAGCTAGATCCATTCAATTACATATTTTCAAATTTCAGCTTCAGGTGTATGTAGTCATATTTAAATTCACTGAGCTTGATTTCTTTCCTAAGAATGAAATAAGACAGTATTATTTAAACAGGGCTGGCATAAAGATAAAATGGTATCCAAGAGGTAACATTATCTATCACAGAACCAGGCACATACTAAATTTGGAATGAATGTTAGTATCCTCCAAAAATGTTGGTCAACTGACTGAGAATAATATATTAAAGTAAATGTGTATTGACAAGCCTTTAACTCAGCTTGTAATTCTTACAAACACATAAAAACGTGTCTAGTAAAGTCAGTGAGCTCTTGGTGCATAGTAGAAGGAGTCAGAACATCCTCCAAATCTTGCCTTAGTCTCTTGCGAGCTGTGTCATGTAGGTCAATTCCAACCTTTAGAACCTCAGTTATTTTTAATTAAAAAATATGGAATTAATGATATCTATCTCAGAAAGGATTTGAGGATTTGAGGTTTTACTGTTAAGTCATATGATGCCTAATGTGGACCTCAACAAATGGTAGCTGCAGTTGTTATTTTGGCTATCCATGTGTTTTTTTCCCAACAAACTTTTAAGAAACACAGTTAAGAAGTTTACCACATCACATTTCCACATATGGAACTTCCTATGTGTAACTTTGCTGTGGTACTTAAAATATTGACTCTTAGACTGTACAACCAAATGTGAAATTTGACAGGGATTCCTGTGTCACATAAACAAGCATATTAGTCTGGGGTAAAATTTTGGACATTGATTTCAAAAAGATAACTCTTTCTCCTAATTAATATAATTTTTATGCAATGTGCATAGGAAGACAATGGAAATTGCAAGTAAACATGTAGTTTGGGGTGAGGGGGCTTAGAAGGCTGGCGTATATGTTTTATATCACACATTCATTGGAATTATTTTTTGCAAAAACCTTTGCAACTTCATCAGAGATAGTGTTCATTACCCCACTTTTTGTCCCAACAACCAGAGAAGAAACTTCAGATATCCCCAGACAAGGTGAAATTTGAGCTTTGATGCCTTAGTTCATGCTTTTGTCTAAGCAGAATATTCTAGTTAAATTCTCTTGCCCCTGGAAAATTCATACTAGTTCTTCAAGGTTCAGCTCAAATGCCATTTCTCAGATGAAGACATTCTACTGTCCTTCCTTTGAGGGAGGAATACTTTCTAGAAATTCAGTATATTGAAGTTAACTTAATTCTGCTGGCAATGTTTATATGCAGGACTTCAATCTACAGTAAGAAATTTTTGAGGAGAGGGATAGTATCCCATTTATCTTCTTCCCTTCTTATTGATGAACATAAAGGCATTTACTCACTTTTATTGAATCAACCAGTCAATCAATCAATGAAGAGATAAATAAAATCTTTTGGAGGGAAATTAATGTCAGTGACTCATCACATCTTAAATTAGAAGGGCAAGGCAAGGTTATAAATTAGCAGTTATAATAGTCAAGCAGAGTTAGTGAAAGGGTCAAGAAGTGATATATGGGGGAGATTTAATGGGATGGATGGCATAGGTGCTTAATCCAAGGACACAGGGGAAATCATAGATGCAGTAATGGAAAGATTATTATTTTAGTAGAACCTAAAAGGAAACTACCAGATTCTGCTCATCTCTTTCTTATATCCTGAATGCATTTATAAATTATTAATCTTAGAGAATTTATTATTTCCATAAAAACATGAATGGGCTATATAAATAACTAATGAGAACAGTTTATAGATGAAGAGAACATGTATGACTAGCTGTTTTGGGAATCCTGAAAATCTCCACATGTTACTCGTATTTAAATAATTTGAGAAAAATTTCCATCAAAAGACGTATGATTCTATAACAGGAGGTATTTTAAGTTCAAAATTTTAGTTAATCTTCCTAAAGACTTTAGGATCTTACATATTTAACCTATGCAACATGTCCTGGTTAAATAATAATTTAACATTACAGTGAATTTGGTGGTGTCCTGAAAATTAAAATGCAGAGCTTCTGATTAATCACATTATTGCTTATTAAATTGAGTGTTCTTGGGATCAAATGCCCTTGCTATCAAAAATCACTGGTGAGCTTCCTTTTCAAGTGTCTTTTTTTTCTCTTTCTTTCCATTTTTGGTAACTCTTTTTCTCCTTTACTTCTAAGTGATGTAGTGTGATTAATAATAAAATATTGCCTTACCACAGGGGGAAGTAATAATAAATGTAAAATTCATATATGTGTTTCCATCCAAACAAAGGTGTTATACAAATATAGAGAATGATTATGATCGCTGTATTTTGGAACTTGGCACACTAACCTGCTGAATTTGCAGTCAGGAATCTATAAAGTGAACAAGAAGAACATTTCATTTTTTTGAGCGAAGATAAAAATGGTACCTATTGAAGAAGCTAATTTTCTGACTGTCTAGTGATTGCAGTTAAATCTACTGTTTAGTAGATTTAACAAATCTTCAGAAGTTCTCTACAGGTAGGTATAAAATGAATTTGGATCTTAAGTTTTGCATTGCTCTTTCTGGGGGCTTTGTTTTCCTCACCCCAAATTCTCTCAATATATATTTCATTCTTTTACATTCAGTACTTTTTTTTTTTTTTTTTTGTCTTTTTGAGATGGAGTCTCACTCTGTCAACCAGGCTAGAGTGCAGTGGTACAATCTTGGCTCACTGCCACCTCCACCTCCCAGGTTCAAGAAATTCTTGTGTCTCAGTTTCCCGAGTGGCTGGGACTATAGGTGCCTGCCATCACACCTGGCTAATTTTTGTATTTTTAGTAGAGATGGGCTTTCACCATGTTTGCCAGGATGGTCTCGAACTCCTGACCTCAGGTGATCTGCTCAGCTCAGCCTCCCAAAGTGCTGGGATTACAGACATGAGCCACCACCCCCGACCTTGTTCAGTACATTTTTGAGTGTTCTTTCTGGGTTGCAGCCAATTCACTCAGGCAAACAGAACCAGGAAGATCCCTGTCCATCCAGTGACTTGAGAATGATAGACTGTGCCTCAATTTCTCTTTCTCTGAGCTCTTTTCTGGTGTATTTACCATCATCATCATCTAGCCTTAAACTGGTAGGGACTTTTGCTTTGGGGTTTTTATCCCATTTTGACACTGTCATTTCTTTGGGATAATGCTCTACTTAACACAGTATGCATCAACAAATAAATTCAAATGAGACATTTCTGCAGAGTTTTCTATACAAAATATGGATTTAGGACCAGTTCCATCAACTGCTCACATCTTTTCATTCATTAATAAACTAAATGTTTATTGATCAGCTACCACATGAAAGATACTTCCTTGAGGTACTGAGAATACACTAGTGGATAAGAAAGTCACTGTCTTAGTCACGGACCCCAGATGTTGAGATAACTGTTACTATGGAAATGTAAAGAGAAAAATAAATTGAAGGAACAAAAGAAACAGTATTTATTGAAAATAGTATTTTTTCAGTACACATGACGGTAAGACACTAGGTTCAAAAATAGTAAACAACAGGCCGGGCACGGTGGCTCACGCCTATAATCCCAGCATTTTGGGAGGCCAAGGCAGGTAGATCACCACCTAAGGTCAGGAGTTTGAGACCAGCCTGGCCAACATGGTGAAACCCCATCTCTACTAAAAATACAAAAATTAGCTGGGCATGGTGGTGTGTACCTGTAGTCTGCCTACTCGGGAGGTCGAGGTATGAGAATTGCTTGAACCTGGGAGGCAGAGGTTGCAGTGAGCCGAGATTGCACCACTGTACTCCAGCCTGGGTGACAGAGTGAGACTCCATCTCAAGAAAACAACAACAACAAAGAAGAAAATAGTAAACAACAAAAGAATCGGTATTGGATAAATTATATTTCCAAAAACAAATATGACCTTGTTTCTGTGTAAAACTCAAACGTATCCACCTCCAAAACTCAGCCTTCTCTCCTCTTCTCCGTGTTGCTCTGCACTTCTCCTTGTTCCTTTACATACTTTTCCTGTTGACTTCTCCATATTCCCTTATGTGCTTTTTAGTGTACTTCTCCATATTCCCCTATCTCCCCTTCTACAGTTTTCTTTCTGCTTCAACTTACCCCCAGGGTTATCTTGTTGGATAGGGTACACTTCTCCTTCAACTTTACTCTCCTCTTAATTGTCTTTTCCCTTTCTCTCTTCTCCAGATTTATATAGTTCTCACCTCAAACATAGTCCATAAGAGAATCTAAATATAGTATATCCCATTAGGCTCATAATTATCTGATCATTTTTAGTACCTGTAGGTTAGAACACAGACAATTTAACATTATATTAGGTCTTCACAATTTGTATACTTCTGCAAGTTTAGGCTCAATTTTCATTCATACCTCCTGACCCAAACAGAGTCTACCCTAAATTACCCATCAATCTATTTACCATTTCCTGATTGGTTCATACCAATTGCATCATAAATTTCCATATCCCTCCTTTCTGTATACATGATATCTTGTTCTCTAGAATGCCTTTACCCATTTTCTCCAGAGATTTCTCCTTTAAGACTCATCTCAAAGATTATCTGCATATAAAACTTTCTCTAATAATTCTTGTTATAATTATTAGCTCTTTTCTATTATCCACACCGTTCGTGCTTCTCTGC
The DNA here is from genome assembly GCF_000001405.40 of Homo sapiens. NCBI lineage: Eukaryota > Metazoa > Chordata > Mammalia > Primates > Hominidae > Homo > Homo sapiens. Next base: position 14,281,334 of record NC_000002.12, on the reverse strand, counting down.
TGCCTAATGAATTTTAGTGGCTTCTGCTAACTCGCTTGCATTTCCCTTGATATAACAGTGCTCTCATATTTTGATATCTAAGTTCATGATTCTGCTTCTGTCTGGAAGAATCTATCTCCACTCTTTATTCCTCTAAAGCACATCAAATACTCCTTCTAGATTCCAGCATCAGTTTCTTTTTAACACTTTTGCTGATCCTTTCACTAACTGAGGTCAAATTAGTTCTCTCTGCATTCTATGTGAATTATATGCTCATGTTACAGATTTATGAAGTTCTACTTTGTATCTCTTACATATTGGAGAACCTACATTTATCTATCTGTATCCTACTATAAGGCCATAAGGATCTTGAGGGAAGGACTATGTAATATACATGTATACATTTACTTATCATACATATACTTATCATACATATACATATACATATACATACTTATACATATACATATACATTACTTATTTACTTATCATACATATGTGTATATTTGAACACTTAGTGTGTGCCAGGCACTGTGCTAAGTGCTAAATTACAATGAGGGCAAAACAAACACATTCCTCCACTTCATCATGCTTTATAGTCTACTAGAAAATGCAGTAGGAACATAATTCTGGTGAGTGTTACAAATAGATTAAGGGTATGACATAATTCTGGTGAGCGTTACAAATAGATTAAGGGTATGCAAAGAGATATGTCAGGGTGGCTTAGCCTAGTTCGGGTGCAGTGGACTTGACTGAGAAAATAAGTCTGCAGTATAGCAATTGTTTTCTGAGCATGAAAGTCTGAATTTGTGATTTCTTAGGTGGATAAGTTTCAAAGGATGGCAATGTATAGGGTATAACTGTAGTCAAGTAAAGAAAGTTTCCCTAATCTAGCACACTTCCTGAAACATGGAATATGAGCAGTAAATAGGAATGGAAACTATTTACAGTATGAATTTTTTTCACACTTGTTATCCCCTCATCAATAGATTTTACCTACTTCTAAGGTTAACATTTGACATGAAGTAGTCTGCTTCTACATATATAGAACTTCATTCATTGCTTTTGATGGATGCTTTGATTTTTATTAAAGAAACAAATTTGTTATATCTTGTGCTATAGCTTGAATAAATTATTCTTCTACTTGAGTATCTCAGGCTGACAAAAATCTTGGAGCAAGAGGCAGAGAGGGTGTGGATAGTGGGGTGAAACGTGTTCATTCCCTGATTTAATATAGTCTCATATTTTTTTCTCCCTGTGTCTAGAATACACTTTTTATAAACATGGGAGATTAAACATCCCTACCTTCTGCTAGGTTTCCAGGAGACTCCTATAGGGGAGACAAAGCCTAGCAGTTAACAATGGCCTATGTACTTGGATGGTGAAGCTAGAGCCTTAGCTATGAGAAGAATATTGCAATGTGTCTTTCCTTTTCAGTCCCAAGACCTGTTGACAAGCTCTAGTTACAATGACTATACAATGAAATTTAGAGCCTGGTTAGGAGGAGAGATACTACCAGTGAGTGTTTCAAGGACCAGGTTTGTTTGTTTGCAGATTGGGGGTCTCAAAGAGGAGGATGGATGGGAGTCTTGCCAGCCCTTACTGACAATGTACATTTAAACCCCATTACAGGCTTGCATGGCAATGAAGGACAGGGGCAGGTTCTGCTCCTGTCCAACTTCTATTCCCTGGTTCTTGATAGGTGGACAATGATGTGTACTCAATGGATAAATACATGCATATGCAACATAGCAACACTAACTCTCACTGAGGGGAAAGATGACATATATAATGACTTCGTGATAACAAGAAATCAGAAAAGTATAATATAGATTTTTGGCCCTTAACATTGACTCAAGCTATAATCCACTATGCCATCTTAAATAAGCTACCTGGGGCTGGGTGTGGTGGATTATGCCTGTAATCCCAGCATTTTGGGAGGTTGAGGTGGGCAGATCACGAGGTCAAGAGATGGAGACCATCCTGGCTAACACAGTGAAGCCCTGTCTCTACTAAAAAATATACAACATTAGCTGGGCATGGTGGCATGCACCCATAGTCCCAGCTACTTTGGAGGCTGAGGCAGGAGAATCGCTTGAACCCGGGAGGCAGAGGTTGCAGTGAGCAGAGATTGCAGCACTGCACTCCAGCCTGGGCGACAGAGTGAGACTCTGTCTCAAAATAAATAAATAAATTAATTAATAATAATAAGCTACTTGGTCTCCTTAAATCTGGAGTGTATATGTAGAAGTGATTCAGCCTCTTATAACTTGAGACTTATCATAGTTAGTACAGCTCCACTTCTGAGCTTAGCTCAATTCTGAGTGTGTTTAGACAAATCATTTCACTTTTCTAATCATTGATTTTTATATAAAAAAGAAGAGGTTTAACTAGATGACCTCTTAAGTTCTTTTTAGCTCTGAAGTTTTTTTTAAACATAAAATTAAGAGCTCCTAGATCTGATAAACAACTTCAGCAAAGTTGCTGAATACAAAATCAATGCACACAAATCAGTAGAATTTCTATACACTGACACTGTCCAAGCTGAGAGCCAAATCAAGAGTGCAATTCCATTCACAATAGCCACAAAAAATAAAATATCTATGAGTACACCTAATCAGGGAGGTGAAATATCTCCACAATGATAATGACAAAACACTGCTGAAAGAATTCAGAGATGACATAAACAAATGAAAAAACATTCCATGCTCAAGGATAGAAAGAGTTAATATTGTTAAAATGGCCGTACTGCCCAAAGCAATTTGTTTATAGATTCAATACGCTTCCTATCAAACTACCAATGATTATCCACAGAATTAGAAAAAAAACTATTATAAAATTCATATGGAACCAAAAGAGCCCAGATAGACAAAGTATTCCTAAGTAAAAAGAACAAAGCCAGAGCCATCACATTACCCAACTTCAAACTATGTTATAAGGCTACTTTAACCAAAACAGCACAGTATTGGTACAAAAACAGACACACAGACCAATAGAATAAGTTAAAGAACCAAGAAATAAAGCCACACACTTAACAACCATCTGATCTTCAACAGAGTCAACAAAAACAAGCAATGGGGAAATGACACCCTATTCAATAATGGTGCCAGGATAACTGGCTAACCATATGCAGAAGATTAAAACTGGGCCCCCTCCTTTAATTAAAAATCAATTCAAGATGAATTAAAAACTTAAATGCAAAACCTCAATCTATAAAAACCATCGAAGAAAACCTAGGAAATACCATTCTAGACATAGGCCTTGACAAATATTTTATGACAAAAACTCCAAAAGCAATTGCAACAACAACAAAAATTGACAAGTGGGACCTAATTAAACTAAAATGCTTTTGCACAACAAAATAAACTATCAACAGAGTAAACAGACAACCTACAGAATAGGAGAAAATATTTGCAAACTATGCATCCAACAGTGGTGTAATATGCAGAATGTGTAAGGAACTTCAACAAATTAACAAAAACAAACAACCCTATTTTAAAATGGGCAAAAGATGTGAACAGACATTTCTTAAAGAAGAAACACAGGCAGACAAGGATAGAAAAAAAAGCTCAACATCATACATCATTAGAGAAACGCAAATTCAAACCACAATGAGATATCATCTAACACCAGTCAGATTGGGTACTATTTAAAAAAAAAAGATGTTGGCAAGATTGCAAAGAAAGGGGAATGCTTATACACTGCTGGTGGAAGTATAAATTAGTACAGCACTGTATAAAGTAGTTTGAAGATTTCTCAAAGAAAATATAACTACCATTTGACCCAGCAATCCCATTATTGAGTATATGCCAAAAGGAAAATAAATCATTCTGCCATAAGGACACATGTATGCACATGTTCATTGCAGCGCAATTCTCAATGGCAAAGACATGGAATCACTCTAAATGCCCATCAATCATAGACTGGATAAAGAAAATGTTGTACATATACACCAGGGAACACTATGCAGTCATAAAAAAGAATAAGATCATGTTTCTTGCAGTGAGATGGATGGAGCTGGAAGCTATTATCCTATGTAAATTAATGCAGGAACAGAAAACCAAATACCACATATTCCACTTATAAGTGGGAATTAAACATTGAGTACACATGGATACCAGGAAGGGAACAATAGACACCAGGACCTACTTGAGGGTGAATGGTGAGGATCAGAAAACTACCTATCTGTTACTGTGCTTATTAACTGAGTGACTACATAATCGGACACAAAAATCTGTGACACACAATCTACCCACGTAACAAACCTGCACATGTACCGCCTGAACCTAAACTAAAAGTTAGAAAATATATATATATATCTGCTATATGTACCAGAAGGTTTTTAAGTTATATGCAATTGATTAAATTCTAATTTATTAATAGAACATATATTCTTTTACATTTAAATATAAACTATAATGTATAGTGTGATTTTGTTGATAACTTTTATATCTATCTTAAGCATTTGTAGATGTTCACTTTCAGGTATAGCTAAAGGACAGGCCTATCTGAGTCCTGTTCAGGACTTCTCTCATAGTCTTCTATTTATTAAGCTCTGAGTCTCTTCTATGCATCATGCTTTCTGTATACCTAGTTGTTCCATGTCAAATTGATGTGTTTTTTTTAAATTAGGTGTCAAAAAATTGGACAAATTACAGAGCATTTGCAGTCTCTTTTCGTTTGTAGAAGTTTGAGGTTCACCTTCTATACGGTCTTCAGTCATTTGACTTTGTTTTATTTGATCTATATTACATACCCTAGGAAAGAGAATAGAGCCAACTTGCTAAATATTTTTATTTAGTACTCTCAACAAACCATTTGTAAGTATTTACTGTGTACCTACAATGTCCAGGTCACAATTGTAGGCTTTTGTATGCTGGATCTGAGATCCAGTTGTAAAATTTTTAGGAATTTTGTGATCTGGTTGTTTAATACAACCATTATTTAAACGTAAGTTATATAAACTTACAGTTAAATAAATTACATTAAAAATAAAATGAGGCCAGATGCGGTGGCTCACGCCTGTAATCCCAACACTTTGGGAGGCCAAAGCGAGTGGATCATGAGGGCGGGAGTTTGAGACCAGCCTGGCCAACATGGTGAAACCCTGTCTGTACTAAAAATACAAAAATTAGCTGGGCGTGGTGGCGGGTGCCTGTAATTCCAGCTACTTGGAAGGTTGAGGCAGGAGAATCGCTTGAAACTGGAAGGCGGAGGTTGCAGTGAGCCAAGATTGCACCACTGCACTCCAGCCTGGGCAAGAATAGTGAAACTCTGCCTCAAAATATAAATAAATAAATAAAATGAACAGATACTCAAAACTCATCACTTTTTAAACGTTATATTACATGCATCATTTTACATGTTCTTTAGATAATTTCAGTTATTGTGTCCATATGATAAAATGCCATACATGTGTACTGCTGGGCATCTTTTGTCAACTCTGTGCTTATTGGCATCATACTGGTACCTTGAAATTGGCCAAGGAGAGGATATTAACACCACAGAAATCAGCAAATGCTACAAATCATTCCCCTTCCTCCCCTCCAGCTTATTTATAAACAATCTATCAGCACATCACTGCTTCTAGGTGCTACTTAAAGTCAGAGTCAAGAAGTAGCTGTGGCATTAAGGAAATCCCATCTTCTATATAAACAGGGTCAAGGGGGATGATCAGGGCTTTGAATGCTCGTGCAGATTTATAATTAAAGGTAATGGGCAAGATAATTAAAAGGTAACCAAGGGAAACATTGTGTGTTCAGGCTTAGTATTGTAATTATATTCAATACATACTTTACCAGCTAGAATATAGCATAAAGCAGATTTTGCATATTCTCAATGCAATGAAAATACATTGGCCAAAGCTTATAGTTGTTTAAATGAGCTTTGTTAAAAAGCAAATAGCTGCTCTCTCTTTCTTATTAAAATATGTGTATATACACACACACACATACGAGTAGTTTTATAGAACATCTGAGGTTTAGCTGTAAAATCTGTCGCCCAACATTTATTTAGATAAGTTTGATACAAGTGTTTGGGCCAATTTACCTTTAATACTCTTCAGTAAAGACTTAGTAGCTGTTAAAGAACACTCTGGGATCGTAAATCCCCCCTCATTTATGGGAATTGAAACCAGCATTTAATGAGGATCAACAATGTCCAGACAACTTGTTTGACAGTTAATATCGATGATTTCTTGCCTCCAGCACTTTATAAAGGGGAACGAGTAGAAAAGAGAGAGAATTAATATATAGTTGACCCTTGAACAATGTGGAGAGTGAAGAGTACTGACCCATGCACAGAACGGTAGAAGGTGGGTGGAGGGAGACGATTAGGAAAAATAACCAATAGGTATGAGGCTTCATATCTGGGTGATGACATAATCTGTACAACAGACTCTCATGGCAGAAGTTTACCTATGTAAGAAACCTACACTTGTACCCCTAAACTTAAACAAAGAAAATCCAAGAATAACTTTGACTCTCCCTGAATTTAACAAAAAAATAGCCTACTGTTGATTGGAAGCGTTATCAATATACAGTCAACTAACATATTTTTATGTCATATGTGTTACATACTATATTCTTACAATTATATAAGTTAGAGAAAAAATGTTATTAAGAAAATTATGTCATCACTTCAGCAACACATACACTAAAATGAGTATGATACAGAGATTAGCATGGTTCTTGCACAAGGATGACAGACACATTCTTGAAACATTCTATAGTTTTGTATGCCTGCATCAAAATATCACATGGATCACGAAGCACATCTATTATATGTGCATATAAAACTTAAAAAAATTAAAAAGGAAGAGAAAATATATTTAGTGTTCATTAAGTGGAACTGAATCATCATAAAGGTCTTCATCCTCCTCATATTTTTATGTGTTTATAAGAACTGAATGGATTTTATATGTGAAAAATCTAAATAGAGTATCTGAGATACAGTAAGTCTTCAACAGAGAGTGGCCATTATTTTTTTGCTTACTATTTCATGGGCTGTCCTCTGGCTAGCCTTCAACCTCATCTCTCGCTGCCCTTGTCTTGGACTTCAACATACTTGGAGTATTTTTCCACATATGTATCTCTTTCCTGAAGTTCTTTCATTTGCATAATTTGCCTAGTGAACTCCTAGTATATTTTCACAACAGCAGAGGCTGAAGAAGAAGCAGAGGCTGGAAGAAGTTTGCTTCACTCACATTTTGACAGTAGCAAGTTGAGGGGCTCAGGAAGAGATCCTCCAAAGAACTCACTTGAGAATCAACCAGAGAAATAGTAGGCTATAAATGACTATCACACCTGGAGTTCATGAGGTTATATTATGGCAGGAAAAACTTGAATTTCCTTTACCTCTTTGTTTCTCACTTTTTAGCCCCGGAAGTGTCTGTTGTAGCCCCTAGCAAGTTGAGGGGCAAGTAAGGGAGAAAAGAAAAAGATGAAATTCCTTTCTTTTTTTGTTCAGTTTAAGCTAAGGAAAGAGGCCTAAAACTGCTGAGTAGTTAATTATAATAAATACCTGGAAGAGAATGACTTTTTAATAGAATTGGAGTTGTGCTGACAGTTAAAAATGACCCTGGAATCTATATATTATCTGTGAGTAATCAGAAAATTTGTGGAACTTCCTGAGATTTTTATACAGGGCAATTGAAGAATTTCCTTGCTGAATATATTGTTATAAGAAAAAAGAGAAATAAAATACAGTTGTATTTGTATTGTATTTTATCAATCCCACTTTTTCAAGGTCCTAAAAATACAAAGATTTTTGATTATGACACTCAGTGGGGTTTCTTTGAAACTGGGGAAAAATTGAAGAAAAGATGACAAATTCCTAGAGGTACAATGCGATGGTAAAATTTGAGACCTAAATTTTTTTCAAGTGGTTATGTTTAAATAAAAAGGAAATACATAATTCATGTACAACTCACCAAGACTGTATTAAAGATTAATCATAGAGGTCACAAACCAAAAATTCAGTGATTAGAACACTGAGAATAATGGAGAATTTGAAGGTATTTATCTTCTAGCCCATCTTGTTTCATAAACTTAGGACATCCACATTTTTAGCCTCTTTTTACCACGCCTCTGAGGTATGTTTTAGATCCTTTACAGGGTAGCCCCGGTAGAGGATGCCACATTGCAATGTCATCTCTTGGCAAGCCAATCTCCTTTCCAATCCCACCCCCAAGCCAACCCCTACCCCATTATGAGAAAACTCAAACAAAACCTTCATTTCAACTACCCTGCAACTCGGTGCTCTTAGCCTTGCCAAAGACTTTTGGCTCTTGCTATGGCCTTTATTAGATGTATTTTCTCTCACTGGTGAGACTTTATTCTTCAAGACTAAATTTTTGATTCTCATAATACCTTGTTCTTACTTATGATATAGTCACTTATCGCTTTGCGTTATAACAGGGTCTATTTGCTTTTTTTCATAGACTGCTGTTTGCTTTGAGTACTAAAACATGGAGAAAGGTTAAACATTTACAAGCACTCCCTAAGTGTCAGGAACTATTCCAGTTGCTTTACAAAACATGTAATCTTCAAAATGACCCTATAGCATGTATTATCGTCTTTATTTTATAGACGAGTTAACCAGCTCTGTAAGTTAATTAACTTATCTGAGGGGATACAGCTGGTAAGGGTAGAAACTAAATCTTTTCTGAGTTAAAGCCTCTGCTCTTTTTACCATGTGACAACACAGGACATTTTGAGTAAGAGTTTCTTTACTTTTGTGCCTGGGCTTTGTACTTTCTGGATGTGGTCTCTGGATTGCTGTTTTCCTCTATTTTGGAGTGTGTGTGTGTGTGTGTGTGTGTGTGTGTGTGTATGTGTGAGTTTCACCATTTTCCTCTTTTGCTAATGATACTTCCTAGGTACTTTTCTAAAGATTTTACCATACATATGAGTGTGGAAGGGGATCACAGGTGAAATTCACCTTGAGGAATGCAGTGGGATAGTATCAGACAGGAAGTAAAGGTTACCATGATATTCTGAGTGGACAGAGATCTGCCGCTGTATTGACCAACCAACACAAAGATTGGACCTGTGATGGTATTGAGCAGACTCAAGGGGAGGACCTGTACATTTCAGCCTAAATCTGAATGGAAACAGGCACTGGACACGTGGGGCTGTGTCTGGAGCTACCACACAGGGCAAACCACCTGTCAGTTATCACGACGTTCATGTGAGAAGCAAAGCTCTGTGAACACGGGCATTGTTCTATTGGTTGGTGAAAAAAGCAGCCTCCAATTCTTTCCACTAATCATAGTTAGCCATCCTTCCATGACCTGAGTGTAAGGAGAGAGTGGTAACTCTTCAGCCTGTAAACTTGTGAAGTCTCTGTCTCTGCAAACTATTTATTTCTTCTTGCATAATGAGCCTTCGGCAACTGAATTTGGATTGGCTGAAGAATAGAGGTCTTCTTAAATGACTTATTTTGTACTCTCTTTTGCTGTCGGGAAAAATGAGTACTATCTTTTCTCTCCACACTACCATGTGTTTTAAAGGGACTTTCTACCTATAGCTACGTGAAAATGTCATCACTGTCCATATTTCTGGTTAAGAAAACTAAGGCCCAGAGAAGTAAGGTGAACCCCAAAGTCTCAGATTACTATAGCCACAAAGCCAAGATGTAATCCTAGGTCTCTTGACATTTGGGTTAATGTTTATTTCATCACATATCTGTCAATGTTTTTAAAAAGCAAAAGAATAAAAAGCAAAGAAATAGTAAAAAGGATCATTCTGGTTGATTTTTTGACAAGTTGTATACCCTGTGGAGTTATTAAGTGGAGGTTCAGCATCTGGGTTATTTTTGATCACCTGATGGCTCCAGGGACAAGGGTTTGAGCAGCTCAGAATGAAATTGGCTAGGGGAACAGTATCTCTTCTGACACAAATCACAGCTTTGAACATTTCCAGCATTTACCTACATCAGGCACGCACTTGAAAGACTCCAAGAAGTCATATATGAAAGCTGGTATTTTTAAAGCCCCTATCTGAATATTTGTAAAACTTGATGACACTAAAGGACAGTGCTTTTCAAATTAAAAAAATAATGCTGAAAAGGAGTTGGAAGTGCATTTTACTCAAGGTAATAAGAATCCATTAAAAATCTTATTTTTTTTTTCTTTTGAGACAGAGTCCCACTTCATAGCCCAGGCTAGATTGCAGTGGCACGATCTTGGCTCACTGCAACCTCCACCTCCTGGGTCCAAGAAATTCTTCTGTCCCAGACTCCTTAGTAGCTGGGACTACAGGCCTGTGTCACCATGCCCAGATAATTTTTTTTTGTATTTTTAGTAGAGATGGGGTTTCACCATATTGGTCAGGCTGGTCTCAAACTCCTGACCTCAGGTGACCACCCGCCTAAAAATGTTTTTAAGAATTTTCTCAGCATGCCTATTATGCTAGTGTTCATTCATTCAGTTTCTGATGAAGCTCTGGAAGTTGTCACTTTACAAATCCACACATTGGAATCTTTAGCCTTCTGTTCTTCAGGTGATATTCAAACCAGCAGTGGGAGTTTCTCCAGGAGGTAGATGTGTTATTTGTGAATATAAATGTTCTTAAGTTCCCCAATCTTCAGAGGCCACCTTTCTGAATTTGCAGCTATGCATTCTAAGATTTTCCTCTGTGTGATAGGAAGGGGCCCCATCTTGGACTGTATTATCTTTCCTTACCCTTTCTGAAATCACCACAGTGTTTCTGTATCACCTAAGTCAGATTTCTGTCATGGTTACAATATGCTATGAGTGCTCTCTCTTCTAGAATTAAATAATCAGATAACTAACAAAAATATAAAACACAGGCTTTGTATTGCTGAGTTTTATGACTTACTTGCTTATATGTTTCCTTCCTGAGTTGGTTTGAATCTTCCCTATTGCTAGTGATTTCTATAGCATTGTATGCTTTCCTTTGCACTCTGACAGAGCAGGAACATTGCCATCTTGGACAAGCACTGCCATTCCAAAGTCCTCCTTGATCAAAAACTGCCTAAATCCAAAGGGCATCAGCCTAATGGCTAAGGTCATCATGACCGTAAACCACAAATGACATCTCCAACCAGATACATTCCAACCTCCTTGACCCAAGACATGCCAGCCCTGAGATAACCGCCCCCACCGGCCAGAGAGATGTCAGCTCCAAGATAACCTCCCCTCTGACCGGAGACATTCCAATCCTGCCATAAACTTCTCCCCCAAATAGAAACATTCCAAGCTTGTGATAAGCTCTCTCACCAATAAATACTCTTAGTCTGTAAGAGAGAATGGTCCCAACCAAAATCGGCCAGAAGCCCCTCTCAGGTTTATTCTCCAAAATAAATCTATCTTTCACTGTTGAGCTGCTTTTCATGTTTCTTTTCTCTTTCTTTAACTGTTACACACTCTAGTAGAGATTAATTCCATTTTTATTTTTTTACGCCAGACAATTTTAATCTGATTGTTAATTTTTATGCTATTTATACCTGTCCTAGGCAAATATAGGAAATCTTATTATTGCCAGTTTGAAAAACCTTGAGATTTGGAAATACATCATCAGTTTGCTGAGACATATCTATCAATTGCAATTCTCCCAGGCTTGATTGGATTTTTCTTGCTCATGCTACAGTCTTGGGCTGTATCCCAAGAGCCTCTGATTTCATCTGATTCTTTTTCCCCAATCTTGAATTAATTTTATATTCTGATTTTTCCCCATAATGCTTCTCTGTAAATAGCTTGGCAGTCACTAGTTTTAATCAAGACTTTTTCTGTTAATCTCAGTTCTATGGCTCTGTATCAGTCAGGGTCCAATAAAGATAAAGAAACTACAAAGCAATTGAAAGAGATAATTTTAAGATAAAGGATCATTCCATCCTGGCTAACATGGGGAAACCCTGTCTCTACTAAAAATACAAGAATTAGCCAGGCATGGTGGCACGTGACAGTAGTCCCAGCTACTCAGGAGGCTGAGGCAGGAGAATCACTTGAACCTGGGAGGTGGAGGTTGCAGTGAGCTGAGATCATGCCACTGCACTCCAGCCTGGGTGACAGAGAGAGACTCCATCAAAAAAAAAAAAGATAAAGGATTACTATTGATGACTATAACAAGAATAACTTCACAGAATTAAAGAGAACTTTAAAATATTTTACACTTGATGGGAAGAACATGGAAAGAACAAACTTGGAAAGGAGTGAGCAGTTCCTCTCCAAAACTAGGATTCAGATGTAATTGGACAAAGCATAGTTTTAGCTCCTTGCATAGTTCAGAAATTCCCTGAATTACTCCGGGCCAAAGCTGATCAATAGTCAATATTAAGGCAGGAAACATCCCTCCTTGGGATCTAACTGCTGGGGTGCCTGCAAGGCTCACTGAAAACCTCCACATGGGGAGCCACTTAAACTTAATGAAAAAAGTTGTTACTGGACAGTTTGTTTCCTGTAATGCATCATGCTTCTTTATAGCCCTGGTTCTTAACGATACCCTCTGTAGGAGTCAAAGAGGGCTGGTCCTATTCATATTTCTTCTTGTTTCATTTTGAATGATTTTGTGAATTGTGAATAATTTGAAAAAAGAGGAAAAAAAAATATGCTCTGAAGAGTGTCTGTTTCATTCATTCAAAGTAGCTGGAAACAAGCAAAATTTGACCTTCTGAGAACAATAAAATACATATATTCAATCATTTCAGTTTGTCCCATGAGAATCTGTCACAGTCAGCTAACCAAGAACATTTCCTTTTTGTGGACCTGTATAAAGAATTGTTCTTGATGCTGTTGAGGACAAAAGAGAAGTAAAAATATCATTACATCAACAAATTCACCAAAACCTGTCAGTCTCCAGAGCCTGTACTCTTCCCTAAGGTGTGAGTTGGGAATGATTCTTTTGTCACCTTGCATCAGGGCAGATAGATGAAGTCTCTCTTTCCCTTTCTGCTCCACCTCAGGATATTTCCAAATCTTTATTTACCCTTTACTTCCTCTTATGGCAGAGGAGGTACTGCCACCACAGAATTTTATCAAATGTTGGAGCTTGATAAAGGTTGGATTCAAAATCATCACTGGCAAGCAGCTAATTGTTTTGTGTTGGAAAAATCAATCTACATCTCTGAATCGTGACATGGGAGAATTATATGTAATTCTCTGATGACTGTTACAGTTATATTTTATAAAAATATTCTTCTTTATTTCCTAAGCTGATGCCTACCAGAAACCTCCAGATAATCTTCAAATACAGCATAAAGAAGAGGGTTGGGATACATGGACCTGTTTAATGTATGTGATTGAAAGTTTCTATTTTTCCTTTAAGTGATACAAAATTAGCTGTAAGCTGACACTGAAAACTCAATATATTTCACATCTTGCAACTACCAAAAAATTCCAAAATAAAAGGTATAGATAAAAGTCAAATCAATAAAATAAAATGCAGTTATAAAAATATTCAAATCTCAATGATGGTAGAAAAAAGAATAGAGGAAGAAAATCACAAATGACTAATAATAAACTGAAATACTTAAGTTCAACCATATCAAATAGATTAATATTCTACAGAGAAAACACTTACATAAAGAAAACTCAAGGCCTAGAAGTTTTAATGGGTGGATTTTATAAAACATCTTAGGAAGAAAGAATCGGCATTCTTTGTCTGCAGAAAACTTTTCAGGAAATGGAGGGGTGGGATGCAGTGCCATCCATGTATTGTCCCAGCTACTTAGGAAGCTGAGGCAGGAGAATCACTTGAGCCCAGGAGTTTGAGGTTTAGCACTCTTTGATGGTGCCACTGCACTCCCACCCCTCCACCATCGAAAAGAAAAGAAAAGAAAAGAAAAGAAAAAAGGAAATGAAATGAAAAAGAAAGAAGAAAAGAAAAAGAAAGAGAAAGAAAGAAAAACACTCTTCAACTCATTTTAAGAGGCCAACCCCACTCTGATAATAAAACCTGACACAGACATTATAAAACAAAAGGAAGTAAAAGAAAACAAATAAAAGGCAAACACTTCTCATGAACACATATTTAAAAATCCAAGAAAATAGTAAATCAAAGTAATGAATATATATAAAGCAGATAAATTAAGATCAGAAAGGGTTTATTACAGAAATACGGCCTGATTTAAATTTGGAGAGATAAATGAGTTTAGTTCATAATATTAGCAGAATAGAAGGAAAACCAGTATGAGTATCTCAATAGATGCAGAAAAAACTATTTAAAAAAGCTCAACATTCATTCCTGATAAAACTTCTTAGCAAAATAGGAATAAAGGGGAAATTCCTCAGTCTAATAAAGAACATCTATGAAAAAGCTTATGGCTAACATCATACTTAATAAAGATTCTGTTTAGACTTAAAGATAATATTCCTTCCTATTACTTTCCCTTGACCTGATGCCCTTTCACTAAGCTCTCCCTTTCCCTAAAGTATTATCTCCCGAGGGTGGTTTATCCATGTTGTCTCTATAGTTTTATTAATTTCTCTCTTCTCAATTCCTTGTAATCTAATCTCTTCAACCCTCAAGTAATGCCAAAGGTCTCAAGTGTTTCAAAGCAATTTCCTTTTTCTTTTTCCTTTCTCAAACTATTCACAGCACTCACTCTGTCATTCTTGGGGCTACGTAAGTATTAGCTGTTCTTTCTCAGTTTCCTTCTAGGTCTGGGATGACCCATGCAGCTCCTGAAGTATTATTCTCATAAATTCTTGTCATAATTCCATGTTTTTGCCATGACATTTTTTCTAAACTACAGGGAAGGGAAGTTCAATAAGATCAAATTGTATCAGCTAGTTTAAATTGTGGTGGTTTGACATCAGAAATTGAGAGATGACAGAATTTCTGTTGCTTTCAATCTGTCCAATTCTTTTCGTCTTCCTAGCGAAGCTCCTGTCATCGAGATCGATTGCCTTTCAACTTGCATTTGGACACATACTCTGGTTTCTTTCAGTCCAGCATGCACAGTTCAGAGAGCTCTGCTCAAATCACATATCTTATTAGTTGTCTTTCCCCTCCTCCCATGTTTCTGCTTACACTTAAATGCCTTCCATGGCACTTCAAATAAAGAACAAACTCCTCAGTATGAAAAACTTACTGTGCCCACTAGGGCCCTAGATATGATTCCAGCTTCAGTTTTAACCATGCAGCCCTCTTATCTCTCTGCTCCAGCAGTCTAAGCCGTCCACCTGCTCCCTTTCTTGTCACTCGGGCTTTGCACTTAAATGTCTCTCTATCCAAGGGTCCTCTTTCCCCCTTTTAGGTAAGCTCTAATCATGCTTCTGATTCAGCACAAATCTTATTCTCTCTAGAAACACTTTCATGACCTTTCTGCCTAGGTCAAATCTTCTATCAATCAAGTATTCTCACAGCACCTTGACCTCTCCTGTATAGCACTTATCAGCATTGCAGTTTTACCTTAAGTTTATGGTGTAATTATCTAATTATTCTGTCTCTGCCAACAGACCATTTTACTTCAATAGTTCAGTAGCCATAGGTATGTTTACTTTTCATCATATGCTTGACAATATAGTATTTATATATAATATATTATATTAATATATAATATGTGTATCAGTACATATCAAGATATATAATATGTGTATCTGTATATATTAAGATTTACAAGTATACATAATATGTATATTATATGTATATTATATGATTATAAAACATGTATATATAGTATACAATATGTATAATATACACATTACTTTTATATGTATATGTAATATACAATATACTATGTATATTGTATATAATTAAGATAGATATAATATATAATATATGTAACATATATAATATGTATATAATAAAATATATGATATATATATGAGTTTGCAGATACACATACAGACACCTGACTAGGCAGGTAGTCCTTGTAAATAAAAAGGACTGTCTATTTACCTGTTCATTTGTCAATATTTCAGCCCTTCTTTAGGTCTTCTTCTTGATGACTCTGACTTCAAGGTTTGTGGGCTCAACTGGCTTTCAGCAGTTCCCACATTGCTTAGCTACCTTGGCTGTCTGTTACCCGACTGCTCCTCTGTTGATGAATGACAACATCAACCTGTGCTTGTTGCCTGCTGCAATCTGGATCCTCCGACCTAAGGCACTTGGAGCTCTCATCAATTCATTTCTTACCTTCCAAGTAACATTTTGTTTGCTTTTTACGTGTTTATTCTACATATTCAGAATTCTAAGGGGGACATAACCAGAGCTACCCTTTAAGCTTTTCTCTTCAACACCATTCCTGTGCCCTGCCTTCTTTGGAGCCTGGCCTCCCTGACTGTCCAATATCTTGGGGTGAGTTCCCTGTTGCCTCACTCGCAGCTGCAGCATGAATGAACTCATACCCTGCAAGGCACTGTCTCAGCTCAGATGAGGGAATCTAAATTCATATGCCAAAATCTCACCAGTTCAGCACATGCATCTCGCATCTCTAATTAAGGTGAAGCTCTCAGGACTGGCATGAGCATCCTAGGGTTTTGGGGGCTTAGTGAGTGGAAAGCAAGTCATAGAGAGTTGATGTTGTCAATGACCGATGACAAGACACTTAAGAGCAATTAAGGAACTCAAACTGAAAAGGCTTTCTTATGTAATATTTTATTTTGTTATATAAGTAGATATTCTAATTAGAATACATTTAAAATGTTAACATTTAATTACTTAATTATAATACCGATTGAATATGATAATGAAATGCTCTGGGAAGTTTCTTTTTTTTTTTTTGATACCTCCATCAGTAGGCTACCCATAATGTTTAAAAAAACCCACAAAAATTAAAATACCAAAGAAAACAGGCTGGACACATGGCATGTGATGGCCATGTCTGAATCACAGAAGCCCAAAAGACAGCGTATTCCAGCTGTGCTTCTATTTAGAGTTCTGTTATAGAAATAGCCACAGTTAAAGGATTCTGTAAGACTCTGCCAATTACATAGAATATTATCTTGAGCAAGTGCTTAACTTTTGTGCTTCAGTTTTCTCATCTGTAAAATGAGACTACAATAGTACCATACAGGGGTGCTCTGAGAAATAAAGGAGTTCCCATATGTAAAGTGTTTAGAACGATTCCTGCTATTTTCCTGGTCTTTTTCCTTCCTGTCTGGCATTCCCCACCAGGGCATCAGACTCATCAAATATGTTAATTTTGGATCACCTCTGACCCTGGCAGGAGGCCTTCATATATGCAACGAATTGTCCTTGAAGAAAATGTGCACAAATGATCAGTTAGAGGATTTGCAATGGATCTTCCCTGCTGTGGACATGAGGCTGTATTCTATCTTTAGTCGGAGCATACACTGTGCATATCACAGGCTTTCATTAGTGCTTTCCAAATCCCAGATGCCCAAGAAATATTCAGGCAATGGGTTCCTTTTCTTTCTCGGGTTATCAAAAAATAAATATGCTATAGTGAGAGAGCACTGGATAGGGAGCAGGTAGATATGGCTCTGCCATTTTGTCTTCAATCTTTACTCTTTCAGAGCTTCATTCCTTCTTCTGCAAAACTAGGAATCCAATCATAGGTTTGCAGAAAGGCTTTGAATACAAAATATGATCATTATATAAATGCACTTTGAAAGTAGTGAAGTTTTGTATAACTTTGAAAGCTATTGATGATTGTTAACACTGTTAACTGTTATTACAGTAAGTAGCAGAGGGTGCTCAGTATAGAATGGGTAAAATTTACTGTGCTACTTACTGTAATAATAACAACTTCTCATCACACTCTGCCCCCGATCTTGAAGAAGATCCAACTTGCAGGATCTTCTTCAAGATCGGGGGCAGAGTGTAAAGGGAAGTTGTTAGTTTTCTATTCAAATTATCCTACACCAGCCCTAGAGCATGGCCACAGAGAAAGCACATGGACCGATGTGTCATGATCCTTCCAGGAAAGACAGACACTGAAATAAGCATTCACTGTTCAGTCTCTGGAAGTGATTCTGACCAACTATTCCCAGATAAAAAATAAACTGGATGTTGGGGCCTGAAGGACCCACAGAATTTGAGGATGCAAAACATTTTTCAGATCTTAAGGACTAAACAAACCTATTACATGGGTTTCAGATGAGATAAATTTTGAGGCCCTTTCAACTCATGTATTCTTGGATGTCACAAGTTTTAACCTGTGAAATAATAATAAAAACCACCCTGACCATAACCACAAACACCACCACTGTAACAACTACCTTCATATAGTACTGAATTATGTACCAGACACTATTTTAAGTGCTTTACATATATTATCTCCTTAACTGATATAGCAATACTATGAGGCAGTTACTATTAGTATCTCATTTTATAAATAAGACAATTAATCCACAGAAAAGCTAAAAACCTTGCTGGAGGACCAGAGTCATCAGCAGCAGAGCCAGGGTTTGAAGGTGGATGGTCTGCCTCAGAGTCACCATCTTAATCATCACTTTCCTGTTTGAAGTCAGAAAACAGAATCTTTCTCAAATGGTTTGGAGCTGTGTCCCCACTGAAATCTCATGGAGAATTGGAATCTCCGGTGTTGGAGGTGGGGCTTGGCGGGAGGTGACTGGATCATGGGGGTGGATCCTTCATGAATGGTTAGCACCATCCCCTCGGTGCTATCTCATGATGGAGTTCTCATGAGATCTCGTTGTTGAAAAGTATGTAAACACTTTTAAACCTCGGTCCTGCTCCTGCCACATAAGCTGCCTTCTCCCTGTTTGCCTTCTGCCGTGAGTAAAACTCCCTGAGACCTCCCCCAAAGCAGATGCTGTCATGCTTCCTGTACAGCCGGTGGAACGTGAGCCAATTAAACCTCTTTTTTTGTTTTTTATAGATTACTCTTTCTCAGGTGTTTCTTTATAGCAATGGTGAGAATGGACTAATACACTTTCCATCAAAACTAACTCCATCCTCTCCCTTAACTACTTCCCCCTCAAAGCAGACATAGATTAAATCATCTTCAGAAAAAGGGCATTTCTCTGAGAACATGTTGCTTTTTATACTTGGTGCTATCACAATATCCCATAATGTGTATTCTTCTAAATAAGCAAGTTTGTTCATTCCTTCAACAGTTACTGAGCATTGACTCTCTCGGTTACAGAGCTGGGAAGAGAGGAGTAAGACATGCAGATGTTTCTCACATACTCACAGTGTATGGTGATAGAAAGAAAAATGTATAATCATAGTAGGAAATGAGAAGTGCTACAGAAAAGGTAGGTTTACAGTGTTACAAAGACACAAAGTCTCTCTGTACCCTCTTCTGTACCTACAAAGTTCACAATACTTCATTAGTAAGATCAATTATAAACTAACTCAAAAAGACCTAGACAACTCAAAAGCATTTTTCCCATTGAGAAGTTTCTTTACTGTAAATAGCTGCACCTCTGAGGTGACAAACTAGCTTTGGAATGTGGCTGTTTGATGTCCAAATAGTGACATTTTGTAGAAAAATTTCAAAAAATATTTTCTAAAAGAGGCATTCCCCCAATGAGACCAGCCAAAGATAATAAAAAGAAAAGATATTGCATGCTGCATTTGTAACTTAACATGAGGTTGAGATACTCTAGACCCCATGACTGCTATGAGGAAATGAGCTCATAAACCTCTGAGGGGTCTTATTGGAGTGAAATAAGTATCTTTCTATTTTACTTTATTTTCATTTTTTAGTACTTCTCCACCAACCTTTAAAATTAATGCTTTAATGAATTGATGTATTTATTTATACATTCATTCAGAACATAGTTATAAATGTCATTCTGTAATATTCTGTAATGTATATGACCATATAGTTAGTACAGGTGGAAAGGGAGACTGGGAAGAATCTTGATAGCTTCCCAGGGAATTTAACAGACTCATATCTGATTCTGAACGTTTTTTTAGACAAGGAAAATGCAAAAAGGGTGAAAAACGTCACAATTATCGACAAAATGTAAAGGTCTGAGTAGGATTCTCGGGGTGTAAATGGGAGGAAAAAGACTCTGGGGTTTCGGCAAGATATGGGAGGTGGCCTCTCAGAGACCTATACTTTCTTCATAGGTCTCTCTGGAAATAAGAATCCTATCTTTATCCCAGAAGTGTATGAATATTCTAGCTTAGTCTACTAAAGCACTCAGGGACTTATCCAACTGTCTGGCCCTCAATCACAGAAAGCTCTGGCCAGACATTTGATCTTCTGGACATTATTTTGGTTATAATGCAGTTGGACATACAGCACCTTCAGTTTCAAGAAAATATGGAGGAAGGACATCTTTTTACGACAGTGAAATTACACATGAGACCTGGGTAGGCCGCAAGTTGGCTCTTGGAGTTCATTACCTACTTCAAATATCCACGTTTCAGTTGAGGACCCAAGAGCCCATTCTTCAGTTCCTTGCTCTTGGCCATGAAGCTTTCAAATTCCAGGCTTAAAACTCATTCTGGGATTTGCACAGATTAAGTACTAAATATAATAGTATGTGTATAAAAATAAGAGTATAAGTTTGCTTAAGATTCCCAATTTCCTTTAGAAGAATAAATAAATGGCAGTATTATTTCAATATCACCTCTCAACAGTAATGCTTTTTTTAATTGACCATTTCTAAAGTTAATATATTATGTGACATGGTAATTAGTGACTTTGCTTGGTGCTTAATACATAACGTTTTATTTTAAAAAATTGCAAGTGATTCTTTTATTCCTTTTATGGAATTAAACAATGTAAAGTTTTTTATTCCTTCAAATACTTTCTTCTTTCTAACTGAGGAATTTCTGCTACTTGACTCCCCCTCATCCCTTTCCTCAAGCTGCTATTTTCACAATTGGAGTGGGGATAGAGATTAGTGTTCTGAAATCCTGCACCCACAACATGTTCATACACAATTTAGCAAGCAGAAGGAAAAATCAGATGATTTAAGGTTTACAATCTGGGAGCCTGAACACTCTAAGCTGAGGCCTCTAAATTGTACAGGTCCTCCTTTATTACTTATTATACCTTGGCAGGAATGAGGAACAGAATGATATATTTTAAGGCACAGGGCCTTCTCCAGTGAAAGTTCTGGAGATCCAAAAAAGAAGTGCTTGTCTTATCTAGCATTAGAGTGAAATGAAAATCTACCTTGATATTCCATGTCATCAGCAGTGTAGCCCAGTGACTACTGAAAACCATGTGTACAGGGAAGTGTCACGGAATTTGACCTCTTCATTCCATCTTCACTCTCATTTTCTTCATTCAAGGCTTTTCATTTATTTTCTAGGTTGTAAAACGTCCCAATTTCTCCTACTGTCTTCATTATCCCTCTCCCCCACTTACCTTCCATATTGCTATCAAATACTTTGAATGTTAATTTTGTGTTCTGAACTTTACTAAAGTTATTTATCAGGTCTGGGAGCCTTTTGGCAGTCTTTAGGGTTGTCTAGGTATAGAATCATATCATCAGTGAACAATTTGATTTTCCCTTTTCCTGTCTGGATGCCTTCTAATTCCTTTTCTTGCCTACTTGCTCTGGCTATCACATCTGGTACCGTGTTGAGTGGTGAGAGTGGGCACTTTGTCTTGTTCTAGTTCTTAGGGGGAATGCTTCCAGCTTTTGCCCATTCAGTATGATGTTGGCTGTGGGTTTGTCATAGATGTCTCTTTTTCTTGAGGTATGTTCCTTTGGTTCTTAGTTTGTTAAGAGTTTTTAACATGAAGAGATGCTGAATTTTATCTGAAGATTTTTCTGCCTCTATTGAAATTATCATATGGTTTTTGTTCGTAATTCTGTTTACATGGTGAATCACATTTATTGATTTGTGTATGTTGAAACAAATTTGCCTCCCAGGAATAAAGTCTACTTGATCATGGTGAATTGACTTTATGATATGCTGCTGGATTCAGTTTGCTAGTATCCTGTTGAGGACTTTTGTGTCTATGTTCATCAGGAATATTGGCCTGTGGTTTTCTTTTTTTGTTGTATCTTTGCCAGATTTTGGTATCGGGATAATATTGGTTTCATAAAAGGAGTAGGGAGGAATCCCTCCTCCTTGATTTTTTAGGAATAATTTCAGTAGGATTGGTACCATCTCTTCTTTGTATATCTGGTAGAATTTGGCTGTGAATCCATTTGGTCCAGGGATTTTTTTTTTAATTGGTAGGTTTATTTTTATTACTGATTCAATTTTGGAACTCATTATTCATCTGTTCAGGGTTTCAATTTCTTCCTGAGTCAATCTTGGGACATTGTTTGTTTCCAGGAGTTTATCCATTTCTTCTAGATTTTCTAGTTTGTGTGCATGGAGGTGCTCATAATAGTCTCTGAGGATGTTTTGTAATTTTGTGGGATCAATTGCAATGTTTGTCATTTCTAATTGTGTTTACTCATATTGCTATCAAGTATTTTGAAATTACTGTCTTCATGATTCTCTCCCCTTCTTACAGCCCTTGGATGGTTGTTTATTATCTTCACAATAATGTTCCAACACCTTAACATGATATGCTACAATCTTTATGTTTTATGTCCTAATGAGTTTATCTTACTATGTCCCTTTTAGCATTTTGAATTCTAGCCATATGGAGGTAGATTGCAAACATTCCAGGATCTTCTGGTCTTTGTGTTTTACATATGTCATATCCTAGTTACTAAAAAATCTTTAGTCCCCTTTTCCTTTACCTAAAACTTACGGACCTTATGAAAATTTCATTTTGCATGTCTTTTTAGTTTGCTTAGCTTTCCATTTGGTTTTCATACCTGTCTGCAGAAGCCTACATCCTAGCATCTATCACACCATGTGATACTACTTTGTCAATATTTATATCTTCTCTACTAACATATAAACTCTTTGAGAGTAGGAACTGTGCTTTATTTACATTGTTCTCTAGTATTTCACACAGTGACTAGCACACTGAAAGCATTCAATAAAGGTTTGTTGAATGATTGAATGAATTACTGAATGAACCAATTAATAAAACAGCTGTTTTCCAATGTAAAAAAAAAACTGGGTTAGATAATAGCACTTTAATTCAATAATTCCCATCTTAGAAGCCTTGAATGCCAAGATGATGAGTTTAGGTTAATTTAGTATGCAGCAGGAAAGCATGACATGTATTGAGGAGAGGAATGGTTTAAAGGTTCTGCCTTTCTAGAGGATTAATCTGTCAGGTTTGGCAAGTTAGAACAAAGGGGCAGACAACCAATTATGAGTGTATGAGAAACAGAACTGACCTTCTGTGGAAAACCTTTATAGTATCACTTAAGTTCAAACACATGACAGAGGCTACTTTTTTCATTCCATTTAATTAATTAATTTATGTATTTATTGATTGAGACATGGGTCTCACTGTGACCCAGACTAGAGTGAAGCTTTCACTCATTTTAAGCTCTCTGTTATGAGCTCAAAGGAGGACTTCTCCAGCTTCATCTCTGTACTTCCTTTGAATAGGCACAGGATGATTGAGTAATTTGTTCAAGGGCATACAGCAACAATTAGTAACAGAGGCAAAACATGAATCAGAATTTGCTGTCTCTATTTCAGGCAAGACTGGTCAATCCTCTGTTTTTTAAAAAAGTTGTAATTTTTATCACTTACTTAAACTTCTGAATTCTCATGTTCCCAAAATTTTCATATTTCTTACCTGCAAGTTCTAACATTAGTCATGAGACTCGGTAGATCTACATGTGGTCAAGAAGTTACAGAACTCCATGTCATTTCTTTCTTCTCCAAGCTCTTCAGAGCAGTAAGAAGCAGCTCACTTAATATATACTTTATAACATTCTGTTTTAACAACATGTGCTCTTTCTATACCTTGCCTTCAATAGATTCTCCTTTCTAAGTAAATACAGGGGAAATTATAAGTAACTATATTCCGTGATATTATAAGTAGTTATATGCCCCATTCTCTGCGGGTGTTGTGGTCATTTCTGCCTTCATTTCAAACTGAATTTGAGAATCTAGTCCCACAGTCATTGTGGAGGGGCTCTATTTTCCTGGAATCATTTGCAGTTACAAAAATTATCAGTTGAAGTATTTCAGGAATAAAAGCATAATAGGTAATTTTATTGGATAGAGATTTAATATATGGAACTAGAAATTCATACAGTCATTTGGAGGGCTGGGGATGTAAAGGTTAGGAATCTGCCTTTAAGAAATGTAGAAGTACAGGGATCAGAGGTAGTTGGTGATACCATCTGCTCCCAGGACTAAAGTGGATGTTCTTCAGGAGGTCCCTGGAAGCCAAGAGAAGCCACCGTCTATGTTTTTAGTTTCCTACAAGCAATAGGTATGATTTCTGTTGCTTGCCAACAGAGAGGACTCCAGTAAGTCAAGGAATCCAACGTGACTATTACAAGCGGCCTGCAGCTTCTGTGGGGGAAGAGCGTTTCTTTCTCACTTGTTTCTAAATAGCATTCTAGCGACTCATTAGCTGAATCTAAAGTACAAGGGATTTTGAGAATTAACATTCCTGGCTTCTCTCCTGTGATACCAAGAAGAACCCAGAAAGAGGTGATGGTGGGGCTTCACTGAGCACAATCTGGCACACTTGCATTCTTTACAGCTTTTCCAATTTCTTACAAGATAATTTTGCTTATTAATGAGGGGAAAACAATAGTAATAATGCACTCTGTATTTAGTGCACACTATGTTTAAACAATGCAAACATGAAATGGAAATTCTGTCCTACTGGAAGAATATCTTCAATACATCATGTGTTCTACCTCCTCTCTTCCAAAGCCATGAGCTACTTAAACATTTTCACTGGGGTCTCATGCAGATCTTTAACACGGATAGTGACTTTGAAAATCATATTAGAATATATTTGGAAACATAGTTCATAAAATGATGGATTGTTCATGTTATATTAATGTAAATAGAATGCTTGGTACTTATCTGCCTTTATGACTTTATTTTCTAGGTAAAAATAAGCACTTGATACATATTTATTAAATTGAGGTGAGCTTATAAGAATTTAGGCTCTATAAATGTTTCTTAAATATTTAACTGGAAATGCATAGACAATCGAGATTTTTGACTCTTTTCTATTTATATCAAATAGCTTTTGCCGCTAAATTAGTGGCTTTAAAAGTAAGCATTTATTGGCCAGGCATGGTGGCTCACACCTGTAATCCCAGCACTTTGGGAGGTCGAGGCAGGTGGATCACGAGGTCAGAAGACTGAGACCATCCCGACCAACATGGTGAAACCTCGTTTCTTCTAAAAATACAAAAATTAGTTGGGCGTAGTGGCGCACGCCTGTAATCCCAGCTACTCAGGAGGCTGAGGCAGGAGAATTGCTTGAACCTGGGAGGCAGAGGTTGCAGTGAGCCGAGATCGTGCCATTGCACTCCAGCGTGGGTGACAGAGCGAGATTCCATCTCAAAAATAAAATTAAAAAATAAAATTAAGCATTTATTTAGCTTGTGATTCAGCCCTTGGCCAGATTGTCCCTTGGGTCTAGGCTATCTTGACAGATATCTACTAATGTTCCTCATATATCTGTGGTCAACTGGCAGGTCAGGTTGTGGCTGTATGATATATGATGGCCTCATGTACTTATCAGGCAGCCATTAAGCTGTCGATCAGGATGACAGGGATGACTGGTTGACATTTCTCTCACTGTCGGACAGAGTAGCCTGATCTTTTTCTCCTGTTCCTAAAGTCTCAAGATCATTAAGAGAGGGCATATAATAATGCATATATTCTTTTCAAGTCTCTGCTTTTATTATATTTCCTTCTGGTGACAGCTTCAGCCCGTCTGGAGCAGCCGCTGCAAAGATGCCGGCTGCTGTGGGGGAGGCGCCACCACGGAGCTGGTTGGGGGCCAAGAACAAGTAATCCCAGCAGAAGCCTTGCCCCCTATTGAGTTGGTAGGGCTGGAGGCAGCCTGGGCACAGCTGCACTCACCCAGCTACAGCTCTGGACCCGGGCATCCCTGTGCTCTCGGGGACCCAGGAAGTCCCCTGCCCCCATAGGTTCAGAAGTGCTGGCTCCTGCTCCCTGGTCTCTCTCTGCTCACAGCACCAGCTCCATTAGGAAGCAAAGCTGTGGCTGAGCGCGAGTGCTGCTGTCACCCAGCTGGGTGTGCGTGTGCTTGAGGCGGCACTGACACACCAGCCCCCTGCTGCCTTGGCCCCGGCACTGACAAGCATTGGAGAGAGGCAGGGCAGGCCTGCAGGCGCCCATCAGCAGGGGCGGGGCGCTGTGGACAGCATACTGATGGCCGCTGCGGGAAGCAGACAGGCTCCTTGATGGAAAGGGGTGGGACCCTGGTGAAACTCCTCCTTTAAGCCAGCAACCTCCTGAAGCCTGGGGGCCAGGCCGCCAGTTCCAGTGAAGTCCACGCCCAGAGTGAGAACTTCATTGATGACATTTCGGCCAATTGAATGGTGGTTTTTCCAGGCCCACTGTTGGCCACCCATGGACTAATCAGTATGCACTTCCACTCTGAGCACATAAGACCCCAGCCTCAGCCAGAGTCACTCACTCAACGAGACGACTTGCCTGCAGATAGGAGCTACCCACTCATTTTATTTTATTGAAATAAAAATACAATATCTGAAATTTCAAAAATTAAAAATTAAAAAGTTGTATTAACAGCAGATTAAATAGTTCAAAAGAAAAGTTCAGCAAAGTTGAAGATGGGGCAATAATAATTATTGACAATGAAATGCTAGGAAAAAAAAGACCACACAACAACAAAAGTAAACATAATTTGTGGAAGTAGGATATAAGAATATGTGAAGCCATTCGGAATGTGTAATTGAGTTTCAGAAAGGAAGAAGGAGCAGAGAAATACTTAAAGAAACAATGGCTGAAATATTTGGTGAAAACTGTGAAACTATAGATCCAAGAAGTTTGATGAAGTCTAAGATGAAACATAAAGAAAACCACACCAAAGCGCATTTACATTCAAATTGGTGAAAACCAATAATAAAGACAAAAATCTTAAAAACGGCTTTGTTTCTGTACAGAGAAATAAAAATAAGAATGACTGAAAACTATTAAATAAGAAGACATGGAATGATATTTTTAAAGTGCTGAAATAATAAAATTAAACTATAATTCTATAGCTTGTCAACATCTCTTGTAAAAATGAGGGTGAATCAGACAAACAAAAGGCAAGAGGCCATTGACAACAAATCTAAGCCACAAAAAAATACATCAAATGAAGTTCTTTAAATAAAAGGGAATGTGTTATCAGTTGGAAACCTGGGTCTATACAAAAGAATTACAGTGTGGGATACAATAAATGCGCTGGTAAGTATATAATACGTTTCTCATATTAAAATTATTTTAAAAGATCACTCAGTTTTAGAAGCAATTATAATAACAATGTATTATGCAGCTTATAACGTATTGAAAAGTCAATAGTCTAAAAATCAGAGGAGGATTTGAAAGTCCATTATAGGGAAAGTAGTATAATGTCATTCGAAGGCAAATGTTAAAAGTTAAAGGTGGATTTCTTTAAAATCAGAGCAACCAGAAGAAAAGAAAGCTACAAGTAATAAGTTAATGGTAGAGATCAAATACAATCTTAAAGATATTAAATTAATCCTTTGGTCAAGAAAATAAAAGAAACAAAGAACAGATGGGATGAAGAGAAAGCAAATAATCTGATGTTAGTTATAAATCAAATCATATCAATAATTGCACTAAATAAAATCATCTAAGCATTCTAGTTAGAAGACATATATTAACAAACTAAATAAAAAAGCAAGACCCAACCAGCTGACTACATAAAAGGTGGTTTGAATATAAAATTACACATAATCTAAAGGTAAACAAATAGAACAAGATGGTGCAAACACTAACCAATAGTATAGCTGAAATGCCTATACTAGTATAACACAAAGTAGACTTTAGAAAAAGAATTATTACTAGCCACAGAGTGGGAAATTTCTTACTGACAAAAGGAGATATAGACTAGATGGATACACAATTCTAGGTTCTGAATATGCTATAAAAGAGTTTTTAATTGCATGTAGCTAAAATTAGCATACCTAAAAGGAGAAATAGAAAAATACCATTCTCCATAAATTTAAAAAGATTAAAATAACATAGAATATGTTCTCTAATTATGTAAGAATTGAATCAGAAAGCAACAACAATAAGGCACATGGAAAAGCCAAAGATCTTTGGAAATTATACAGTTCACTACTAAATAAACCATGGACCAAAGGAAAAAATCATGAGGGAAATTAGAAAATATTTTGACTGAATGATAATGAAAACATAACATAGCATAACATAATTTAACTGTTAAATTAGTGCTTAGTGGGAAATTGTAACTTCAAAAAGTTACATTAGAAAAAAATAAAATTCTAAATTAAATGATTTAAACTTCCATTTTAACAAATTAGAAACAGAAAAGCAAATTTAAAAAAGTTTAAAAAATAAAATTATAAATACACACACACACACACACACACACACACACACACACACACACACACACAGATTTGACCTTTGAACAATTCAGGTATTAGAGGAGCCAGGCTCCCTCCCTCAAGTGAAAATCTGTGTGTAACTTTTGACTCCCCAGAAATTTAACTACTAATAATCTACTGTTTACCAGAAACCTTACCAATAACATCAACAGCTGATTACACATTATTTGTACATTATATGCATTATATATTGTATTCTTATAATAAAGTAAACCAGAGAAAAGAAAGTATTATAAAGAAAATCATAAGACAACATATTAATTAAATTGAAGCATGGACCATCATGAAGTTCTTCATTCTCATCTACACATTGAGTAGGCTAAGGAGGAGGAGTAAGAGGAAGGGTTGGTCTTGCTGTCTCAGGAGTGGCAGAGGCTGAACAATATTGGTATGTAAGTGAACTCATGCAGTTCAAACCCATGTTGTTCAAGATCAACTCTGTGTGCATTGTGTGTGTGTGTGTGTGTGTGTGTGTATGTTTGTGTGTGTGTGTGTGTTAACAGGAATCAATGAACTAGAAAACGTAAGCAATAGAAACTAAAAACGGCACACAAAAGCAAGAATAACAATAAAACTTCAATGAATTGAAACAAAATGAAAAGGCAGAAGATAAAATGTAGCAACATTAGGAATGAAAAAACCTCACTGAGATTTTACACACTGATATCACAATAAGAGGATTTTATGAAAATATTTATCTCAATACATCTGACAACTTAGAGTAGGCAAATTCAGTGAAGAGCATGGTTTAACAAAACTGAATTAAGAAAAATTGACCAGGTGGAGTAGCTCACTCCTGTACTCCAGCACTTTGGGAGGCTGAGGCAGATGGGTTGCTTGAGCCCAGGAATTCGAGACTAGGCTGGGCAACATGGCAAAACCCCGTCTCTACAAAATATACAAAAATTACCCTGGCACGGTGGTGTGCGCCTGCAGTCCCCACTACTCCGGAGGCTGAGGTGGGAAGATCGCTTGAGCCCAGGAATTTGAGGTTACAGTGAGCCAAGATTACACCAATGCACTCCAGCCTGGGCCACAGAGTGAGACCCTGTCTCAAAATAAAAGAAAGAAAAATTAAAATCTTAACAACTCTGCATATATTTTTAAAATTGAAATAGTAATTAACCATGTCCCCTGACATAGACAGAAGAACAAAACCAACCAATGAATATTAAGCCTAGATTGTTTCACAGATGAATTCAATCAAATATTTTTTGAATACTGAATCTACTAAACCTTCAGAAAATAGAGCAAGAGGAATAATTCCCAACTTTTCACAAAGCTAAAACCCGATATTAAAACCCAACAAAGACATCACAAGAAAACTACAGAAACACATACTGTGAACATAGAGGCAACGATCCCTAAAATATAAGCAGACTGAATCCAGCATTATGTAAAAAGATTCACCATGACCGAATGGTATATACTTCAGGAATGCAAGGCCGAGTCAACATTGAAAAAACAATCAATGAAATATCACTTATAACAGACTAATAAAAGACTGTAGGATCCCAAAAGATGCAAAAAAAAAAATTGACAAAATTCGACGCCCATTCATAAAAAAGCAAACAAACCTCTGAGAAAACAGGAAAGAAAGGATGAAAGGGAGCTGCCTTAACCTGGTAAAAGGCAACTACAAAAACAAAACAAAAACACACAAATAGGCTGGGCGTGGTGGCTCACGCATTTAATCCCAGCACTTTGGGATGCCGAGGCGGGAGGATCACCTGAGGTCAGGAGTTCAAGACTAGCCTGGCCAACATGGCGAAATCCCGTCTCTACTAAAAATACAAAAATTAGCTGGGCATGATGGCGGGCACCTGTAGTCCCAGCTGCTCAGGAGGCTGAGGCAGGAGAATCGCTTGAACCTAGGAAGAGGAGGTTGCTGTGAGCCAAGATCACACCACCGCACTCCAGCCTGGGAGACAGAGCAAGACTCTGTCTCAAAAAACAAAAAATAAAAGCAAAAACACAAATAAACAAAAAACTACAGTTAATATTGTATTTATTGTGAAAGTCCAAATACTTTCTAAGGTCAGAAAAAAGGAAAGGATGCTCATTTTTACCTTTTCTATCAAATGCCATATTTGAGATCCTAATCAGCATAATAAAATAAGAGAAATGAATCAACATCAAACAAGTTGTAAAGAAAGAAACAAAACTGACATTATTTGCAGACAAAGCCCTGTCTCTACTAAAAATACAAAAATTAGCCAGGTGTGGTGGCGTATCTGTACTCCCAGCTACTCAGGAGGCTGAGGCAGGAGAATTGCTTGAACTTGGGAGGTGGAGGTTGCAGTGAGTGCAGTGAGCCAAGACCATGCCCCTGCACCACTCCAGCCTGGGGAACAAGAGCGAAACTCCATCAAAAACAAAAGAAAAAGAAAGAAAGAAAGAAAAAAAACACTAAGAAATCTACAAAACAATTCTAATAGAATTCAAAACTGCATTTAGTAGGGTTTTAGGATACCAGGTCACAAAATATCAATTGTATGTCTATTTTCAATAATTTTTAAAAATGGAAATTCAAATTAAAACATTAATGAAACATACAATTAAAAATTAAATGCATATAGATAAATTAACACTACTTGTGTAAAACCTTTATAATAAAACTTGAAAACATTGCTGAGAGAAATTAAGATATAAGTAAATTAAGAGAAATATCATGTACCAAGCTTAGAAAACTCAATATTTCTAAAATGGCACACTTCCTCAGTTTGACCTATCAATTCATACAAACTCAGAAAATACTTCAGCAGTCTATTTTGAGACATTGACAAGCTATTATAAAATAAATGTAGAAATGCAAAGGACTTGTAATAGTCAAATCATTTGTTTCTAAGAGACAGTCCCACATTATATTGCCCTGTCTGGGGTGCACTGGCTATTCACAGGTGGAATCATAGTGCACTGCCACCTCAGACTCCTGGGCTCAAGGGATTCCCTTGCCTCAGACTCTTGAGCAGCTGGGACTACATGTGTATGCCACCAAGACTGGTTAGTCAAAGTGATTTTAAATAAGAAAAACAAAATAAGAGTCACACTACTTAACTTTAAGACTTATTATAAAACTACACCAAGCAAAAAAGTGTTTATTGAAACAAGCATTGACAAGGGCACAGAAAAAGATTCCCGGAATAGATGTATATATGTATGTGCAATTGATTTTCCAAAAAGATGCCAAAGTTACTCAATTGGAAATCATAAGCCTTTCTATCAAATGTTACTGGAACAACTGAATATCCACCTGAAAATAAAACTCAATCCTTAAATAATGCCATACATATCAATTCAACATGGATAATATACTCATACCTAAATCTAAAACTATAAAACTTCTAGAAGAATATATAGGAAATGATGTTTATGATCTTGGAGGTAGTCATATATGCTCAGGACATAAAATGTGCAAATCATAAAATAAATAGATTGATGAATAGGACTGTATTAGAATTAAGAACATTTTCTCTTTGTATAACACCAAAAAAATATAAAAAGAAAAACCACAATCTGGAAAAAGTAGTTGCAATAGTTTGCATATTTTGATATTTGCTACATAAGTGTGTGTGCATATGTGCATATAATAAAAGATTTTAATTTAAAAAATTACAACTCAATTATGGGACAATCAATCCCATTTAAAACTGTGAAAAAATATTTGAAAAGACACTTTACAAAAGATACAGCAAATAAGCATATTAAAAAAATTCCTTGTCATTAGTCATCACAGAAATACAACTTATACATCACAGAAATACAACAATTTTTTATACAATTTATTAAAAAATTCCTTGTCATTAGTCATCACAGAAATACAACTTACAGTCACAATGAGATACCACTACACACACAGAGAAAATCTATTAAAATATTTATGCAAGAGAAGTGAAAACATATGTCTAAACAAAGAATAATACATAAAAGTCCATAGGAGGATTAATATCCCAAAACTATAAGCAACTGAATGTGCTGAATAATGGAGGTAGTGAATGATAACAACAACATGGATGAATTTCTGAAACATGCTGAGTGAAGGAGCCATAGACCAGAGTGTATATTTTGTGAACCCATTTATATGAAACTCTAGAAAAGGCAAATGTAATTTCTAGAGACTGTGAAGTCACACAAAGAGTATGTACAGAGTGATGGAAATTACCTTCTTAATATCCTCTTAATTATCTTAATCTTAAATTTGTAATAGTTACACAATGTATAAACAACATTGAAAAGTTTACCTAAATTGCTTCTTTTGTGTGTATATTTTATTTTGTTATTTTATTTTTTACTATACTTTAAGTTATAGGGTACATGTGCAGAACGTGCAGTTTTGTTACATACATATACACGTGCCATGGTGGTTTGCTGCACCCATCAACTCATCATCTACATTAGGTATTTCTCCTAATGCTATCCCTTCCCTAGCCCCCCAGTCCCTGACAGGCCCCGGTGTGTGATGTTCCCCTCCCTGTGTCCATGTGTTCTCATTGTTAAACTCCCACTTATGAGTGAGAACATATGGTTTTGGTTTTCTGTTCTTATGTTAGTTTGCTGAGAATGATGGTTTCCAGCTTCATCCATGTCCCTGCAAAGGACATGAACTCATCTTTTTTTACAGCTGCATAGTATTCCATGGTGTATATGTGCCACATTTTCTTTATCCATTCTAACATTGATGGGCATTGGGGTTCATTCCAAGTCTTTGCTATTGTGAACAGTGCTGCAATAAACATACGTGTGCATGTGTCTTTATAGTAGAATGATTTATAATCCTTTGGGTATATACCCAGTAATGGGATTGCTGGGTCAAATGGTATTTCTAGTTCTAGATCCGTGAGGAATCGCCACACTGTCTTCCACAATGGTTGAACTAATTAACACTCTCACCAACAGTGTAAAAGCGTTCCTATTTCTCCACATCCTCTCCAGCATCAGTTGTTTCCTGACATTTTAATGATCGCCATTCTAACTGGCATGAGATGGTATCTCATTGTGGTTTTGATTTGCATTTCTATAATGACCAGTGATGATGGGCTTTTTTTCATGTTTATTGGCTGCATAAATGTCTTCTTTTGAGAAGTGTCTGTTCATATCCTTTGCCCACTTTTTATGGGGTTGTTTATTTTTTTTCTTGTAAATTTGTTTAAGTTCTTTGTAGATTCTGGATATTAGCCCTTTGTCAGATGGATAGATTGCAAAAATGTTCTCCCATTCTGTAGGTTGCCTGTTCACTCTGATGACAGTTTCTTTTGCTGTGCAGAAGCGCGTTAGTTTAATTAGATCCTATTTGCCAATTTTGGCTTTTTTTTGCCATTGCTTTTGGTGTTTTAGACGTGAAGTCTTTGCCCATGCCTATGTCCTGAATGGTATTGCCTAGGTTTTCCTCTAGGATTTTTGTCGTTTGAGGTCTTACATGTAAGTCTTTAATCCATGTTGACTTAATTTTTGTATAAGATGTAAGGAAGGGGTTCAGTTTTAGTTTTCTGCATATGGCTAGCCAGTTTTCCTAACACCAGTTATCAAATAGGGAATCCTTTCCCCATTGCTTGTTTTTGTTAGGTTTGTCAAAGATCACATGGTTATAGATGTATGGTGTTATTTCTGAGACCTCTGTTCTGTTCCATTTGTCTACATATCTGTTTTGGTAGCAGTACCATGTTGTTTTGGTTACTGTAGCCTTGTAGTATAGTTTGAAGTCAGGTAGTTTGATGTCTCCAGCTTTGTTATTTTTGCTTAGGATTGTCTTGGCTATGTGGGCTCTTGTTTGGTTCCAAATGAAGTTTAAAGTAGTTTTTTTTTTTTTTTTTTTTTCAATTCTGTGAGGAAATTCAATGGTAGCTTAATGGGGATAGCATTGAATCTACAAATTTGTTTCGGCAGTATGGCCATTTTCATATTGATTCCTCCTATCCGTAAGCATGGGATGTTTTTCCATTTATTTGTGTTCTCTCTTACTTCCTTGAGCAATGGTTTGCAGTTCTTCTTGAAGAGGTCCTTCACATCCCTCGTAAGTTGTATTCCTAGGTATTTTGTTCTCTTGGTAGCAATTGTGAATGAAGTTCACTCATGATTTGGCTCTCTGTCTGTTATCTTAAAATTCAATACGGTTGAGTGAAAACATTTATTTAAATTCTAAATAGGCAGCCTAACCACAAAACCCAAGATTCTTTCAGATCACCCAGAACAGATTTTTCATAACAAGAACAAATGACTTGCTTAAAGTTACTTCCATGTGGGTAAAAATTTTGCCCATTAGAGTTATGTCTAATGATTATAAATTCTTGAGGATCACTGTTCATAATGCTTTTTTCTTGTGGTATTTCTGTTTTCCTTTGAGATGTATTAAAAACATATAACTAAGCATTTGAAAAAAATTAATTAAAAAAAATTATGTAGAAAAAGTGACATCTCTTGTAGTAGAAAAATGCATTTCAAATCAACAAACAAAGGTATTGTTCTACAGCTTACATGCATTATCCGTGTCCAAAAATATATAATTAAGTATGTGTCTTTGCTATGGATACATTTTTTATCTGTTTTCTTGTTTGCCTCCTTGAAAGCATAGGTCAGCGGTAGTTTTGTTGAATGATTGTCTATTTGCTTTTGCTATTTGTTCTTTTATGATCTCCTTATCTCTAATATCTCATATATTGTGGATTATCAATAAATATTGGTTGGATGAATTAGGGAATATATGAATTAACAATAAACAAATGATTAAATAAAAAAATAAGTGATTGACCTGCCATTATGTTTTGATCTTTTTTCCTTGTGACCCTTGGCTTCAGCATAAGCATGCTTGGCATCTTTCCTTACTGAATTTTTTAAACTGTTTTAATTTTGTAGCACAGCATTCCCTGACAATATGTTGTAATATTGCATAAGTGGTAATTCAGAGAGGTTCCATGCCACATCTGGCTTTTGCAGAAAGTCCCCAGACAATATGAGTTCCATCTAAGTACACTCATCTCTTTATCCTCTGTCAACAAAAAGAAAGAAACTCTTATTACTGAGAATTAGAGCTTTATCTCTCAATTCTGATCAACTCTAAAGAATTTTGTATTTTTAAATATTTTGTTTTCTTTTTTGAAGGAAGCTACTTCTCCCTTTCATTCTGCTGCGTCCCTTCATCATATAAGGTCTAAATGTGAATAGTTTACACATAAGTTCTAGTTTATTGATGGTCTATAATATTCTACCTTTATTATATTCTAATAGTCTAACAGAGATTCATATAAAAATTATCAAACTTTTTATTATGGACTTCTGTAAACTTTTATAAATCTTTCTGACCACATTCTCTTAGAAATAGCTCAATTGAAACTGTGGGAAATATTTATGGTAAGTCAGCAATCACTGTGTGTGTAGAAGAGGTAAGACTAGCCCTGCACTAAGTAATATGAGGATACAGTAAAGTAAGAGAAAGATTCTGCCATTAAAGAACAGAACACTCAGTGAAAAGACAAATCAGGAGGGTGCAGAAGACATTCCATGTCACCTAGTCCAACTGACCAAGGAATACTCTATTCCATCTACAGTCTGTTGAGGCAAATTATAAAAGTGACCACAAATTCTTCCTATGCCAGTATGCCTGCCCTTTTGCAATTGATGTTGCATCTTCTTTCTTCAGGAGGTGGAGTCTTCACTCCTTGAATCTAGGTTTCTCCACATGACTGGCTTTGACTAATGTAATAGAAGTGACACAGCATTTGTTCTCTGCTACTTCACCAGCTGGAAACCTCTGTAGCTGGGGAAGACTTTACTTGGGCTGGTGGGTTTGTTCTTCCCACTTGACCTGGCAGGCTGTGCTCAGCCCATACTACTGACATGGATTCCACACCTGCCAACGGCAAGCCAGGCACAGAGTGGTGAGGCATGTTTAAGCATGCCAGCATGGGGTCTGGACACTGTGCGCAGTCTATCATGCTGGCTGCTGCTGTGGGGTGGGCAGCTCTAGGCACTGGCACAGGTGCTGGCTCTGTGCAAGGCTGCAGTCGGACCAGCTGTACCACAAGTGGCTTCCACTGCAGGCACCCACATCTGGATGAGTGGAACATAGTGGTGTCCAAAAGCTCAGAGACACCCACAACCACAGAGCCCCAAAGAGATAGTTACAGCATGTCACAACCCTGGCTCAGGGAACCCCTAGGTTTGGGCTCCCAGGAGGGCTGTAGATCTTCTCTGCTTCTGGTCACCTGCAATGTAGCAAGTGGTGGGGGATATGTGTCAGCCTGTTTTTGTCACAACTCTCTCAGTCCTGCCATTCAGAGTCCCAAGTTCCTGTCTCACATCAAGGAAGAATGAAGTATGCAGACAATTTGAGGGTGAGCAAAGTGGAGAGGACATTTGTTGAGTGACAGAACAGCTCTCAGAAGATCTGAAATGTATAGCTCCTATCCGCAGGCAGGTCATTCCATCGAGTGAGTGAGTCTGGCTGAGTCTGTGGTTTTTATGTGTTCAGAATGGAGGAACTGCATGCTGATTGACAGATTTTGTGTATGTGAAATTATAAACATATAAGATATTTGAAGACATGGGCCATCTGTTCTAAGTTTTTGTAGACTTGAAGCTTACTACAGGGCTTCAACTGTATCAACTAAGCAATAAGTACTCAGTTAATAAAACAATTATCAAATAGTATTTATATTTTGTGCTTTAAATGTAATATGGCTTAGAAAATCTGGAAACCAGTTATTATAATTTGTAGTAACAAAGAATCAGTAATTTCTGAATGAGGATCCCTTTAATATATCAAATTTATACAAGCTTTAAGATAACTATTTTCTTATTTCTGAATTCACACTTTTGCTATGCAAGTTTCAGATTGCTCCAAATAAAATTTTTGTTGTACGAACAACTTACATTAGGATTCCTCTGTGGAGAGCTGATGTTATCTTATGAAAAGAGCACTGAAATGATGATACAAAGTTAAGACAACACGAAAAAAGCAAAACCAATTTTTAAAAACCTAAAGAATTGTCTTTGCTATAAATATACTCTATATGTATACACATGCACAAAAACTGAGTGGGTATGTATAATAATAACCACTTAATTTTTAATATGACAATAAAATCAATACATTTCCTTAGTATTGTTTTACTTCACATTAATACAGTTAATGCAATATTGCAAAATTTTTGAAGATAGAAATCTGCATTGGGTATCAAAAGGACACAGTACAATAGCAAACATTGTACAGTCCCTAATATCTCTGAGTTTTAGGTCCCTGAATAGAAACAAACAAATTATAAGCCTAGAAAGGGATACAGTTTTCCACAGGGCTGTTGCTACTATCAAATAAGATAATTTAAATGATAATACTTAATAATTGACAAATTTAATTCAAAAAATTAAAAACTATTACATTTAGCCTGATTCTAATAAATATGATTAGATTGTGTTCAACATATGTACATATTTCACCAGTAGTAACTGTGTGTGTACTGTTTTTTTAATATTTGACTGAGAGACAAGACATAGGGGTGTTTGAATGGTGTGACTAACCAACTCATACATAGTAAAGCAGTGCTACACATTTTTTCCAGGCAATGTTTACAATATTTTAAAAGCTATATTTGAAAACAAAATGGTACATGATTATGGTAAAAAATAAAGTTACAAGTAGATACATATCTACCAACAAGCCTGATGACTTAAATCCAACAACCCCCAAAGGAAAAGCCTAAATATAATAAACAATCCATTTCTGGTGTAAATTTAAAAATTGAACTTGTTTTAAAGGTGGGCTTATCTAATGGTTCTGATGGGAAAATGGTGATGGGAGGCAACAAACGGTGTCAGAAAGTTCCAATTGATTGGTGGTGTGAGTTGGTTTCAGTCTCCCTGGGCTTAGCAGGTGTTTGGTTACTCTTTCTCACACAGGAGCATGTTTGTTGATCTTCTTAAACCTTTCCCCACCAGGGAACACATGTAGTGTTCTCTTAATGCTGGCAAATATATTTCCTTCTGTATGGCCACGGACTACTCCTTCTGTAGCTTCTAAACATTCAGCAGGGCACATTCTGTGTGCTTAGGTCCTTCAGCCCACCAAGTGCCTTGTTTGGATGGAATCTTCTGCCCTTTGTACAGAGCACAACTGATTCATGACAGACATTCTCACTTTTTTTTTCTTTGACAAACTCAGAGCTCTGGACAATCCCACTTCAGTGACTTGCTTTGTTATAAGCCTAACTAGCAAGATGTATTCTCTCCATGTAGATTTCTCTGTCTCTGCCTGTGGATCTAATACTCATCCCCTCTGCCTTCCAAACTTCAGGAAACAAGCATGTTATTATTATCCATGTTGTTTACTGAAAGCCACTTTCCCTAGGCTTGGGGTGCTGTGGGCCCTCATATCCTCTTCTTCTGTTCTATTCTCAGCTTCTCTAACTTCTTTAGAAGGTAAAAGTTGGTGGCCAATAAAGGATAAAACACTTATTTTTTCATCCTAATGTCTTTTGTAAGTCTCGTATGATGAGCTCACATAGGACTTCTGTACAGGTCACCTACTACTTTAAAAAAAATCAAATCCTGAAACCATCAGTTTTCTTATTTTACTCTACAACAAATACCAATATTGTAAATTTTTGTCCATTTTATAGTGTAATAAAAATATTTTTATTTTATTTTATTTTTATTTTATTATTATTATACTTCGAGTTTTAGGCTCTAAAGGCTGATGTTGGATCATATTTCCCCAAATTGTCAAAGTTGAGGAGCAGATATACACATGCCTGTGCTTGGGAACACATGGCAATAAATCTAAGGAAATCGAACCTGTTATATCTGTAGATATGGGGACTAAAGAAAAAACACCAAGATTCTTTTTCCATGTAAACCCTTAAATAAGACAAACTGTGATAACAAAGTCAGAGGAAATCCAAAAGGTCAAGAAAATTGCTTAAAGGAGCCAGACTGGAAAAGGCTGGATCTCTTGGGCAGCAACCACCAGAGACTATAGGCAATTTAGCTTGGTGTAAAGGTATTAGGTTAAAGCCAATGACAACTTTCTCATATTTGTTTCATCTCTCGTATAAAAGAGGGTTTAAAAAATAAATTAAATTTCAGAAATAGAATTTTATTGATGAGATGGTATCTTGGCTGTGGTCTTCAGTGAAATTTCACAGATCTTATGAAGGTGTGATTTTTAAAAATTGTTGTCACACTGAGAGTAATCGTAAGACTCTAATCACCTTGCATATATGTCTCAGTTCAGCTAAATCAAATAGAGGAGATGCACCAGGACTTGCCAACATTGTCCATGCTTTCACAGGTGTTTCCACTTCAGGCTGGGCCACATATACCTAAAGTAAGATATCAGACATGATAATTGTCAGATATGTATTCCCATATAGAGAACAAAACTGCAAAGAAGCATATTGGTGATGACAGGAACATTAATTCTCAAATTAAGCTGGCTCTATTCAAGACCTGAGCTTAATGTATCTTGGAATCAATTGCAGAAGAAAAACAAAATAGTGGGGGTTCTGTCAAATGAAATTACTGGGTATGAAATAATGATATTTTCAGATCAAGATTTCTATCCTGAAAATGTTAGTATCTCAGTGTGTGTGTGTGTGTGTGTGTGTGTGTGTGTGTGTGCACACGCATGCACACATGTGTAGGTGTGATAGGGGTTGAGGATTTTAAGAAATCCAGTGGTGCAAGAAAAGTTTTGGACTGAGAATAAAGAGATCTAAATTATATATTTTAACCTGCTTCCAACTGAACCATTTACCTTGAGGCACTCGCTTTTCTTTTCTGACTATCTGATCTCTTTTCTTAAAAAAATAATAAAAGATATGAGCAAGTTGATTCCCGTGATCCCTTTCAATTCCAAAGTCCTGTGACTATACACAGTGGTGAAGAGTTGAGAGTAAGAATCAGTGCAATGTATGTACTAAGGTGAGAGAACTGGTGGAGAGATTGCAGCGGGTTCTGGAATGCTTAGCTTGCATTTTAAACAAATAAAAGGATGTTTTGGCCATTGCCACTCTCATTTGAGACCATCATTCAGAAAATCATTTGATCTGGAGAGTAACCTTGACATTTCAGGTCAGGTCTAAAATTCTTAAGAAACCACGTTTTCATGCCAGAGGGTAATATAATTTTTCCTGCTAGAATATTGTGAAAAATGTCGTAACTTAAAGACATCTAGTCAGTGAATTTTAACTTCTTTGTATTCTTTAAAAAGCCTATTTGCGCTTCAGTGTATTGCAAAATTAACTGCATGTTGTTCTTGTTGATAACAATCAACTCTTTGAGTGCTTTTTTGTTTGTTTGTTTGTTTTAGAGACAGAGTCTCGCTCTGTTGCCCAGGCTGGAGTGGAGTGGCGTGATCTCGGCTCACTGCAAGCTCCGCCTCGAGGGTTCATGCCATTCTCCTGCCTTAGCCTCCCGAGTAGCTGGGACTACAGGCAGCCACGACGCCTGGGTAATTTTTGTATTTTTAGTAGAGACCGGGTTTCATTCACCATGTTAGCCAGGATGGTCTCGATCTTCTGACCTCGTGATCTGCCCACCTCGGCCTCCCAAAGTGCTGGGATTACAGGCGTGAGCCACTGCGTCCGGCCTGAGTGCTGTTTTCTAAATGAACTAATGTTCTAAGAGTCCAATCACAGGGATATTCATTATTTGTAATATTATATTAAGCTAGTATATAACATTGCAAGCTAATATATAACTTTCCTTAAAATATAAAAAATAGGTTCATTTACCTAAAAAGACCTCTTATTTTGATCTGGAGGAGAGAATAATCATGAATTGTCAAGGCATGTGCTGTTATATTCCTCTGTTTATGCCTATGGTTCATCTTTCCCTCTCCCTTGATTTCAACTTTTTGATTAGCAGAAACAAATATGAGTAGCTTTACTGCGGTATAACTGACATACAATGAACTACATACATTTAGTGTACAATTTGATTAGTTTTGACAAATATATAAGTCTGTGAAATTATCACCACAATCAAGATAGTGAGCATATAAATGACGCCCCCAAAATTTCCTCTTGTCCCTTTGAACTCCTCCCCCTCACCAGTACCTGGTACTTTTTAGTAACAGTTAATCTACCTTCTGGCACTATAGATCAGCTTTTATTTTCTAGA
Organism: Homo sapiens; assembly: GCF_000001405.40. NCBI lineage: Eukaryota > Metazoa > Chordata > Mammalia > Primates > Hominidae > Homo > Homo sapiens. The sequence continues at coordinate 14,239,909 of NC_000002.12, read as the reverse complement.
ATTTTATAAAAATGGAATCATATTTTATGCAATGTTTATGGTCTATGTTCTTTCACTCAGCATAATTATTTTGAGATTCACCTATGTTTTTATGTGCATCACGTGATATTTTAAACCATTCATCTGTTGATAGAAATTTGAGTCTTTTCCAGTTTGGGGCTACTACAAATTAAAGTGCTATGTGACACTTGTATACAAGCTTTTGTATAAACATACGCTTTCATTTGTCTTGAGTAAATTCCTAGTAGCGAGATGGGTGGAATATATGATAGGTGTATGCTTCAATTTTTAAGAAACAGTGAATAAAAGCAGTTTTATTTCTTTTCAGCTTGGATGTTTTATTTATTTATTGTTATTATTATTATTATTATTATTATTTTGCCCTGTTTCATTGGCTTCGAAACAGTGAGAGCAAACATGTTTGTCTCATACCTGCCCTTAGAGGAAAAGCATTCAGCCATTCAACATTAGTATGGTGTTTAGCTATAGATTTTTTTCATGTCCTTCCTAGTTTTCTAGTTTTCTGAGCTTTTTTTATAAGGAATGGATATTCAGTTTTGACAATTGCTTTATCTGTACCTATTGAGAAGATCATATTTATATTTTTCTACTTTTTGTTTATTGATTTGGTGAATACATTGGTTGACTACGTTAAATCAAGTCTGCATCCCTGAGATAAACCCAAATTGGTTATGATATGCTGGATTAGTCCGTTCTCACATTGCTATAAAGAACTAAGACTGGGAAATTTATAAAGAAAAGAGATTTATGGTGTGTGATGTTCCCCTTCGTGTGTCCGAGGGGAGAGGGATAGCACTGGAGATATACCTAATGCTAAATGACAAGTTAATGGGTACAGCACACCAACATGGCACATGTATACATATGTAAGAAACCTGCAAGTTGTGCACATGTAACCTAAAACTTAAAGTATAATAATAATAAAATTTAAAAAAAATAAAAAAAAAAAGAGATTCAGTTGGCTCATGGTTCCATAGGCTGTACAGGACGTATGACTGAGGAAGCCTCAGGAAACTTACAATTATGGTGGAAGGCAAAGGGGAAGCTGGCACATCCTACATGGTCAGAGCAGGAGGAAAAGAGTGAAGCAGGAGTTGCTACATGGTTTTAAAATACCAGATCTTGTGAGAATTCTACCATAGGAGTAGCAAGGGGGAAATCTGTCCCCATGATTCAATCATCTCCCACCAGGCCCCTCCTCCAGCATTGGAGATTACAATTCCACATAAGATTTGGGTGGGAACACAGACCCAAACCATATCATATACCTTAAAAATAATTTTGTTTTAATTCTAAATTTTTTTAAAGATTTTATATTTATGATTACAAGGGATATTGATGTGTAGTTTTATTTTCTTACAATGTATTTGTCTGCTTTTGTTATTAAGTTAACACTGGCCTCAGAATTCATTGTGAAGTATTCCTTTTGCTTCTATTTCCTGGAAGAGTTTGTGCATTTGTAACAGTCATAGAGACTATTTCCTTGTCTCTTACATCTATAATCAATAGTGCTTTTTCCTGTTTGGTAGAATTCACCAGTCACACCATTTGAGCCCAGAGTTACCTTTGTTAAAAGGTTTTAAGCTACAAATTCAATTTCTTTAATAGGCCTAGAGCTACTAGGGTTAACTGTTTTTTCTCGAATGAGCTTTGATCCTTTGTATCTTTCAAGGAATTTTTCCATTTTATCTTAATTATCAAATTCATTGGCATTACTTTGTTTACAATATTACTTTATTATTCTTTTCATATATTTAGAATCAATAATGATGTCATCTTTCTTATATCAATTATTGGAAACTTGTGTCTTTCTTCCCTCTTTTGTTCCTGATCAATCTGGTTACAGGTTTATCAATTTATTGGTCTTAAAAATTCAGCTTTTGGTTTTATTTATTTTTCTGTTTTTTTTCCTGTTTTTGATTTTTTCTTTATTTTTGTTTTGATCTTTATTCTTTTCTTATCTTGCTTACTTTGTGTTTAGTTTGCTTTTCTTTATTCAGTTTCTGAAAGCAGAAGTTAAGTTTATTCATTGTAGAACTTTCTTCTCTGCTTATATAGGTGCTTATTGCTATCAATTTCCACTTCATTTCCCTTGACATATGCCAGTAATAAAAATGAAGCTATATAAACAATGAACAAGAAGGAATTTAAAAATATTGTTATTATAGGAGAGTGGTTTTGGTAACTAGTTCATCTTAGGAAGCTCCTTGACCTATGTTCCAGAGGTTGTCTTGCAATATACCTCATTCTATGATAAAATTCAAGATGTGTTCAAAAGTATCATGCTTCTTTATGTTGAGGAAAATCCCAGGAATAAATGAAGCAGGATATTGCTTCATTTATTCAAGCAATGATGAAAGCACATTTAAATAAAAGTTAGATCTTTATATATCTTCATATATTTTGCTCTAATGAAATATTTTTTAAATATAATTGTCATTAATGCTAATTTTCATTCGTTTTTCAATAATTTCATATATTTTATTTGTTATACAGCATCAATGAGTATTAAGAGCAAAGCCAATATTTTCACTAATCTCACTTATACAAGGATAATTAACTTGGAAATTCTTAAAGGAAATCTAAGTGAACACCCTAGCTTTAAATATGCCATTCTCTTGAAGCAATTGATAAATAGTCTAAGATATATAAGAGTTTTTACTCAAAATTGCCCATCTGGAACTTGTTAAATAAGTGCAATATTATTAGAGAGCACTGCTATTTCTCATCATTATCATAACACATAAAGTAACTTAGTAGAGACAGGCACTCAGGGGTTGACAAATTATGGTGTTATACATATGACACCCAAATGAATTCTCACCTTGTGACTAAAATGTTAGACTAAATGGTCACCAACCAGAGCACTGGGAGGAGCCATCCCTCTCCCCTTAGTCTATTTGCATTTTTTCTTAAATAAGGCATTCACTGTTCCCACCTTTGTTCAACTTTGAATGTTACAAGTTTCCCCTTTTACATCTTTAAGCTCCAGTTTTTCCTTTTTTGGAACAAAGTAATAATCTTCATTACTCCACAGACATATTTTGAGGCTGAATTTAGGCAATGACTAAGAGAGTTCACAAGAATCTATAAGAAAGCACATAAATTTAAGGAAAGCTTTAATGTTTGAATTCAGTGCCACCGTGGGCTATTCTTCCTGCTTAAAATCCCTAGGGTGTTTTACTATTAAGACGTGTGTTATGCTAGAGAAATTTAGCTTAGATTAGCTTTTCTAACAAACTCTTGATTTGAGGTAGAATCAGAAAGGAATGTCACCCAGTACAACAATATTTTTGAATGAATAGTCAGGAAAAATCAGGAAAACTTGCTCTCCTGTTTGTTTCCCTTGCCCTGTTTGTTTCAGAGCAGTGATGTAACACATTTAAAATACTTTATCAATTTTATATATGCTAAGGTATGACCAGATAGCCTCTGAGGGGAAGGCTGTGAGGATGCTTACCTAGTTGCTTCCTACCTGATAGCTACATCCTCCTTTCTCTCCCCATTTCCTCCTTAAGGAGCCTCCCTGCTCAGAAACAGACAATAATGTCCCTATTTTTCACCTGAAATCTGTTTTGGAGACACTTTTTCTGTTCTTCTGCAGTCTCCTTTTGTACTTCTTTCTATCAGTCTCTTTTTAGGAAGGTCATCTCACAGCAGGTACATGGTCTCCTGACCCGGGTGTGTATGTGTGTGAAGGGTTGTGGGGGTTATTAGGATGTTGGGATTTGGGCTGGTAATGTGTAAGAAATTTTGGTTGTAATCTCTACAAGTTGTATTTTTTATACCTGTTATATAAATAGACACAAAATTTGCAGAATTATTGAGTAACGATGTTGTATTAGGTAGTCCTCACATTGCTATAGAGAACTACCTGACACTAGGTAATTCATGAAGAAAAGAGGTTTAATTGACTCACAGTTCCTCCATCTGTACAGGAGGCATGGCTGGGAGGCCTCAGGAAACGTATAATCATGGCAGAAGGCAAAGGGGAAGCTGGTAAGTCTAACCATGGTGGAGCAGGAGAGAGAGAGAGAGAGCAAAGGGGAAGTGCTACACATTTTTAAACAACCAGATCTCATGAGAACTCTGTCACAAGACATCACTAGGAGGATGGTGCTAAACTCTTAGACATAACCCCCATGATACAATCACTTCCCACCGGGCTCCACCTCCAACACTGGGGGATGACAGTTCAACATGAGATTGGGGTGCAGAAACAGAGCCAAACCATATCAGATATATAAGCCATGTAGCATAGAATCCTTTAATATCTACATTATTGATTCTGCTGCCTTTTGGAGTGAAATAAACTGTAACAAATTTCTCTTTGATGTAGTAACCTTTTGAATCTCTCAGGATGACTATTTGTCATTCTCTTCTATTTTTGGAACATCACTGGACAAAGGAAAGTGAAGGCAAAATAAGGGTAGAATAAAATGGTTGTGCCAGCACATTACTGGAAAATGGCCCATGCTTTTCAAGTGGGTTTCTTTTAATTGTGATTCTTCTGTGAATATCTGGGGATAAAATTCCAAAATATAAAATGATGATCATTTCTTATTTCTGGTTAGCCAATTACCATTTTGTTGAACCTAGAAGAGCCCAAACATTTGCTGGCCATGTCAGAAGGAAGCAGCTGTTAAAGCAGGCATCCGGCAGAAGGCAGCTTTCCCACAGCCACGTTGCAGTGGTCGCTTTCATGTGGATTCTCATGGGCATCTTAACAAATCCTGTAAGCCTTTGACAATTTGCTTTTCCTCGTTTCAGACCAGTGTTGGTCACTGATTTCTTGGTGATATCATAAAAGAGGAAACCCTGTATTTTTCACTTCTGTGTTGATGGGTGTGTTGCATTCTTTTCTGAATATGAAGCAACAAGATTTGCCTTCTCCAAGCAGCAAGATCATTAGGCAATTTGTTCACATTCATCATGGTAGGGATTGTGTGGTAAACACATCTCAAAGTGATAACGTGACTTGAGCTCACCTTGAGAACTACTCTGTATGGCAGATGCCCTTGAATGTGTGTTCAGAGTTCCGAGCGAGAGAATCCAAGAGTAGACAACCCAGAGATTTATTCCCTATCTATGAGGAACATCTGAGCCCCTAGCCATTCCCATGGACTGTGGTCTGTAAAGGGGATCAAGACCCTTTGTTGTGGGTTAAATGAAGGTTGTCAGGTGGAGGTTCTTAGGGGGAGGATGTTAAGTGAAGATGCTATATAAACTGCACGGCTTTTATAAGGGTTATGGTTCTCCTGTCCAGCCTGCCACTGCTGGACTCTCTCCCCTCTACGTAAGCCCCCAATAAAACCCCATGTCACATTCACTGGCTCCAGGGCTCTTCCTTGGCCTCTTGAACATGGTGCCATCCCCACTGGAGTCAACAGGGTTTGGCACGACAGGAAGTCCTTTCTTATTTTTATTCTTATTTTTCATTAAATGTTTTGTCCTGTATTAATGGAAATGCCCAATACATATGAAATCTTGCAAACATCCCAGAAAAACTGATTTCTCTACAATTCTTACATTTGAGGGAGTGTGTCTCACTCCTCATTCCCTTTATCATTTCCTTATGGAAATAAGGACAGCATTTTCACTCACTGCAGTGTTTGCAAGGGATTTGTTATCAGCAACTGCTTCCTAAGTTATTTATAGTCTGACAAATAATTGACTCTTGCTGTGGTGGGTACATATCAATTTGTATGGGGGTGGGGAATTTTCTCTGACATGAATAAAAAATCAGTTTAGGATAAAGAATGTGCACAATAATATCAGGACTTAGAAAAGACCTGCCAGCATTCTGGCGATGTGAAAGGGATACTGAGCCGGGAGTTTTGGGTTGGGAAATCAAGTTTGCCGTTGATATGCTGTGTGATCTTGGGCATGCTTCTTACTATTGCTGAGCCTCAGCACTGGCATTGGCAAATGAAGGTGTTACTGTTGGTACTCTCCCCAGATCCCTTCATGCACCTTTTATTCTTCTGTATGCCAGTTCCCTCACCTTCTCTGTGCTTTGCCTCTACTGGCTTGTACCAGTGACTTTCTTCAGGGGACTATTTTTGGATCCCTTGAGCCTCCTGCTTCATTCACCCTTATTCACAGACAGCCAAGGTGCCAGAGGGTTTATACATCTTCATTAGGCACCCCTAGCCTTTACCCAAGGACAAGCTAATACAGAGGTATGAAAAATAATTTGCCTTACCTTCAGGGTGAACAAATTCCAGAGGTGTAAGTTATATTCTACTGTTTCTGAGGTTGTTGCTGCGACTGCACCTAAAGCCCCAACCTGGCTGGACTTCTCCCATTCCCTGCACTCCTCCTCCCACATCCTCACGTGATTCTCCAGGGAGTACTTCGTTAAGAATCACTTGCACATAAACCCTCATCTCAGGATCTGCTTCTGCAAAACCCTTTCAACCTCACTTAACCAGTTGTTAAAGGTTAACTAAATATAGGATCAACCCAGATTTATAGTTTTTACTATTTCTCATAGTGTTTTAAATATTGCCTAGGTAAGTTTATATAATGAGATTATACAGACCATCAGTCTACATACCTGGGTTAGTGTAGGTGGGTAGATTTTGGCCCTTGAGGTCCAGATTTCAGTGAAAAATAAGTTACCATTTTACTTTATGATACTTCTTTCACCATAGCAATAACTTTTGGTGGGAAATAATTATTATTGCATTTTTTAGACAAGTAAGTAGGAATTTGGAAAGGACACATCACTTGTCTATATACCTAGGGGACTTGGTTGTACCACTGGAACCCAAGTTCTCCAGCTCTGAACTCAAAGTCCTCTCCAAGTACAGACAAGGCTGTAGGTAAATGTTTTTCTTGAAACCACTTGATTCTCTGGTTTCCTTGTCTGTTTTGCATGACCTCCACTACAGCCTCAATATCATGTTGAATTTCTGAGAAGCTTTCCAATGTTAGCTAAGATATGATCGTTGGGGCACCTAGGGAGCATAGATAAGTCAATACGGGGCTTTAAGATATCTAAACCCTTAATATTCCAAAGAATCAAAGCTGAAAGGACACTGAACAAGATCTTTACTCAAGTTCTTCTAATACCATAGCCTATAGGTAATGAAAACATGAATATGAAGACATTTTTACATGTCTTCATATTCAAATTGAGATTCATCCATTCTCTTTTAAATAAACAACTTGGCTTTCCTTTTTATGAAAAAGCCATTATGATTTGGTTTGCTCTCCAAAGAGTTTGGTTACTGAATGTCAACTTTTCTTAAAGAAAAATGTGACATCTTTAAGAAGCGAATTTGTAGAAAGAAAGACAGTTACAAGAGAAAAGTGGGAGCAAGTCAATTAAGGCTCAGGGAAACCTTTATTTCAACTACAGTCTCACAGCATGAATAAAGCACTCAAGGGATTGAGGTTCCTGCAAGGGAGGCCAAATGCATGCTTCTCAGACTGAAGAAAAGAAAGTTATTCTTACGAGCCAATTGGAGGTGTTTAATAGGTAATTAGCGCATTTCCTATCCTTTGTTTCTGACAACTGACTGACATCCTAAATCAATCCAGGTGGTAAGAACAAGATAAAGGCCTTAAAGGCACTAGCTCTATGCTGAGATTGTGAATAATTACCTGGGGAAGCGGTTTTCAAATGCTTTCAGATTCTTGGGCTCAGTTTCTGCAATTTCTGCTTTCTCTAGTGGGAGAATTCACATTTGTGACAGGCATGGAAACTGTTTCCTAGTTCCTCATATCTAGAAACACAATTGGTAAAATACTATTTTAAGTATTTCTTTGAATGGAATCATATGACGTTTTCATTTTGTTGTTGTTTTTTTCTCTTAGTATCTTGTAATAAGTTAAATATTTGCTGAAGGAAGAGAGCTGTAATAGAAAATGGAAGTGCCAGTGGTGAGACTTTATTTTTTTTTCTGAGGAATGGTTGAAATACATGAAGATACATAGAGAAGAAAACAATTCTTAATAAGTGCTAAGTGTCATCAAATACTATGTTTAAATGAACTCCTACTGAAGAGAGATTAGATTTTTTTCATCTATTTTGTTAAGAAAACAATTGAAGATCAACAAGTAGAAGTAAGGAGTAGACTCTTCAGATACATGGATTTCTAATAGTAGAGTTGCTCCAGCTGGACTCACTCAAATAAAATGAGTTCCAAATTCCCAGGGATGTGCAAACATTGAATAAACAATGAACTGCCAAGATTAGGTAGTACAAAGCTCATAGATGATTCCTGTTCCCATATTGCATAGGTCTCCTTTGGATTCAGAAAGACAATGAACTGCCAAGATTAGGTAGTACAAAGCTCATAGATGATTCCTGTTCCCATATTACATAGGTCTCCTTTGGATTCAGAAAGACACTGGGCTTCCCCCAAACCAAAGGAGAATAGTGCCCCTCCCACTCACATCCAGAGGCGTACATCTACTGCATAGGAGTTGCTTTCATTTTCCTCTTTATAAATTGTTTTGTCTTATTCTAAATTCACTAAAGAATGATGATTTTCAGAAATGTAACAATATCAGGTGGAAGTATAGTTATGTAGTAGTATAGCACAAGTTAAGCTAATTAAAAGATATCACTGATATATATCAAAATAGAAACACATGCAAAAATGACAATACTTATTTTTGTTGGGGATGCAGAGAAAATAGTACTCTAAAAACTCCTAGAGTGAATATGCATTGTTATATCTTTAATTTTTAAGCCATGATAAAGAGGGTATTAAAATTTAATGTACATACACTTTTTCATCAAGCAATACTTTATATCTAGAAATGTATGTTATAGAAACCAAAGGGTTACTAGTAGAGACCTATGAATAAATAATTTTCTTGCATTAGATATTAGAAAAATACCCAAACATGATAAAGTAGTTATTCAAATTATGGTACATCTATACCATGGATGTTCATGAATGCAACCATTAGATACAACCCCGTCATAAAACCATCAGATCTCATGAGACTTATTCATTATCAAGAGAACAGCATGAGAAAAACCCATCCCCGTGATTCAGTTACCTCCTACCAAGTCCCTACCATGACACATGGGGATTATGGGAGCTACAGTTCAAAATGAGATTGGACTAGGGACACAGCCAAACCATAACAGACATCAAACTATTTATCTTCACAAATGATATAATTTCACACCTAGAAAACCTCATAGTCTCTGCAAAAAGGCTCCTAGGCCTAATAACTTCAGCAAAGTTTCAAAATATAAAATCAATGTACAAAAATCAGTAGCATTTCTATACACCAATAACATCCAAGCTGACAGCAAAATCAAAAATGAAATCCCATTCACTATAGCCACATACAAAAAATACCTAGGAATATGGCTCACCAGGGAGATGAAACATCTCTAGAATAAGAATTATAAAACTCTGCTGAAAGAAATCAGAGATGGCATAAAGAAATGGAAAAACATTCCATGCTCTTCGATAGAAAGAATCAGTATTTTTTAAATGGCCATACTGCCCAAAGCAATTTCACAGATTCAATGCTATTTCTATCAAACTACCAATTACATTTTTCACAGAATTAGAATAAACTATTTCAAATGTCATATAGAACCAAAAAAAAGCTTGAATAGCTAAAGCAATCCTAAGGAAAAAAAAATGAAACAAAGATGAAGGCCTCATGATACCTAACTTTAAAATACATTACAGGGCTACAGTAACCAAAACAGCATAGTACTGGTACAAAAACAGACACATAGACTAATACAACAGGTTAGAGATCCCAGAAAGAAAGCCATAAACCTACAACCATCTGATCTTTGACAAAACTGACAAAAACAAGCAACAGGTAAAAGACTCCATATTCAACAAATGATGCTGGGATAACTGGCTAATCATATGCAGAAGATTGAAATTAGATTCTTTCCTTTCACCATTTATAAAAATCAACTCAAGATAGATTAAAGACCTAAATGGAAAACCTCAAACTGTAAAAACTCTAAAAGGAAACCTAGGAAATATCACCTTGGACAGAGGCCCTGACAAAGATTTTATGACAAAGCTTTCAAAAGCCTTTGCAACAAAAACAAAAATTGACAAATGGGACCTAATTAAACTAAAGAGCTTCTGCACAACAACAAAAATTGAGTAAACAGATAATCTACAGAATGGGAGAAAATATTTGCAAATTTTGCATCCCACAAAGGTCTAATATGAAGAATATATAAAGAACTTCAACAAATTAACAAACAAGGAGTGAACAACCCTATCCAAAAATGTGCAAAGAAGACGAACAGACACTTCTCAAAGGAAGACATATGTGGCCAAAAAACATATGAGAAAAAAATGCTTATCATCACAAATATTTAGAGAAATGCAAGTCAAAACCACAGTGAGATACCATCTCATACCAGTCAGAATGGCTATTACTGAAAAGTCAAAAATAACATTCTGGTGAGGTCCTGAAGAAAAGGGAAAACTGATACACTGCTAGTAGGAATGTACATTAATTTAGCCACAGTGTAAAGAAGTTTGGAGATCTTTCAAAGAACTTCCTCAAAGAACACACATATATTCATTGCGACACTATTCACAGTAGCAAAGACAGCAAAGACATGGGATCAACCTTGATGCTGATCAATGGTGGACTGGATAAGGAAAATGTGGTACTTATACACCATGCAATACTATGCAGCCATAAAAAAAGAACAAAAGCATGTCCTTTGCAGGGACATGGATAGAGCCAGAGGCCATTATCCTAAGTCAATTAACACAGGAACAGAAAACCAAATACTGCATGTTCTCACTGCTAAGCAGGAGTTAAACATTGAGAACACTTGGACAAAAAGAAAGGAACAGTAGACGTCGGGCCTACTGGAGGGTGGAGGGTAGGAGGAGAGTGAGAACTGAAAAACTACCTATCTGATACTATGTTCATTACCTGGGTGATGAAATAATCTGTACACAAAACTCCCATGACAGGCAGTTTACCCATGTAGCAAACCTGCATATGTACTCCTTGAACCTAAAATAAAAATTGAAAAAAAAAAGCCATTAGAAAGAATGGATTGGAATTATAGCTGTTTATTGGAAGGAATGTTTATCAGGTATTGAGAAAACAAGGTGAAGAAAAATGTGTATGACATGTTTTAATTTTTGTAAGTCATGATTCAAATATGTGCACATATTTTAAAATTTAGGTTTATGTGTTTGTCCACGTATGCATATATACATAATGCATTTTTGGATACACCTAAGTATAGAGACAAGTATGGAAGATGTTAACATGGTTTACCTAGAAGGGTCGTGATAAGGGTGAAGAGATGAAGGAAAGAGGAAGGAAGCAGGCAATTAAAAAGCAAAATAAATGCTAGCCTCATTAAGTAAACAGTGTGTATTATACGGTTCTGTAATTGAATACTGTGTAAAATTACATATGTGTAAAGAAAAATGTATAAAATATTTTCCTGAAAAATGAGGGGAAATACTTTACATATAACTCATTAGCCTAGTTTTAAAATCTAAATGACAAATATTATTTGAGTAAAAAGTCAGCAAATACAGAGCTGGATTCAGCTGGATAGTTATTTTGTTTTTACTTTATTTATTTAAAACCTTTCTCATTCAAGCTCGGGTTTAATGCAGCTCGCAATGAAAAATGTAGCATAACCTGAAAAATAATTGAGGAAATTACAGCATAGGGGGGTTAGATTCATTTTAGACATTTTTTGGTAAACAATAACACAGAACTCACTTTGGATATCTGACAAGTCTCTCATGACTGAAGGGTCTATGCATCCAAGCAGAACTTCATCAATATTCTTATTGAGTTGGGTCTCCTGATGTATTTACCTCATTTATCTCTATGACAGAGCAAAGTGATTTCTTTCACTTGGGGAAACATTAAGGCATTGTTGAGTATTGTCAAACTCAATAAGTCAATGATAATTTCAGACAAAAAAAAAACACATCTTCATTTTAATTGAATCCTAGCTTAGGACTCACAGAAAAATGTCTACAGGATAATAGCTTAATTGCTGCAACCTTTCCATCTTCAGTTTTGTTTAATTTCACACTTGAGTAAACCACCCAGTGTTTTATTATAGACAGATCTAGCTCCTTTTAAGTCATTTACAGGTTTTCACTAAATATCACAAATTAAGGAGTTCAATATGGGTCAGGATATATTATTTGTGAAGCCATATATCTGGATTTTCATATTTCATGTATCACTAAATCTAACAAGTAATAATTGTTTGCCTGGGGCTAATAGACGTTAGAACATTTTTTAAAGTGGCTTTGCCTGTAGTGATGTGGTTTTCAGCCTAAAAATTTCAGACAGAAATGAATGAATCTCTTAAGGCAGTCAGAGGATGTACCTTCACCTCTAAATTCCAACCACTTTCCAATTACAGGAACAGGCCTGCAAGCTCTCCCTTAGAAAACAACCCCTCTGGCTTTTACTATAACTTCTTCTTGCAGAAGTTTATAACTCAACTGCAAAAATCCTCTCAAGGTGAAACATGTCATGTAGTCTTCCTGTCCCAATGTAGATTTAAAAAATACAGTTCCTGAGACTTCGATAGAAGACATTTAACTGAAGGAAAAAAAAAAAAAGTCTTAAGTATTCTCAATTGGGAGGTCAGTAACATTCCCCAGTTGAGGAAAACAGGGCAAATATTAATTTAATATCCAAAATGTTGATTTTTCTTATAACTTTAATCCTTCCTTCCACCCCCTCTTCCTCCCTTTCTTCCATTTTTTTTTCCTTTCTAACATTTATCAGGCGTTCGTTGAGTTCCTTCTATGTGTCAGGTACTGAGCTGGTTACTAGATATATTGGTTTCCTGTTACTGTTGTAACAAATTACCACGAAATTCGTGGCTTAAAATAACAAACATTTATTTTCTTGCAGTTCTAGAGGCCAGAAATCCAAACTAAGTCTTACATAGCTAAATCAAGGTGTTGGCAGAGCTGTGCTCCCCTGGGAATCTCCAGGAAATAATTTGTTTTCTGTTGCCCTTCTTAGACTCTAGTGGCTGTCGATTTTCCTTGGCTATGGCCCTGTCACTCACTCCACTCTCTGTTCCTATTGTCATATTGTGTTCTCCTCTTCTGTGTCAATTTTCCCTCTACTCGCTCTTTTAAGGTCCGATGTGACTGCATTTAGGGCCCACTCACATAATCCAGAATAATTTTCCCATCTCAAATCCTCCGATAACCTCCACAGAGTTCCTTTTCACATAGAAGGTGACATTCATAGGTTCCAGGAATTGGGATCTGAATATCTTTAGGGACCAATATTCAGCCTACCACACTGGAGATATGCCAAATATATAATATGCTTCTACCTTCGAAGAAGCTCACCCGAGAGACACATAAGATTACCAAAAGCTTAGAAAATATGTGAGACACACACTCTGAGAGCATAAGTAAGTATTTTGTTGCTAAAAAGATGATTAAGAATTAACTGCTTCCCAACTATTAATTTCAGTTCCAGCTTGAACAGGAATCAAGGCCTACTTGAGGATATGAATAAAAATAAAATCTAGCAAAAATGGAGATGACTTTCTATGCTTGTGGTAGGCTGAATAATGACCCCCAAAGTTATCCAGGTCCTAATCCATCGATCCTGTGAACATTGCACTGTATGGTAATGTGGCCTTTACAGCTGTGATTAAACGAAGGATTTTGAGATTGAAAAAATATCCTGGATCATCTGAGCCAGCCTTAAGTGAAATCACAAGTGTCCTTATAAGAGTGAGACAGGGGGAGATCTTAAGGCAGATTAAGGGAAGGTGAAGTTATGATGGAAAAAGAAGATGCAAAACTGTTGGCTTTGAATATGGAGGAAGGGATCATCAAGCAAGGACTGCATGAGTGGCTGCTCTAGAAGTTGGACAAGGCTGGGAATGGGATTCTTTCCTGGAGTCTCTGGCCGGATCACAGCCCTGCTAACAACCTGTACTTTAGCCCAGTGAAAATGATTTTGAACTTCTGTCTGCCAAAACTATAAGTGAAATAAAAAATGTGTATTGTTTTATGCCACCCACTTTTGTTAACTTATTAAAGCAGTCGTAGGAAACTAAGGCAATATTTTAAAGGCATGAATGTTTTCAACAGTCTGATGTAGCTGAAAGAGCACTGGTCTGAGAGATGAGAGACAGAATCCAGAATTGCCACTTACCATAAGCAACTACCTGTTTTTTTTTATACAGGGTCTCATTCTATTGCCTGGGCTGGAGTGCAATGGCGTGATCTCGGCTCACTGTAACCTCCCCATCCTGGGTTCAAGTGATTCTCATGCCTCAGCCTCCCGAGTAGTTGGGATTACAGGCATGCACCACCATGCCTGGCTAATTTTTGTATTTTTAGTAGAGATGGGGTTTCACCGTTTTGGCCAGTCTGGTGGTGAACTCCTGGCCTGAAGTGATCTGCCAGCTTTAGTCTCCCAAAGTGCTGGGATTAGTGGCTCAGGTGTGAGTCACTGTGCCAGACCCAATCTTCATTTGGAGCCCAGGTCTTCTATCTGCAGGATGGTTGCTGGGACTTTTTCCTTCATGTTCTCATGTTATTTACCTAAAGGAGGTTTTATGTAATCCTACAGTTTCTAAATCTCCAAATATTCAATCAGGAAATATCAAATAAGGAAAATAACATTGATTCATGTATTCCTGAATTGAATTCAGGATCAGCAGCAGGACATGAGACAATCTGTGCAGAATAGAGTAGATTTTATCATTATTGTCCTTGCTCTGGATCAGAATCCAATCAGAAATACACATTGAATTTTTTCATGTCTCACAAGACTTCATTCTAGAACAGCTGCTCAGTACCCTCTGTTTCTCATGGCTCGGAACACTTACGGAGCATTGCCCAGTTGTTTTGTATGGTGCCTCAATGGGGTTAGACTGATTGCTTCCTCAAGAGTGCATCTAGGTGACGTATACAGAATCCCACAGAAGTGATGTTGTGTCCTTCTCAGTCCATCATATCAGAATGCACACATTGTCAGTTTACCCCTTTTTGGGGATTTGGGTGAATAAAAATTATATATGTATTTTTTGTGGTTTTTATAACTAAAAAAAGCAAAAAAATCATACTCTTAAGCAATAGGATATCAATTAGTAAATTCACATAGCTTTAAATGTCTAACATATTATATAAAAGTTGAAAGGGTCAATGTCTCCCTAATATAGCCTATATATCAGGGTCATAAAATCTGAAAGAAACAATGAAGATCTTTAAGGAGCACAGCATGATAGGTAAAATCCAGGGCTCCTCCTATTAAACTAGAGCAGTGGCTGATTTGGCGTCTGCCACTTTGTGGTACTATGATTTTGGACAATATATTACAATGATGGCAATTAGTCTACATTTATTGATAATTACTGTGTTTCATGGGATGTTTTAAGAGGTGTATATTTTTCCATTTAATCTCTACAACAACCAAATGAATTTTATATTAATATAGTTGCCATTTTACAGGTCAGATAACAGTTGCATAAAGAGTTAAGTCATTTCCTTAAGATCACATAGCTAGAAGGTAGTGAAGCCAGAATTTAAACCCATTCTGCATCCAAGTCCTGTATTCATCACCACTGTATTATACTGCCTCCCTAAAATTGCTAACCACTGTTTTCTCACGTGGAAAATGAAGATAGTAATCATACCTGTGTTATAGGTATCTGTGATTTAATAAAGGAGGCATTTAAATTTATGATTCATGTTAGGCATGTAATAAATGTAAGTTTTATTATCTCATAGTTATCAGTGTGCCCTGATGTTATTGGTGGGAGGAGACAAGGCTCAGGGAATTTAAATAATTGCCTAAGGTAGCATCATGAGAAAATACAGATTAAAACCTTAAGCCACTGACTCATTCTGTGCCTCTTTCTACATCTCCTGAAAAGTGATCGTTACATTAAAAATCAAGGGGAAGATCCTATTATATTGATGCATAAATTAAAGACATAATTTACTTATAAGCTCATTAGGGATCACTCATAGCTGCAGCTCACCAAAGAGAGGATATAGAAACGCTGTGTTTCCAGGAGCAGATGCAGAGAACATATTAGCAGCTTTGCTTCTGGAGAAAGTATATGCTTTGTTGATCACTCACCAACTGGCCCACTCCAAGGAGAGCTCTGAATCAGCAACCCCTTTTAAGAAAGTGGCAAGTAAACTCTTCATACCCTGGTAAGAAATGAGTAATGGCCCCATCACTAGAAGTAATTAGTGACTTTACACAAGACATTTCCAATGTCTGTGCCTCTATCTAAAATCACAAAATGAAAGAATTGGACTAGAGAAATTCTAATATTCCTCAAAGTTTAATCATTTTATGATATTCTGAAATCTTTGATTATTAATTTTCTCATTAGTGTGGGTTTTTAGAGCAGGCATTGAGGAATCAGTTAACTAATAATTAATCTCGTGCTTGGTACAGTGTTAAATATTCATGTTCGTTGTAAATTACATAGCATTATCAACCAAAGGTCTGGGGTTTCAAACATGCTTTTTTCCTGGGCCCACTTCTCATTTGGCTGATTTCTTATTGAAATATGCATCCTTTGGCTTTATCTGAACATTTGCTCAAAAATCCAAGTCTTTTGCACTGCAGAGAGTCTCAAATGTGAGAACCTTGTTCTCCATAAAATGAAGGTATGTCTGTACAAACTCTCTGTGCTTTTTATATACCCTTTATTGTTCCCAGGTAGTACCAAAGGACATAAGAAGTGCACATCAGTTGTTTGGTAATGCACGGATTTTTAATTTTTATTGTTTTTATATGCAAAAGTTTTCTAAAGACTTCAAGAAGAATGAATTTGCTGCAAACTTTTCCACCATATGCCACACATTTTAACATCGAGCCAGCATATGACGGAATCAATGAGAACATGTGCCTCTGTCTTCTTATCCCAGCCTGTTTTCAAGTTATATTAACTTGAAACCAAGATCAAAGTGATAATACCAAGATCCAAAATGAACTGAGTTGCTTAAGACGTTATACTGCAATTGGCCTGTTGTTTTATTCTTCCGCAAATTAGCTTAGTCAATAGTTCATACTTGAGTTTTCTTTTGAGAAACATTCTTTCTGAAACGTTAAACAGAAGTCAAGTATCTTCTGTAAGTTAAACTTCTTTGTTTTTTTAAATGGAATTTTTTAGTGCCATTTTTTATAGTCTACTTTATGAAGTGGGGCCTAGTCAATAGTAGATTTTCTAAGCCTTTTGCATTTATTTGGGAGAGTATAAATGATCATTTTTTTAAATCAAAGAATCATGGATATCATATTGCCTGCACAGAATGCTCCATGGGCCTAGGTACTGGGAGACAGGCAGGGATGGATTCAAAGGAAAGACAACAAGATTGCCCAAATTGCAGCCATCCAAATAGGGAGAGAAGAGATGCGCGTAAATTACTTGAATGCAAAAGTCACCGTGTCACATAACTTGAGAGATTCATAGAGCATTTTGAGAGTTCAGAGGAAAGTAAAACTGTTTCCAGGTGACAGATGAGGAAAAACTTTGCAAGTAGGTTAATATTTAGGCTGGAACTTGTAAAATGTATCAAATGTGGACATGGAAAAATTCAGACTAAGGACACCTGAGACAGAATGGATAGCTTAAGAAGAGGCACAAATGGGCGCCTCTATTTGTAGGGTATGGTTTGAAATTTGGGGATAGTTTAGTTTCATTAGAATGTGAATCATGTAAAGAGGAATTCTAGGAAATTCTAGGACAAAAAGGATAATTAAGTATGTGGGAGACACTACTTAGGAAGTAAGTGGTTAGCAGAAATAACATCTAATCCAAAATTGTATTCTCACACTAGCACTGTGCTTGGCATTATTCAGTTGGATTTATCTGATAGGAAAGAAGGAAGCAGAACATGCAGAATCATAAAGGAAATGGAAGAGATAAGTGGGATGTACAGTTTAGGCTACCTTAATTTTTTTCCCCTACAGTAAACTTCTTAAACACAGGAGGAGCAGGAATGTCTTTTTAATACTCTTGAAGGTAAAAAGAGTATAAAAAAGGAAAAAAGTAAATTATGGAATTGTGATTACTTGCAAACCAATGCCAGTGGGATTGCTTGGAGTGTCAAGTTTTTCTTTTTGAAAGATGCCCAATGAAAGAAAAAGTCGGAATGCAATTTCTAGAGGAGAATAGGTTTTGTGAACTCTGTCATCACTTCATTTTGCCTTTATGCAAAGAAAATTGTATCTTATGTTCCAAGTCACAGTACATTTGTCCTCAGATAGTTTTACGCGTAGTCACCACTACCAATTTTCTGTCAAAATATTTACATTATCTGTGGGTCTATTTCACAAACTAACAAACATTCTTAGGCTGAAGGAAATAAATTTTAGTGCGTTTAATATATACTTTGGCTTCCTTACCACATTCAAATGCTGCTTGCAAGCTATATGACATTGCAATATTATGTCAATCCCCAAATTTGAAAGATCTGTTTGAGAAGATCAAATGTAATTGCTTTGTTCATCAAATATTTGGGGAAGTTGAGTTTGGAGAATGCTGATTTGAGATTTAACTTTCAGTAAATTGGGGAGTTAAAAAAAAAAAAACAAAACTATTGTTTCTCTCTCTCTTTCTTTTTTTCTTCTACTTTGTTGTAGAGCCATCCATGTTTAAATTGCTTTTCCTGTGGGGAGTGATTTATTTCAGGCTAACTTGTGATGGATATGTTTTCCATGATTAAAATGAGTACTTTTTAACCTTAGGCTATGGCAGATGGGTGCATAAATATGAGGCAGAAACTGAGCCAAGGATTGACTTGTTTGCTTTTTAATCCTTTCTTTCCCCAACAATTTTTTTAAAAACTAAAATCTCAGTAGTTTTTAAGAACTCTGGATTGGATTATTCAAACTTCTTGGTTCCAAAAACCAGTGTTTCGTTTTGACAATGATAATAGCTGAATTTACTCACGGGTGTTTCTTACTTGGGCTATCTCATCCTAATTTTGGGGTGCTGTTCAAGTACTAATTATTATAATCCTAGACATGTATCTCTTCTTAGCAATGCTAGGAGGAACTCTTCTATTTGCAAAATTATAGGGAAACATAGAAATAATTGAAAGCAATCTTTATGTTTATGTAGGACATTGGTCTGTGTTCTCTCTTATGTATAATATCTTTTACTGGTTCTGTGATCATAGTTATATGAATATAGCATGTGATGGTATTTGGATAATCTAAAAGGAGATTATATAAAATGGAAGGTCTTTGTTCATTAATAACAAAACATGAAATGAGACGAGCTAAACTCACATTGTAGAACAGTAGTGTAAGCACTAATTTAAGCAGAGATTCATATAACAAATTAGTACATACACTAGAATCACATAAATGTAATTCCAATTTTAAATTTTTATTTCTCTTTGATGGGCTAATTAACAGTGGATAGGGAAAGGCCTCTTGAATGATTTGGCCTGGATCTTCTTGCACTTTTGCTATATTGTTCTGAATATTCTTGATTTTGACCCACTTGATCTATTTTCTTGTCACATTCTGCTGCATGCCAGATTACCAGTGTTACTGGTACCTCATCCTAATTGCTATGATTTCTCTGACTTCCTGTTATTGCTCAGGGTTCAGGAATTTGCATAAGGCGGTCTCTGCCTATGATGAATTTCTCCTGCCCTGGGTCTCTTGATTCAGCTCTGGATTTCTTGTTCACTGAGTCTTGGTATAAATCTCTTGAAAGACATTGAAATGACAAAAGGTTCTCTGCCATTTGGGAGGTGGAATTTAACATTATCATGGTAGTATACAGTCTGATAAACCAAGATTATCTTCTGACTGAGTACTATATTTATGACCCTTCTTTATCTTTCAAAAACCTTTTCCCCTCTGCTTGCTTCCTGAATTGTCATTACCTGAGTTGTGTAAAGCTACATGGGGGAAGAGGAGGCATAAGATTGCTGGGCGTAGCAAGTAAGAACACCTAGGAATGGCACAGAGAAGAGTTTGTTCTGGTGCATGTGTGAACTATCAGATATCCAACAGAAAAGGTTGAGTAGAAATGAGATATCTACGTTCGGTTGGGGAAAGTTACTAATTGAATTAGGAGCCATTGGAATATAGATATCCTATGATTAAACCATGAAAGGGCAATAGAACACCAGGGAGTGAATACAGATGAGAGAACCAAAAATTAGCCCTGGGCAATGACAACATGAAAGATTTCAAATATGCTTAACAAGTTTAAATATTCACGTTGGCTGAAAAAAAAGCCTTATTTTGGAAAATTTTTCCATTGGACAATTGGGAAAATAGGGGATCAATTTTATTTGGATTTGTCTTATGTGTAGAGACATGTGGTAGTACCTAGCTAATCAGAGTGTTTTGTAAAGGGGGCAGGGCACTGAAGGCAGCCCTTAGCATGCCTGAACCTGTGTGATTATGAGCTGGATCATAACGGATTTTTATTGTGTACCTGGTGCTTATTCATGCTCTGTAGGAAAGGGAAGCCTGGCTTTACTAACTGGGACTTTAAGTAATTTTTCTGTTTTTGATGCTCGAAAATCATCTTTCTTTTATTATTCATTCAGTAGTTTTTCTCCATCTGAAGGGAAATGTCTTGGCAAGTGTAAATGTGCTTCCAATTTTCTTTCTTGTTAATTCCTTTCACATGATAAATTGCAGGGAACTGCACTGAAATCCCTTGAAATTGAAAAGTCAGCCTACATGAATGCTTAGGAGCAAAGGTTTGAAACATAATAAGTCTGTATATATTCAGCTGAGAGAATTTTCAGAAACATTTGCAGTCCATTGCTACCATTTATGGATACCTATAGATTCATTTGCATACTTCTCACGAGTTCTTATTTAGGTGGTCAATTTGAGTTATCTAAAATGGTAACAAAACTCCCCAAGGTTACTTAAAATATTTTATGTCTTTTGAAAACACAGTCATTCGTACAATAACCTTTCCTTAAAAATAAAGCCAATTAAAATGAAGAAATATCTTTTGATTTCCCCCTATTTCCGTCTATACGAAGACAAACGACATCTCTTTCGACCCTGGCCTCCATGACCCTCTGTGCTGCTTGGTCATAATACAGGTCTTCAAACTATCTTTTTTTTTTTTTTTTTTTCTTAATTTGAGACAGGGTCTTGCTCTGTCACCCAGCCTGTAGTGCAGTGGTGTGATCATGGCTCATTACAGCCTCGAACTCCTGGGCTCAAGTGAAGGAAATGTAGCAGATACTACAACTGAGGGCTAAAATACTATATGACTAATAATGAAAACTGGAACTGTGTTCCTCCTGATGAAACACTCTGGGAATAAGTTAACATCTCCTGAGAAACATCCTTGCTTATGTTTAATCTGAATATAAAGAAACATCAGACAAGTATATACTGTGGGATACTAACAATGCCCATGGCCTGTCTTTCTAAAAAATATCAATGGTATAAAAATAAGAGGGGTATTTTATATTAAAAAAAGAAAAAAAAAAAACACCAAAAGACTTGATTAGATTCTAGATAAAAAAATTGTGCCTAAATTATTTCTTAACTATATCATTGTATTAATGTTAGATTTCAAGGTTGTGAATATAATATTATAGTTAAGCAAGAGCATGTTTTTATTTTTAGGAGATATAGGGGTACAGTAGAATAATGTCTGCAACTTTTACAAAATTTTACATACATACATATTAACATACATACAGATACAGAGGCTATAGAAAGAAAATTTGGCAAAATATTAATAATTGGTGAATTTACAATACTAATAGGGGTACATAAGCATTGTACTACTCTTTCAACTTTAAGTTTGCGTTTCATCAAAAAAAAGTTGAGGAAGTAAATTATACATACAATTGACCTTTGAACAACATGGTTTTGAACCATGCAGGACCACTTATCCTTGGATTGTTTTTAATAAAAGTCACACCAAGTATGCCTGTCTCTCCTACCTCCCCTTCCACCTCCTCTACCTCCTTTACCTCTTCTGCCTCTGCCACCCCTGAGACAGTGAGACCAACCACTCCTCCTCCTCCTCCTCTTCAGGATAATCAACATTAACAGGAGGAGAATGAAGACCTTTATAATGATCTACTTCCACTTAATGAATAGTAAATATATTTTCACCTCGTTATAATTTTTCTTATAACATTTTTCTATAACATTTTCTTTTCTCTAGCTTACTTTATTTTAAGAATACAGTATATAAAGCATAGAATATTAAAATACGTGTTTACTATTCACATTATCAGTAAGTCTTCCAGCCAGTGGTAGGCTATTAATTGTTAAGTTTTGGGGGAGTAAAAAATTACATGCAAGATTTTTGACTGCATGAAGACTCAGCATCCCTAACTCTCATATTGTTCATGGGTCAACCGTATTTGAAAGAAAATAAATGGAACTGGAAAACATATTTCTCATTATAAATAACCCCAATTTAAGAGGAGTACTTTTAACTGAAATCTACAATTATGTATATAGTAATAGCTTATTTTTCAGATAGTTCTGTACACTTCTTCAGGCACTAATATATCTTATTTACTTAGTATTTAGAAACTCCAATGGTGTCATATTGAATAATTTTTACTACTAATCTTCACTTTCTACAGTTGGAAAATTGAATCACTGAATTCAGTAGTCTTGCACATGATTTTACAAGTTAAAAAACATGGGGAAGCTCAATTCAAACTCAAGTCAACCATCATTAAGTGTCCTTGCACTTTCTATACTGGATTCACTGCATGCACATGTTTGTGAGTGTATTAGTCTGTTCTCACACTGCTAATGAAGACATACCTGAGACTGGGTAATTTATAAAGGAAAGAGGTTTAATTGACTCACAGTTCCACATGGCTGGGGAGGCCTCATAATCATGGTGGAAGGTGAATGAGAAACAAAGTCATGTCTTACATGGCAGCAGGCAAGCTCTTGCAGGGGAAGTCCCATTTATAAAACTATCAGATCTCATGAGTCTTATTCACTACCACAAGAGTAATATGGGGGAAACTGCCCCCTGATTCAATTATCTCCATCTGGCCCCACCCTTGACACATAGGGATTATTACAATTCTAGGTGAGATTTTGGTGAGGACACAGCCAAACCATATCAGTGAGTGTTCATGTATTTCCAACAATTAAAAGATCTTTGAAATTTTGTGGCTGGCTCTTGCTTTGGTAGATAGGTCATGGAGCGAATGAAGCAAAAATTGTAGAATCAATTTTCATATTGAGAGAGAAATATCCAGTATTTCCCATTACTATGCCACAAATGATTGGGATTGGGATCATAGGGCATAGAGTAGTGTTGCTTTAAGACAATGATATTCCTGCAACTTGTATATATTTATTTGGTGGCTTATACTGGCTTAAAACACTTGTTTTCATTTACCCATTTTGCTCTTGTAATAGTTACAATTTTAATTTGAATATTCAAATTGTTATAGCTTTTCATCATTTCATGAGTGTTTTCCTTTTGACATTTGAAAACCATAAAGTCATATTAAATAAGAAAACCTTTTTTAGTTTTGGAAACTTGAAATGAAACTTATATTTCCCCACACACTACAAGTCTAAGGGGTTTTAGGAGCAACTTTCCTGAAGTTGCATTTATGATGATGTGTTTTAAAGTTTATTTAATGATAAGATGATAGACATATTTATCATGTGAAGTAGTGGCTATTAACTTTAATTTTTTTTTTTGCCCGTTTCTTCTGACATTTTTCACTACTTTGGCAGATTTAACCCAACAATGCCAAACCAAGTTACTGTACAAGTTAAGTGTTTTATGGAACCAAGTCAAGTGGGCCTTGAGATGTGTTTTTCACTTTGTAATTGTATGATTATATATCAGGACTTCAACTCATATAGTTTATAACTGGTTCTTTAATTATATATGTAATTCCTAGGCTTAATATGCTAGATTCAAAGTCATAAGCTGATTCAAGTCAATGCTCTGTGGCTGTAGCTTTGCTGTCCCATGACTTCAGGGAAATGGCTTTCTCTGCCATTGCTGCTGCTTCTTAGATGAAATGGCCATTAAAGGGCTTGATTCCTTTGCTGACATGCCATATCCATTCCTTTCTATATCTCTTTATGAAGTATTCTTTGAACATTTAAAAACAAAAAATAGCATTTTGAAGATGTTTAAGGAGGGAGGCCCGTTCTCCTTAGAGCTGGTAATTCTGAAGGTCTGGACACGTGTATACAGTCTTTTGATGTTTTCTGTTTTCCCAATAAGTAATTTTAGACACCTGGCTATTTTAAGAGGGCTACTTAAATCCCTCTTAAATAAACCAACTGCATTAATGTAAAACGTAGATTATCTGTGCATGTTGTGTGGAAAAAGCAGAAGTAGCCGCTAAAGAGCATTTGCTTGACCATCTCTTAAATAAAGTTTTATCAGAACAACTGCTCTTTTCTTTTGATGATCCAGTATCCAAAAAGCCCAGGAACACTACAAAAATGGGAATCCTGTAGCAGTAATAGAATGTAATCGAAAAATCAGCAAAGGATCCCAAGGTGTAATTCACAAAAGGGGGGAAAGAGGTAAACAAACAAATGGAAAAATGTGCAACCACTCTATAATTAGTCATACATGTATAATTTTTCTGAAAAATAAATGTAACAGTTCCTGTAAATTAAATGCTTTAAAAATACCATTTTAGATACATTTTAACATCATAAAAAGTCATTTATGGTGACACATTATGCAATATTTGGAAAATACAGAAAGAAAAAATACCCATTATTTCTAACCCTCGTATCCCAGAAATAAGCTCATTTAGTATTCAGGTGTATATTCTTCTGTACTGTTTCATGCTTATAGATTTCTTTGTTAGTTTTATATAGTTTCAGGCTTAATACAATACAGAATTGTGTATTCTTCTACACATACTTAGCAATTTTTCATTCTTCTCTATTTAAACTTAACAATATGAGCTTTCAATATACTATAAATTTCTCATCAGAATGTGATAGCTTTTTCCTTTCTTTTATTCTTATCACAAATTTACATATGTGGAAGTGAAAATATGAAGTACAGAATTACAATGTGAAAGCTTTCACCTCTTAACTTTTCTAATTCCTCGTGTATGTTTCCAGATTCTCAGATAAGAATGGGTAAAAAGATAGGTGGGGCAGTAGCTAGGATAGAGAGAGAGCACAAATATAGGATCGTACTCAATATGTTGGCTTGTAATTTGCTTTTTGACTCAATAACATATAATGGACATTCTTCAATTTTACTAAGCAAAACAGCTTAGTCTGTTGAATAAATATGCAACATTTATATTATAATTGATGTACTAATGGGCATTTAAGTTCTCTCCAATATTTTGATGCTCCAAGGCTGCAAGAGACATTCTTGTCTACTCTTCTGAGTGTTTTTTTAATGAGAGTTAACTTAAGAATTTTCTGGTCAGCAGTTTCAGCTATTTTTTAGTTGGTTGGTACTGACAAATTACTCTCTAAAAATGTTGTACCGATTTATTCTTCAATCTATAATACATGGAGTATCATATTTCCTATGGTCTTAAAAACACCAGATATTATACTCTGTTTCTTAGTCTTTGAAAATATAATAAAAATAGAACTCTATATTTTTATCATGTTTCTCAGAACAATACATAGTTTGAGCACATTTTCATATATGTATTATTCATTTTTGTATAAATTGATGTGCAAATATTCTGGCCATTTTTATATTTATCTTTTTAAATCACAGTAAAACATTCCAATGAATGGTTTAACTATTGAATGCTATTTTTTGCAATATTGAAAAAATTATGGTATAAACACCTTTTGCAAAATGTTTTTATGCTATTCTAAATTACATACTTAAGATAAAAATGATAAGCCCAATTTGGGGTTAAGGGAGATACACATTTTTAAGGTTCTTCTTATTTTCCAAATAATTTCCCAGCAAAGAAGCAATGTATAGTAGTGTTAATTTCATCGAAGACCAGAAAAAATACTTTGTCAAAAATGTTGCTAAAAGCATAAATGAATACATTTATTTTTAAGAAAAAGCATATATGTATGACTAATTATAGAGCAGTCCCATATTTTTCCATTTGTTTGTTTACCTCTCTTCCACCCTTTTGTGAATTACAACTTAGGATCCTTTGCTGATTTTTTGTTACATTCTGTTACTGCTACAGGATTCAATACAGTATTGCAAGTGTGGAAGATAAAATAATTAACATAATCATAGAACAAAATCCATAATTTATCAAAAAGTCTGTATTGTATTGTGGTTGAGCACATTGATTCTGGAGGCAGATTATCTGGGGTTTGTATCCTAGGAGGATTAAATTAATTAATGTCAATGTATGAGTGTCCTGTGGCTGCTATGACAAATTATAATAGACTGGAAGGCTTAATACGGTTTTTTTTTTTTCATTCTCTCATAGTTCTGGAGGTTGTAAGTCCAAATATGTATCACCTGAAGTCCAAATATGTATCACCTGAAGTCAAGGTGTTGGGGCCTCTCTCTGGAGGCTCCAAGGAAGAATCAATTGCCTTTTCAGCTCCTAGAACTGCATTTCTTGCAATTCCTTAGCTTCTGATCTTTTCTCCACCTTCAAAGCCAGTAGCATAGCATCTTGCTTCAGTCTTCGCATTGCCTCTGTCTTTCTCTGTGAAATCACCTCTTGCCTCATTCTTGTAAGAAGAACACCTATAACTACATTTAGTGCTCTCCTGAATAAACTAGGATAATCCCCCTATTTCAATATCCTTACATTAATTATAGCTGCCAGGTCCCTTTGTTACATAAGGTGGTATTCACAGGTTTCAGACATTAGGATGTAGATATCTTTAGGGGACATTGTTGAGCTTACCACAGTCTGTAAAGCACGTAGGACACTCTGGACCACAGGAAATGCTAGGTAAATGTTAGCTGTTTCTATGTAAAAGTAGTTTGTAATAATGATGATATAAAAGGCCCAATAAAGTACTAGTGAAGTGCATGGGAATTTAGAGGAGGCCGAGTTTACTTCCATCTGAGGATATTACAGGTGGCATAACACAGTAGTAAGCATTGAGAAGAAGAGGTAATATTTTAGTTTGCAAAGATGGGGGTAATGCAAGTTTAACGTGCTGCATAATTCAGCTATTCCTCCTGCCCCTTCATCCTGTGACCCCACATTTGCTTTGTATTCAAAAGGACAAGGATAGCAAGGATAGTATAATCTGTGGACAAGAAATTTAATTTCTTTCTCTTATTAGCTATGTGACTGAGAATGCTTTTTCTCATTTTTGCATTTCTAAGCCTCAAATTCCTTCTCTATAGGATAGAGATTGAAGTACCTCTCTTTTTTTTACTATTATACTTTAAGTTTTAGGGTACATGTGCCCAACGTGCAGGTTAGTTACATGTGTATACATGTGCCATGCTGGTGCGCTGCACCCACTAACTCGTCATCTAGCATTAGGTGTATCTCCCAATGCTATCCCTCCCCCCTCCCCCTACCCCACAACAGTTCCCAGAGTGTGATGTTCCCCTTCCTGTGTCCATGTGTTCTCATTGTTCAATTCCCACCTATGAGTGAGAATATGCAGTGTTTGATTTTTTGTTCTTGCAATAGTTTACTGAGAATGATGATTTCCAATTTCATCCATGTCCCTACAAAGGACATGAACTCATCATGTTTTATGGCTGCATAGTATTCCATGGTGTATATGGGCCACATTTTCTTAATCCAGTCTATCATTGTTGGACGTTTGGCTTGGTTCCAAGTATTTGCTATTGTGAATAGTGCTGCAATAAACATACGTGTGCATGTGTCTTTATAGCAGCATGATTTCTAGTCCTTTGGGTATATACCCAGTAATGGGATGGCTGGGTCAAATGGTATTTCTAGTTCTAGATCCCTGAGGAATCGCCACACTGACTTCCACAATGGTTGAACTAGTTTACAGTCCCACCAACAGTGTAAAAGTGTTCCTATTTCTCCACATCCTCTCCAGCACCTGTTGTTTCCTGACTTTTAATGATTGCCATTCTAACTGGTGTAAGATGGTATCTCATTGTGGTTTTGATTTGCATTTCTCTGATGGCCAGTGAAGTACCTCTCTTACAGGCTTCACAATTAAATAAAGTAATGGTTAGGAGGGGTGTTTTGTAAAACGCAATTTAGTCCACAAATATTAGCTATACTGTTTGTCTCTACATAATTATTAAGTATATGGGGACTCCATTATTCCCAGGAAAATTGAGATCATTATCCTCAGAGCTTGATCAGATTGAAGATATACTTTTCACAAAGATTCAGACTAAGTCTGAATGCAGGTAAAAATGAACTACTTTTTGTAACAATTAAATTTAAATACTTTGCTAAAATCATGGCACTACCCAGATGTGAGATTTGAGCAAACAGGTAACTCATTTCCAAATTAATAAATAGATTAATTCAATGGAAGTCAACATTAGAATAAAATGATGACTTTGAGGTTTTTCCTTGTTTGCTCTCTTTTCATACTTTATGCCTTAAAACTACAAGATTTTTATCTAAACCTATTCCCCTCCCTCAATTTTTTCAGATTTAACTTTCAAGTATTTTCTTTCACAGTCTTCTCCTCCAAGACCTAAACAATTCACTCTGGCAATTTTTTTTTTTTTTTTTTAGGAACTAAATGATTTTTTTGACTCATTGGGTTGTTCCAGCCACCCTAAGGCTCTCAGAATATCTCCCTCAAATTGTTAGTGACAAAATTCTGGTTTGCATACACTATTGGTTTTGATAAATAAAGAACTTATTTTACCTAATGTATCTTATAAGAGCAAATCTGTAGAATTATAAACTCTGTTTTGTAGTTACTCTTATTAAGAAAAATTTATCTGGTCTAAGTTAACTTTTCAGCATACCTAGTAGTGGTTAATGAAACTCGAGGTATAATGTATGATAATTAACTTGCCCTGAAGCACTGCAAGAAGCAAAACCAATCCTTATTTCTACTATGGAGACAGGAGTTCTACATTTTTCCTTTCTGCTTTTTTGTTAGTTAGCAATGTGGAACAGAATTTTGTCATGTCATAGGGTTAGATGATGGTATTTTCTTCCTTAGTTGGTAAGAAAGAAATGGATGCTTGTGGTACATTGGTCATAAGTGGGGTTCCCTTTGGGTTTACTGCACTATGTCATTTTCCTAATGATTGGGGAAAGAAACATTATAGTCCGCAAAATATAAACAGGGTCCCGAGTGACCTGAAGTTGTCATTTCTCTGATGCTATGTTTTTATGTTTGTTTCCTTTTAAAGCAGAAAAGTCAGCAGCTCCATCCAGGTTACACAGAGCAGTGGGGGGTATTTGGTCTTTTACTTGGTATCACATGTTCTGAGCAGAAGAGGAAAGAAATCAAGCCTGTCTGGTAGACCTAGGCATTGGTGACAGTCTGTGATGGATCTTTACATTTTAGTTTCTTTTCACAACAATAAAAGCTGAACATCATCTACTTAAACTATACAGTAATAAATAGTTGCAACAAAAACATTGTGTATGAACAAAGAAACTGATATAATTTGATACAATAAACATATTTTTGCATTATGATATATATATGTTCAAATAATCCATAAAGATACATATTAGGAAGTTTGTACTTTGAAAATATTTTTAGATCTATCATGCCATCTGTTCCTCACAATAAACCTGGGATGATGACAGTCATCCCATTCTATAGACAAGAAAAGTAAAGGGGTGTGAATTAAATCTCTTTAACATCACTCATCCAGCTAGGGGGGCAGAACAGAGTGGGAGCCATGTTTTCCTGGTTTTAAGACAAACCTAACAACTTATTCTTTTTTTTTTTTTTTTTTTTTTTTGAGACGGAGTCTCGCTCTGTCGCCCAGGCTGGAGTGCAGTGGCGGGATCTCGGCTCACTGCAAGCTCCGCCTCCCGGGTTCACGCCATTCTCCTGCCTCAGCCTCCCAAGTAGCTGGGACTACAGGCGCCCGCCACTACGCCCGGCTAATTTTTTGTATTTTTAGTAGAGACGGGGTTTCACCGTTTTAGCCAGGATGGTCTCGATCTCCTGACCTCGTGATCCGCCCGCCTCGGCCTCCCAAAGTGCTGGGATTACAGGCGTGAGCCACCGCGCCCGGCCACAACTTATTCTTAAACAACAGCTTCCACAGAAAACAAGCCTGGCTAATTCTCATCTCCTGCACGACTGTAGCCTGGTTTATTACGCTCATTACTAATCGCTACTCTAAGCAGCAGGCAGTATCTTGGGAGGAAAAATGTCTTGATGCCAAGCATGATTTCTAACGTGTGTAAGTTTCATAAAGCAAAGGAAAGCTTGGATTTGTATTACACGGCTGATGATGAAACAGGACACTTACTGAGATGGAAGTCTTTTTAAACACAGCAGCTGCACTATCTGTGTGTGTATCCATCCTTATATGTGAGTGTAAATAGCAATGTAAAAAATATGGTCCTTAGAATGGCAAACCCCCAAGGCTTATTAAACGCAAGTTTATGAAATATATTGATGTGCCGATGAACACAAAATATTCATGTATCTCTGATGGAAAGTATCATTCTTTAAAGTATGTTGGGTAAATATGATGCTATAAATCTAGGGCTCCCCAGGTAAGATTTTTCTAGCGAGTTTAGTAGACATTAGGGGAATCTGGCCCACTGTGATTTTATTTGCTTTAGCAAATGGGGAAAAAAAATCTCTCCATTGCTCAAAGCTCTTGGGCACACAATTAAAAAAAAAATGGATTACAGTATTAGCAGTCTTGCAAGACACTCCCAGGTAGGTTAATAAAATATAAGTACTTGCAGTGGCCAAATAATAGCACATTTGATTAGGAAGGTGAGGGGGGGGATTGGTTGTTAAGGTCCAGGAGAGTGATAAAGTTGCCGGTATGGGCTTGTGAGCTCTCTCTGCGTGGATTCAGAGACTGTAGCTGTGTTTTCCCCCAGTGGCACTGCCAGCTGCAGTTCTTAATGAGTTATCACATCCCGGGCTGAGCAGACAACATGGCATATTAGGAAATATTTTAAAGAAAAATTTGCCGCCTTGCAGAGTGAACATTTTGAAGAGGCTAGAAATGAGCCCCTGAGAACTTTCTTGAGAGGAGGTTAAAATAGAAAGTCTTCCTGGGAAAAGACAACGTGATTTTTATCAATGATCTAAAAGCTGAAAGTCAAGCATGCCAACATGCAGACAGAAGTTACTGCAGTTCTTGCCTCCCACAGAAAGGTTCTTGGGACAAGGAATAAGTGAGTCTCACTGAGAGGAAAACAGAAATTAGAGTCCCCCACAGCCCTCCAAAAATGTGGCATGTCAGGTGAGTGTTTATCCATTTTAATATTTTTTAGCGATAATGACTGAAGATACTCTTGGCATGTGTGCATCAATAAAAACATAAGGTAAGGGCCAAGAAACAGAGTCTGTGGCTTTTGAGGAATCAGTGCCTTATGGAAAAATGTACCCCTGACATAGAAGGAAGCTGGAGAAAGAAAGCAGCACAGAACTCCTGTGATTGTTCTTTTCCTCGATATTTTCCATTTTATCCTCTCAAGAGTTTTGAAAGGTGAATATTTTGAAGTCTATTGTTTTTGAGCAAGAAACTGAAGCAGAGAGAATGCAACTGACCCAGACCTCTGCAGATAGAAGTGTCTATGCCATTCTACCGCAGCCATAATTCTAGTGTTGATATAATTCCTTCAAATTGTTGTGGTGGTGTTTT
This sequence comes from Homo sapiens, assembly GCF_000001405.40. NCBI lineage: Eukaryota > Metazoa > Chordata > Mammalia > Primates > Hominidae > Homo > Homo sapiens. The sequence goes on along the minus strand of NC_000002.12, from coordinate 14,208,231 downwards.
TTCCTCTGCTATCTATCTCTTCAGTTCCTCAGTTATACGGTGAGCTTATAGTGAAGGCAACTCTTTACCTTTCTCACAACTCATACCCCAGGAAGCAAGCCTAGGAGGTTGCGGGTGGTTAGCCATTGTCTTGAGTATTACCACAGTTTTCACCTGTTTGGTTTGCACTTTCCAATTCCTGTTACCGTCATCTTCCTACTCCCCTTTCTCCTCTTTTTTCTTCTGTTACTTCATGGTAATATCAGCTCCATTAATTTTTGGAAGCATGAAGCAGTTGGTAATTTGCAGCTATGAAGCAGGAAAATGTGAATTTTGTGGAAACAACTCTATTTTTTTGGTGTGAGATGCATGGAGATTTCAAAGTTTCTCTAAGGATATTTTACATCATACATTTACTAAATACCTACAATTTGTCTTGGATGGTAGTGGGAGCTTGATAATTTTGTGTAGGTAGTGTAGGAGAAATAACAGTGAATTCTTAAATGATGTGATCGACTTTCTGGTATTCAGAAGTTAAAGAAATGCAAACATATATGTATAAAATAAGAGATAATAAAAACTATTATAACATAAAAAATAAGCAAAGAGCCAACACTATGCAAAGTAAAGATAAATTGATTTTGATTGGGGAAAAATGAGAAGTTTATTAGAGGAGAGCTGGGCCTTATTACACAGAAAGGCAATTTGAGCTGGCCTTACTATACGGTACAACTGGTCAATATGGTAAATCAAAAACCCTCTCTTCTGATTCTTTGTGGGATAACTTTTGAACCACAATAAAATGAGTGTTTTTATATTCTGTGCCAAAATTTATTTCATTTTTCTGATATTCTTTTAACCAGTTGTTTTTCTACTTTTTTGAATCTTTAAACATGCTTCTAAAAATCAAAGTGATTTTCAATATTACATCTTGGGGCTGGAATAAGAAGTTGAGAGAGGTCTGTGGCTAATCAAAATAGAAGAGACACTCATAGACTATCACAAGCTTTCCGAATCTCACTGAAACAGACAAATACAGTGGCTGCCCATTGGTGCCCCAGGTTTGGAAGACACCTATAGTCTCAGTGCAGAATGATCCAGCTCATACGTAGTATGACTGTGAAATCTTCTGTGGGACTTCATAGGCAAGCTTCAGGAGCATGACCTGGCTCTGAGTATGTTATGGAACCTAGCTGAACCCAAATTTTTCTTCCATACGGTAAGTAATATTCCTTTTTACAAGCTACAGCTTCCTTTATTATGCCTTTACTCAGGCTCATAACTAAAATGACTTATAATGTTGTTCTATCATAATTATTAATTCAACAACTATTTACTAAGTATCTATTATAAACTAGATCTGAGGAGGTGCCTTCCCCTCTCCAAACAATTATTTTTGGTGTTGCTGTTATGTAAATCAAGATAGCCTTCCTACTTCTTTGCTTCCATTTTGCGAATTACTTAAATTCTCTTTCAATTTTTCATTTTAATTGGTAATGATAATTAAACCCCCACTTAATAAAATTATTGTGAAGATTTAATGACAATATATGTAAAGTACTTATAAGACTGCCTGATATATGTAAATATCTTATGAATAAAATCTTTTCTGTTTGTTTTTATTTCTATTTCCTCCTTGGGGTAGGGAGGTTTAATTTGGGTCTTTAAGAATAGGTAAAATTTAGATCTCTCTAGGTGATGTTAACGTAACAAGTACAGCGGGTGAAATTGTACGGGGGATGTTCAAGTAGAAAGATAATTAGACTGGGAATCAGAGTACCTGTGTGTTGATAAACATGAGGAACACTTATAATAAAAGTGATAATAGGAATTGCATTTAGTACCTAGTATATAGAGCTGGGCTAAGATATGAACATAGACTACTGTATCTACTGCATCTAATCCTGTTTGCATAACCTGCTGAAATTTGTTTCCTTTGCTAATTCCTTGTACTCCAGTTGTCAAATGGAGTATTAAACTTGATCACTGATCATCACATTTTATTTTTATTTTTTAATTATTATTATACTTTAAGTTTTAGGGTACATGTGCACAATGTGCAGGTTAGTTACATATGTATACATGTGCCATGCTGGTGTGCTGCACCCATTAACTCGTCATTTAGCATTAGGTATATCTCCTAATGCTATCCCTCCCCCCTCCCCCCACCCAACAACAGTCCCCAGAGTGTTATGTCCCACTTCCTGTGTCCATGTGTTCTCATTGTTCCATTCCCATCTACGAGTGACAACATGCGGTGTTTGCTTTTTGTCCTTGCGATAGTTAAATAAATCATGCTGCTATAAAGACACATTGCACACGTATGTTTATTGCAGCACTATTCACAATAGCAAAGACTTGGAACCAACCCAAATGTCCAACAATGATAGACTGGATTAAGAAAATGTGGCACATACACACCATGGAATACTATGCAGCCATAAAAAATGATGAGTTCATGTCCTTTGTAGGGACATGGATGAAATTGGAAATCATCATTCTCTGTAAACTATCACAAGGACAAAAAGCAAACACATTTTTTAATTATTACAAGAATCCTCTCAAAATCAGAACTTTTAGCAATTATTTCTAGTGAGAGAAGCCCTCATTGAAGTCACAGTTGAATAGTCTAGGGAAAATGTCAGAGAAAAGGCCATTAGGATGCAGGGTATTGGGAGCAGGGTGCAAGGGAGGTCCCGCACCCAGAGAAGAGCAGGAAAGATAGGAGTGGCATGGATCAGAGAAGATGCTGAAATCGGATAAGATTGTGGTCATAATGTCGTGGCAGCTAGAATTCTTACATGCCTTCTGTGAATCACAGCTGTGTTAGTGTCATCCAGTTAGTAAGTTTCAAAATTGTTATTCCAATCCACATTGGCCAGATTCTAAGATAGAATGACTTTGATTTCTCCATCTTTAAAAAGTTTTACTAGGCACAAGGCTGGCCACTGAAGAAAAAGATTGGTAAGCAGGCTCTCTCCTTCCCCTCATGAAGATTACAGTCTACTGAGGAAACAGAATAACCAGTGTCGAATGGTAAATAGTATAAATGAAGCAGGATATTTTCCTGACCCCTCGGCGGACTCATGAAGGCGGTGCCTCGTTTACTCAGCCCGCAGCCCTCAAATTCTCGCAGGAGGGAACACGTAAGCAAACAACAAGGGAACTGGAATGCACGGTTCCCATGCTAGAACTAGCTGGCCACTTCGGCACTGGCAGAGGTGAACTCCACTCACTGGGACCACTGCACTCCAACCCCTTGTGGGAGGGAGCACACAGGTGAGAGGTGCAGGAGCCAAGGTGAGCGTTTTTGGGCACTCGCAGGAGCAAACTCCATGCAGATACAAGTAGCAGCATCTGGGGATGCCTGTGACCCCTGAAGCCCCAGAAAGAGTGTTACAGTGCTTTTAGCTGTGGATGGCTTAAGTGTTAATAGCTCAGTGGATGCTCTGCATTTTTGCGTGAGTCGGCTGCCTTCCGCCAGCCAGTGCAAAGGGTCAGTGTGACAGCCTTTTGCATCCTCACTCATGGTTTTCGAGTTCTAGTCCAGCATCCAGGAGAAGTGAGGTCACATGAACAACTGAAGGATGGTAAATGTGGGGGATTTTATTGCTGATGAAAGAAGTGGCTCTTAGTGGGAAGGGGACCTGAAAAGGGGATGGGGCGGGAAGGTAATCTTCCCCTGCAGTCTGTCTGTCTCTGGCTGGATTCTTCTCTGAAGTTACACCATCAAGCTATCGTTCTGAAGTCGAGCCACTTCTCTCCAATGTCCAGCCTTAGCCTCCGATGTCCAGCTGCTTCTCCTCTCTCGCCCAGCTGTTATAGGCACAGGATGGGGGCTGGGGTGGGCCATGGGTGGTTTTGGAAAAGGCAACTTTGAGGCAGGAACAGGAGGAATGTTAAGTTCTCACTTTGGGCCATGGTTTCAGGCTTTTCGGCCTGAGGGTGGGGCTTTCACCAGGGACCTGCTCTTTTCTGCCTAGAATTTCTCTGCCTCCTGTCCCTATCATAAACCCGGGGAAAATAAGATTCTCTAGGAACACATAGGAAGGGCATGACAGCATGCCCCAAGGCAATGGGATAGATGAAATTCACCAACTAATGAGCAAATAACATGGCTAATTTTAAAGATACGTCATTACCAGGCTGTTGTCTCAGGGGTCTGTGGATCACTAAGTAAGGGACTCTGGTGCTCTATTGATTATGCTAACTTTGTTTCTCATCATTGCCCCTATACCTTTAATGTTATGAAAATTATATATTGTGTTTCTTCAATTCTTCCAGCTACCTTCAGAATTTTATCACATAAAAGCTTTAGTTAAAATTAACTAAAAATAAAACAAGATGAATTGATTTTTTTCTCATTTCCCTGGAATCTCCTAATCGAACTTCTCATTAAAATTATCTGAAAATTGATTTTAGAGTGTTATTACATTTTTAACATCATACATCAACCATTCCTTATATTGAAAATAATTTATAATATTGTTAGCTCATTAATCTATTGTTTCTTTTATTGTATAACTTCTCTTTGCTTGTTGACTTTTTCCACCATTTTATGGTGGTATATCCTTGAGAACTACATATTTTACAAGTAGTATTTCTTGAATGGTACATTTACTGAGTTATTGAATGTACAACAGTCTTTTATTTTTCCCCCACAGTTAACTCACAATTAGGTATAACTGAAAATCTCAGGTAAAAAAATCATATTTTTTGGAAGAAGTTACTTCATAGTCTTCTAGCATCTAGTGTTGCTGGTAAGTCCCCACAAATTGTATTTTTTTAATATTCTGCCAAATATCAGAAATTTATATTATCTTTGGTGTTCTTAAATGTCACATGCATGTTGCAAGGCACGGCCTTTTTAAAAATGTATACTACTTGACATTTAGTGGGTCTTTTTAGTCTGAAAATTTAGGTCTTTTGATATTTTGAAAGTTTTGGAAAATTTCTCTCTGTCATAATAATTCCATATCTGAATAATCCCTTTTTCCTTATTCCCTCCCTCCCACCCTTCCTTCCTTCCTTTCCCTTCTGGAGGTTTCCTTTAAGAGGTTATTGTGTTGTTTTTTTTTTTTCCAAATATAGTTTACTTACAACATTTACTTTATCAATCTATATTGCAGAAGGCTGTTAAAATATCTGTTTCTATGATGACACTCTTGTTTTTAGCTCTTTTTGTAAAATTTTATTTTGAAATGATTTCAAATCTACAACATAGTTGAAATAATATAGAGTTTCTATCCCACTTACATTTTTCCTTTTTCCTTCCTTCCTTCTTTCCTTCCTTCCTTCCTTCCTTCCTCCCTCCATTCCTTCCTTCCTCCCTCCCTCTCTCCCACCCCCCCCCCCCACCTTCTTTCTTATTTTACCTTCCTGGAACTTCTGTTAACATTTGCTGGGGTTTATGAGTTAATACTGAATTCTTAACTTTTCTTATCATTTAAGTTTGTCTTTTTTAAGTCATTTTTCATACTCCAGGAGAATCTTATCTTTCACCTTCCTGATCAATAATATGACATTAAAATATTTAGTCTATGATTCAGCTATTCAGCACCTATTTTTTATGTATATATTCGTAATTTCTACCAACTTGAATTCATTCTTTTTTTTATAACAACTTATTCTTGTTTACAGTGAAGATACCTCTTTATCCCTTTAAGGATACTGTTCTTTGAAAGCCATATATTTTTTTCTCTAATAAACCAACTTGTCAGTGTCTTAGTTTCTGTTTACTGAATTTTGTACATTTTTCAAAGTATTTTTTCTTTTATTAAATATTAGATTAGTCTTGATTTGGTGCTCACCATTTTATTTGAGATCGCCTTCTAATTTTTGTGTGGATCTAGATGCTGGTTGCTGTATTCAGTCTCCAAAGAGTGCAGTCTGTGCTGCAGTGTATGGCTCTCTGGTTGCTTTTTCCCTGGGTTTGGTGACTAGTCACACTTTTGAAAGTAAATAGCAACTCGGGACACTGGTGCTACTTATTTGGCCATTTTGCCCATTGCACTGTTCTCCTCTGAGTTCCAATGCTGAGGAAAAATGTGTTACGGGAAAGGGCTGATGACCCAGCTGGTCCAAAAGCTGCTCCTTAATTAATCACTTTCTGAAACACCCAGCCTGCCTTCTTCCTTCCAGGGTGTCTTACCTTGGTATTTCTGAAGAGATTCCTCCAGTGACAGAAGATTCCCCTGTGCCTGAACTAGACTGAGGTTTCCTTTAAGAGGTTGCTGTGTTGTTTTGTTTGCTTTATCCAAATGTATTTATAACATTTACTTTATCAATCTATACTGCAGAAGGTTGTTAAAATTTCCATTTCTCTGATGGCACTCTTATTTTCTAGCCCTTCTTTTAAAAACTTTTCATTTTGAAATGATTTCAAATTTGCAATGTAGTTGAACGAATATACTAAGAGATCTCATCCCCATTTACATTTTTACCAGATTTATTTACCCTTGGTCCTCTATTGTATTTTTTTCTTACTATTTGAATATAGGTTGAATATATATTTATAGCTTTTACCAATTTATTACTACATTGTATTGATCTTCAGTATTTTCTAAGAACAAGGATATCCTTTTAGTTAAATACAGTAAAGTGTAGTTGAGAAAATTTAACATTGACATGACAAAACTTTTATCTGATCTATTGTCCACGTTCCAATTTTAAAAAAACTTCCCATTAATGTCCTTTATAACATTTTCCCCCTCCATTATGATATTTGATCCAAATTACACATTTCATATAATATTTGCATATTTTTAATCCTTCTTTAATCTGAAAATTCCTCAGCCTTTTTTGTCTTTAATGACATTGACATTTTTAAGACACCATGGCAGTTGTTTTTGTATTTGTCTCACCATTTGAGTTTGTCTGATGTCTCTTTATAATTTGATTGGATATTTTGGTGTATTTGGCTGAGGTACCACGTCAGTGAGGTTATGTGCTTCTCAGGGTTTGATGTCAGGGGGTACTGGATGATATTTTTTCCTCTAAATGGTTAGGAGTGTTGTTGTCCATTTTCTTCAGTGTATAGTTAATATTTTCCTTTTATAAAGTAATTTACTGAGAGCTATATAGAAATATAAATTACATTTAAATATAAAATATATAAGTGTAAAAATCTCTTTTATTTTCCCTGGACTTAGTATCTAGTGATTCATGCCTGATTCACGCTTACTATGATAGCTACGAAACAGTAATATCAAATTTATCATTCTTACATATTTTTAGTTGGCATTCTAAATATAAAAAGGAGAGATTTTTGTTGTATATCATCTATGTTTTCTTTTTATTTCTGGATTCTTACTTGATACAATAGGATATAATCCATTATTACTTTCCTTATTTTTATGCTAAAATTTTCCCAGAACCAGCTACCAGTGAGGACTGCTCCAGAATGACTTCTGTGTTTTAAAAATATGTCCTTGTTGATTTATTCGTTCATTCAGGAGCTTTCTTTTATTTTCTAATGGTGCAACATGTTCCAGGTTCATCTTGTATTTTGTTCCTCGAACATGGAGATAGCCTTTTTTTTTTTTCTTTTTTTTTTTTTTTTGAGACTCCTGGTTCCTTTTACTGGGGAATAGTATTTATTAATAGAAACCAATATCTGAGGCCAGACATGGTGGCTCACGCCTGTAATCCAAGCACTTTGGGAGGCCAAGGCGGGCAGATCATGAGGTCAGGAGATCCAGACCATCCCGGCTAACACAGTGAAACCCCATCTCAACTAAAAATACAAAAAATTAGCCGGGCGTGGTGGCAGGAGCCTGTAGTGCCAGCTACTTGGGAGGCTGAGGCAGGAGAATGGCATGAACCCAGGAGGAGTAGCTTGCAGTGAGCCGAGATGGCACCATTGCACTCCAGCCTGGGCGACAGAGTGAGACTCCATCTCAAAAAAAAAAAAAAAAGAAAGAAAAGAAACCAATATCTGAGCAGTATCTGTGCTCATTACTATGGGAGTCTTGTTGATTCTGGTCCCTTTCAGAGTTCAGAAGTCGGAGAACTCCCTTTAATTCTAATTTAACCCCAAAGTGTTGTTGCATCTTTTCCCTCCTTCTATATTGTCTCTTCCTTCTATCGTAGTAAAATCCTTGATTCTCAATAACATAAGCATATTTATTTCTCAGTCTTCTGACACATACAAATAATACCATAATTGCTTTACCTATATCAGTGCAAAAAATAAAACTACTATTAAGAGTCCATGATTTTTTCATGTTCTTATACTTTTATTTGGACTGAAGTTATATAATCATAGTTAGGAGTTCCAAAGTTATCTGGCTTAGCCCCTCTGCCTCCACAGTGTAATTGTTATTCATTTGAAGTAAAACTAAATCTGAGTCTGGTAGCATCTGGCTCTAGGATTTACTTCCCCATTTTTGTTGATTTAATTTTATTTTTCAAATAAGTCAACTATTAACATGGTTCCCAAAGTAAAAGTGACATAAAAGGTATACTTGGAAAAGTATTTCTGTTTTTCTGTGTTTCACTCTGTCTCTCCCTCCTTCCTTGCCTCTTTTGAGTGACCAGTATTATTAATTTCTGGTTTATCTATCTTTTCTCCGTGTGTGTGTGTGTGTGTGTGTGGGTGTGTGTGTGTGTGAGTGTATGCACACGTGTGCGTGCAGTTCATAGCAGAACTAAGAAGAGATATGTTTTAGGATGGGCAGAATTCTAAGGTGACCCCCAATGAGTCTGTCATATCCCTATATAATCCCATCCCCTTAGGTACAGAAGGAATCTTTAACTTGCTTTCAGTCAATAAACATAGGCTAGACGAAGGGACAGTCACTCCCTTGGTTATGTTACATTATATAAAACTGAAGAGTGAGAGTGAGAAAGAGAGAGAGAGAGAGATTTTCCTGCTAGCTTTGAGGCAAGGACCTCCCACATTGTGAGAAGACCTGTGAGAGTGTCACTCGACAAGGGACTGTGGAGACCTTTAGGTGCTGGGCATGGCCCCAGCTGACAGCAGCAGGAAAGAAAGGGCCTCGGTCCGTCATCCACAAGGAATTCAGCCAACTACCACATGAACTTAGAAGAGGATCTCAAGCTCCAGAAAGGAATGCAGCCCACAGTACACCTCTACTTAAGTCCTGTGAAACCCTGAGCAGAGAATTCAGTTTAGCTGTGCCCAGATGCCCAACCCATGGAAAATAAGAAATTAGAAAAACAAAAAAGCATAAGCCACTAAATTTGTGGTATTTTTTCTTAGCATTGAAAACTAATACATATATTTCCTTATTTTTGATTTTATTTGCGTAAAAATAGAATTATTTCTATATTCTTTTAACTTTTTAAAAGCATTATATCCTGGAGATCTGCAGGCCAGTTAATTTACAGATTTTTTTTCTCAATCTGGAGATCACAGTTGCATAACACTTTATTATTATAACAACAATTTTTCAACATTTGGGCAGTTATTCATTTCTAATACTTTGCAATTATAAATGATGATAGTTTAACTTTTTAGAAATGTGAAAATTATTTTCTTCTAGTAGAGAAAGTAAGCCCATTTATCCTTATTGATATGACTAGTATTTGGTCCCAGCTCTACCATAATATTTTATTTTATAATTTCTCTTTATTCATATTAATTTTTCTTTGTGTGGAGTGTCTTCTTTGTTCTCTCTCTCTACTTTTTGATATTTAGTCATGTTTGTATTTCTGTTCTAGCAGCTACCTTCATATTGATGCCTTTTATAAGTGTCCTGAATCCCCTCTATTCTTCCTTCACCATTTACTATCTGGGTTGTTAGTTCTAAATATCATCCTTTGATTCCACTTAACAATGTATACAGTATTGAATTATCTCATTTTCTATTGTCTTTGTTCTATCCCCTTTTTGACTTTTTAAAGATACAATCTTTTTGCTTTTGCAGTACATATAATATGTGTCTACTGTCTATGGCATTCATGTTCCTACCATTCTAGACTTACTATTAAATATGTTAAATCTTTCTCTATCTCTTAGTATTGCTGAAGCTGTATCATGGGCCGTTTTATTTGTGCCTAGTGCTAATCCCATGTAGAATTATTTTGGGGGAGGGATAAGATATGTAAAAATATATAAAGTCAGGTGGTCTTCCATATTCTAGGGTTATCCAGTCTGGATTTCTATTTTTTTGTCATTTTAATTTTTTAAAAAGAATTTTTTTAGATTTGGAGTTGGAGAAAAAGCAAATGCATGTCCTCATTTTGCCAAGCTAGTACCATTTTGAAAGCTGTTACAGCTTTGTTCTCTCTATACAGTTTTTGATATTTAGCTTATCCGTTGAAGCTAGTTTCTGGATGAACCGACATATTCTGTTTCTCAGACAAATGGCAAAACTGTCTTATTTTAGTGTTTCAGTCCATCAGCCAGCATTCCTGTGCTCACTCAACCAAAGCCTTGGCAAAACTTAGGATGGCTTTGGCAAAAATTGTTCTGACATGATTTGACAAATTGGAGGACACAGTAAAATGAACTGCATTGTCATTTCACCTCCACAACTTCTGCAAACATTCCACTGCTGTTAGTCTTGTGTAGGCCATTCACCCAGAATAAGGAATGGGGTATGCTAGTAAAGTCTGCTGTAGATAGGTGATGGGTAAGTAGGAGTTAACCTGGTAAAAGAGGATGGAGACACAAGTTCAAGGCCTAAGGAATTATACATGGGCTGAACCCAGCATTGACAAAAGAGGGCAGAGAGAAGGAGTGAGGAAGAAACCAAAACGACAGGGCCTACTTAGGTCTCTACTTTGCTTGCTAGCCCTGTGACTTGTAAGGAAATCCCTTCTTTAATTAAATAAACATAACACTACAAGAGGAAGTGAAAATTCCTACAGGAATATCAAGGTCATTGGTATGGATAGTAGTTTTCCTTCCTCCTGACTTCTCCTAGGGAACGCTATGTTTTGTATTTCAGGAAGGTGATTCTCCTGCATGAATTTGCTTTCCTTCCCTGAGTTTTCACATCATACTTAGTGTTCTCATCCTGTATAGTCCCCCATTTTTGTATTCTTTATTGGTATTGTGGCCAGGTTTCATACTGAGTCTCTCAGGTTTAAAACATCTTTACCTCTCTAGTTTCACAAAGCATCTCTGAGAGTAGTTATCAGGGCAATCAAATAGCGCTGTGAGTGTATTCAGGGCTCCAGGAGCCTCTGGATATCAACGTTGCAAATTTCGTCAGGAACTTGAAATAACACAAGACATTTCTTTATATAGCATGCCTCATTCTTACAACTTATTAGTAGATACAGAGAAGGAGAGTAAGCGGGGGAAGGGAACAGACAGAAGAGAGGACAGGAGAGGTGAGAAGAGGACAGAGAGGAAAGGAGGGAGGAGAGAAAGAAAGAATATTTCTTACTGTGCAATTCTATCCGGTGTATTAACCCCCTTTCTATAGGCATTAATATACTGGTAGAATTGCACTGCATGAAATTTCCAAATTATTAGACAAAACTTGCCACTCACTATAGAACAGGAAAATTCTATATTATTACCTGCCTAGCCATTTTTGTGGTTTTTCTTGCAATTCTGGGACAGATTTTGCTTTCCCATATTTTGAATCATCCTCTGCAGATGCAAAGAACCAGAGACCAGAAAGAATCAATTTCAGTGAGAATGGGAGCAGCTGTCATGCACTGAATTTCTAGAGATGGCAATGGCTGTGATTCTAGTGGGACCTGCCCAGTGTCCAGGGGTTGGGATTGGCATTGGAAACTATGTAACATATGCCCAACAGGAGAGACGGTAGTTTTCTAGTGAACCAGTTTTGTGACATGATTTTAGGTATTTTCCTGACTTTTTACCCCAAAATCTGGGATCCTACTCTTCCAGAGAACAGTTCAATATTCTTTTGCATAAATTTTTCCTATTTAGCCTCTGTTGCTTGTAACTAATAACTCTCATATACTGAATAAGTCACTTTTTCTTTTTGGGACTTTCATTCTTGTGAAATTGGCTGATTCGTCTATATATTGCAGTAAAATAGTCTATCATAGTAAGATTCATTAAAGACTCTTCATGTTAGAAATTATTTCAATAAGAATAAGAGTTCCTTGAATTTAAAAAAAAAGCAAAGAATGGCTCATGCCAACTTTTCAGAAACTATTTCACACTCATTAGTGATTTTCTAATATCAGATGATTAATGACATGACAGTAAACTTCTTACTCCACTCAGTGAATTTCTGATTAAGTTAGAAATATGTTAATCACAGAAGTAAGAAATTCATGTTTTTTTAAAAGGGATTTGATTATAGTTCTAATGAGAAGTGATTTTTAAAGGGGTGTACAATTTGCCATTTTGAACAAAATAACACTTTTTATGGTAATTGAAATATGCAGAGTGATATAATAAAAGGAGTTTGAGATGTTGTCTGGGAAGGAAAAGAGCTCCAGGGGAAAAAGGATTGATAGTCAGAACATATAAACTGAGCATTCCATTATTTTCCAGGGGAAGGAGATTCAAGAATTTTTTTTAAGATCAAAATAAAGATTTTTTAAGACCATCAGTTTCTTTCTGGAAAATATTTCAGAGTATTTGACATTTACATACCTTTATGGACAATGTGAGATATTTTTTCAGGTCACCTGAACATACGTATATTTAAAACATTCACCAGTAAAGATAGTTCAGCTTTCTTAAGATTGGGCATATATCTTACAGTGCGCAAAACTTACCATTTTGAAAACATGCAACTTTAGAAGAAACAAATTTATTTGTGCAGATTTCACCAATAAAAACTCTTTTAAGGCTATGAAAAAAATTTTAAATCTAACAACACAAAATTTAAAATTTGAAGGGTTAATTCCCCTTGGGTGATTTTTGCGATGTTTTACCACAAGCTGTAACAAAACAAAAAGGCAAAAGCATATTTTTTCAATCACCTAAAAAATCACTGACACTTTTGTGATAAATTGGTTTAACATATAATCTAATTTTTTTCTTATTAGTCTGAAAATATTGATAAGAAATAAGTACATTTTCTCACTACCCGTCTTAAACATTCATCAGTGTGATGAATATGCATGAATTGTCTGGTGTTTGTGACTGACACACACTTCTTTAGATGTGTCGTTGGTCTAGATAGTGTTTTATCTCAGGTTGAAAGCTCTTCAAAGCCCAGGACTATGCTTTTTACCTTTTTCCAATAGTAGTATTGAATACCACAGGTCTTTATCAGATATTTGATGATGTCCTTATTAGTGTACATTTAAACAGGTTTGCATTTCACAGCCTACGAAACAAGCATTTGCAAGATGGTATATGAATCTGGAAGTCTAATTAGCCAACTTTTGGTATCCAGAACAATCTTGTTTTTGTGGTTTTATTTTGTTTTTAAAATTCACAAATTTTTTCAAATATTACATTCAGCTGAACTTTATCAAGTACCGCCTAAGTGCCAGGCACTGTTAGATGCTGAGACTCAAGGGTGAGTGAACAGAGCTGGTCTTTTACCTCATGTCCAGTGACAGACATATATTCATTAAAAAAATTACGCCAAAATCAGTAAAAGGGGAACTGTGGTAAGTGCTGTGAAAACATGTTAAAATAAAATCGAAAATGTGGAAGACATGTTCTGTGTTTTAGTCAGCTTTATATTCCCAAAGACAACCAAATGACTGGCAAATACTTCTTCACTAAAGGTCAGTTTAATTAATCATTTCCACCTTTCATCAAGATTGTTTGTATTTATAATTGGAAGGCTAAGCTGGTTAGAGAGATCAGGACAATGTCCCTGAGGAGTGACTTCTGATCCAAGAGCTGAAGAATGAGTCTGCAAGTCCCAGGTAAATACCAGAAAGAAGAGTGCTTCAGGCAAGGGGAATGGCTTCTGTAAACAACACAAGCTCCTGGCAGCTGGTCACTGGTACAATTGGCCATCCCTTGATACTCACAGCACACTGTCCACTCACAGATATAATGACTACTCATACATCCCAAACTGTCAATATCCAGCTCTTCAATATGAATTTCAAGAGAAAACAATTGGAACCGGTGCCCAAGCAAATAGAGAGCAAAATTAAGACAAGTCGATTCACAATGGTCTTGGGACAAGAGATGGATAATAAAAACCTACCTATTCAGTATAAAATAACAAGCAGAAGTGACCAGTCTAGAGGAGTATCCTAGACATGTCACTCCACACAGAAAGGAACACCAAATTCCTAATAATGATGAAAGGTGAAGTTCTTTAAGGAAATATCCAAATAAACAAACGAAAATGTTAAACAGACACTTAACTGCACCCTCAAGGAAATGAAAATCCATATCAATTAAAACTAATAATTGGAGGATGATTCGTAATGGATTTGAAAATGTGCCCCTCAGATCTCCCTCCGACAGGACTTGCTGCTGTCATGATGACAGCAAAGAGCTGGCAGTCTGGGGTTGCCTCGGCTGCAGAGAACCATTTAGCACAAATCCAAGCTGTTCTCAGGGTGGCCGGCATCCACTGACCAACCATGGTCAGAATATAAAGCTCTGCCCAATATGGCCCTACACGGGTCCTCACTAATGAATTATTTCAGTTCCAGAGCTCCCTGTGAGATTGGCTGACACTATTGTTTAAACTACAGCAGAGCTTGAATTCTGCCTCTGCCCAATACTGACTTATTCCTCCACCTTTCACAGGTGTTGATTCCAAGATCACTTCCCAATAAACATTCTGTGCTAAACTTGACTCAGAGTCGGCTTCCTAAAGAATCCAGCCTGAGACAAAATGCAAGACATCCAATAGCAGATCCAAAATTAAGAGCTCCAGATGAAGTGAAAAATGGCAGCACTAAGGAAAGAAATTAAAACAAATTATGCCGTAGTGTTTAAAATCAAATCAGAACCAGCAATGTCTACAATTGACTTGAAGAAAATATAGTCAGTTATGCTGAGAACTAGCTTTAAAATATTCTGAAAAACGAAGTTGAAATGAGCCAAAAGAAAAGCAATTAGAGACAAAACATACTACCTGGAAGTTAGGTGCTTCCACAAAGATTGTGAGTATTAAATAATATAAGCAAAATACTATTAGAGTAGAAAATATCAAATAGATAAGGCTTTTTTCTAAAATATGCGTGTACATGATACTTATCATGGTTTGAAACAAAAACACGTGCAGGTAGTTTATTGGAGAAATTATCTCAGGATACAAGGAGGGAAGTGGAGAACCTAGGACAGGGGAAAGGTGTTATAATGAGCATGTTTCCACAATGGACCCCTTGGGCTCAGAAGTGCAATGTGCAACAAACCTTGGCATAATCCCACCAGAAAGGAGACTGAGCCATTTAGCACCTGATTCCCATCCTCCATTGACAGAGGTGAATTCTGGGAACATTAACTTTCCCATGTTGCCAAACACCTCCCGGCACTGGCAAAAGCCTTTAGAAAGAGAAGAGGAGGAAAAAAAAAAACCCAAGTTATTGAGGTGGGAAACTGAAAGCATACTGAAAACTGTCGGTGCTGACAGACAAATTCAGATATGGCAAAAGGATATTGGGCAAGGCGTCATTAGCTTTTGAAAAAATAATTTTTAAAAAATTGAGATTGAGATTAAATTTGGTGAGGTAATTAAAATTCAAGAATTAAGAAAATATTGCACAAACACATTGGGGGAAAAAGCCGCCTATGGAAGGGGAAGAGAAACCCCCATTTCCACATGGAATGGCATAAAACAAAAAGAGAGTTTTCCAGAGTATTGTAGTAAAATAAATATGTCTAATAAATGTCATAGTGGAAAAAAATCAACTCTCAGAAACCAAATAACTCCTCATTGATGTGGAATCTCTGGCATTGAATGGTTAACCATAAGCACTGGATCCACAATGTCTTTTGTGATTATTATTTTGTCCCCTGTACGTTGTATTGGTCTGATTAAAGGTACTCAATAAATACTTATTGAAGAAATTAACATATGAGGAACAGGATTTAATGCTCAATAGCATTGGTAATTATATCTGCAAAGAGTAAGTAGTTGCAATAATAATCTTTGTTCAGAAAATGTCTTAAAATATTACACAAAATTAGTATGCTCTCCAATTAAAGAAGTAATAATTCTTCAAGCAAGATATTAGGAAAAAGTACAATCTTATTTGACTTCTCAGACACAATTATTGCTAAATCACTACACAGAGCTTGACTTGCCCATGTATGTACACACATATAATCACTTACACAAACATGTGTAGGTGTGTGTTTGTGTATGAGAAGCAGGTTGTTAGTATAAGCTTAACTCTCGAAATCACAGTTGGTTAAAATATGAACAAAACTATAGTACAAGGCCAGGTGCGGTGTCTCATGCCTGTAATCCCAGCACTTTGGGATGCCAAGGTGGGCGGATCACCTGAGGTCAGGAGTTCAAGACTAGCCTGCCCAACATGGAGAAACCTCCTCTCTACTAAAAATACAAAATTAGCTAAGTGTGGTGGCACATGCCTGTCATTCCAGCTACTCGGGAGGCTGAGGCAGGCAGAGAATCACTTGAATCTGGGAGGCGGAGGTTGCAGTGAGCCAAGATCAAGCCATTGTACCACCCCAGCCTGGACAACAAGAGTGAAACTCCTTCTCAAAAAAAAAAAAAAAAAAAAAAAAAAACTATAGTACTAATAAACAATACTTAAAAGTTAAGTTTAATAGATATACTAAATTAAATAGAAAGGAATAGAAACAATACTGAATACTAAAAGTATCATAAGCATTAATGTCAAAGAGACAATTTAAACTGTTATTATTCAAAGGAAAATGTTTAACATTAACATTAATTTCATAATAACAAAGAATAAAAATGAATTAACTGACTTTCCAAAAAGAATTTTATAGTAGAGTAAAAATGACTATTGGGAACAAAATGTGAAAATCAATAAAGATATAATAATAAGTTATGAAATGGTAAAATAGGAGACTTGAGAAATAAATCCCACAATTAGTAAAACAAATATATAAGCAAGTAGTAAAAGGGAAGCGTGAAATATACATAAAATTAAGAATTAAATGAGAAGATAACCACAGACACAATCTCATTGAACAGATAAAGCCTACATGATATACATAATTTTCTATGAATTATAGTAACCACAATTGACTTTGAACTTCAACTTCCAAAATAATATGGAGGCAAATATAACATAAAGAGCCCCAGAAATACTCACAGGCAAATTATTTCAAGAAGCAGTGATTTTAATGACATTTAAGCTATTACAGAAGATTCTGTGTAAATATTTAAAAATATGAGTTATAAGCAGGTTAATTGCAGATTTATTTGTAATAGCAAAAAATGTAAAAACTCTGTGGATGTCATACTTCTTTGTATGAGACTGGAAAATTACCACGAAGAATTCATATTCCTTCTGTTTGAACTTGTCTACAAACATTCCCAATTCTGGTTAAGCCTTTATTACTTATTTCCCTATACTTCTTCACAGGGAACTTTGTAGAAGTTGAAGTTTAAAGATGCTCACTCTTCTTCTAATGACACTCTTCTGAGCAACAGGCTATCCTGTTTTGGTGGCATTGAGAGGAGCAGTCACATAAATAATTTTCCTAGGCTAAAAGCTACCCGAAAATTTATTTTGCCATTCAGGAGTAACTGATCCCTTTACTTCCTATATTCTACACTCAAATAAGTATTCCTCCACAGACCTCCGCCCTCACTGTGACTTTACTGCCCCACGCTGCCCTTTTAACTGGCACTTGTCATTTGATTATTTTCATTTCAAGATCAGGATCCAGAATTATGCCAGAATCATGCCAGAGCCATCCCAATAGCATCTCATGGGATGTCTTCTATCAAGACTTATTGGCCATCCATCATTCTCCAAGAAAGAAACTAGATTCAGCCTTCTCATTCATTACTTATTCAACAAATATTTATTGAAACCTATTATTCATCAGGCATCGAGCTAGGTACTGTGGATACAGATATGCATAAGATATAATTGTTGCTGTAAGTGATCTTGCATAAGTAAGAGGGTTAAACAGATAAAGGCACAAGGTGTTATGAGTGCAATAAAAATGTTTTATGGAAATAGGAGGGAAGAGGAGCCTAAACAACGTGGGAAGGGAGCTAATAGGGCAAGACTTTCTTGGGAAAGTGACATATGAATCATATCCTGAACTACAGTAGGATTTATTCACAGGAAGATGTGTGTGTGTTGGGGGGGGGGCAGTTGTCAGGAATGTACAAGTCATGGGAAAGGTAGCACAAAGCTCAAAGGCAAAAAGTAACACAGAACATTCCGTACCAAAAGATAATGGGAGAGAAATGTGCTTTTACTACCTGTGTAACAACACATTCATTGAGCTTGTTGATTTTTTATCTTAAGCATCTGAATTTCTAAAATCAGATTCTTACATTTAAACCAATCTGGAAGTAATTCATACATAGTAATACAACAAAAAACACTTAGATTCGTACCTTGAAAAGATTTTCTTTAGCTTGCCTTTTCACGAAGCCATTCAAATGATAAACTTAATTTCCACCTTTAAAACACTTTAGAAGAAGAAGCCCTTGGGCATATAGAAAAGAGATGAAAGTAAATATTTATTGGCACAATTCATTTTCTTTTAAGCTCTCAGTCATGCTTTGGATCAAATAGAGCTAAAAGACTTCAAGGATCAAAGGGCTAAATATCATGAAGTGGCCACATAAATTCCAAAGCTATCTTTCATTTTAGGAATATATTAAGAGTGTCTTCGGTGACCTATAGAAAATTATTTTATGCTCTCGCTCCCAATTTAAAATATACTCTTGCTAGCACACAAGAGACATTCATAATTTGCTTAATGTCTGCCTTGTGCAGCAGGAAAAAAATAAAAACTAATAAATTAGAGTGGAAAGAATATTCTTAAGTGCCTGCACTTTGGAGTCATTTATTCAGTTATTTATTTATTCAATAATTTGATGATTTGTTTTGTGCCTACACTGTCACAGTGGAAGACACCAAAGTATCAGCAGACAAGTCAGGCATATATCCTGCTTCTGGGGCCTAAATCCTTGTAGGGAAGATACACAACAATGTGTGTCAACAGATGAACCAACACAGCTTCTAATAACTGCTATGAAGCAAGTAAACTGAGTGATATGAAATAATTTAGGAATGTCACCTTAGATAAGATATTAGAGAAAGCCTTTCTTAACAGGTGACATTTAAGCTGGCTTTCGGTAAGTCTCAGTTTACAGACATGTAAGATGTGAAAAATAGTACCTTTCTGATAGAACTTTTGAGAGTATCAACTGAAATAATGGACATAAAGAACCAAGCGTAGTACCTGACAGTTAGTACTTATTAGTATTAAAATAGTTACTTACAGAATATACCCCTGTACATTTGTTTTCAGTAAAGGTTGATGAAGCTTACCTAGGTACACCCATTCTGTGAAGTAAGACTGTACACTTTCAAAATCCACTTCCTCCCAGAACTTTAGGATACGGAACATCAAATTAAGAAATGGCCTGCTGCTGCTTTAAAAAATGGCAAATTAACTTATATCAGCTCATTCCAATGCAAGAACCACATGAGAGAAAGTAAGATGCAGAGACAGCGTGAGACAGATACCAGAGGCATACAGAGGCAGGCAGGCTTGATGAGGTTGTTCTTTGTTCTGATTATCATCTCGCTCCTTCATCTTCTGCACTTTGCAGATGCTGACTGGAGCTCCAGATTCGTCCTCAAAAAACTGATCTGTGTAAGTAAGGCCTGGAGTCTTCTCACAGAAGAGTGTAGCTGACAGGTTAAGTGAGATGATTCCATACTGAGGTTTGGTGGAATCTGAGCTTTTTCAAGTGTTCTCAGGGCCCTAGCTGAATGAGACGACCGCTAGTATTTGTGTCAGTTGTACATTTGCGTCAATCCTCTTTCTGATCTTCCCCCTCTGTGCAACTTAATAAACATAACAATAAAAATAATGGCAACTGAAATCTACATACCATTTTACAGATCATAAAGTGCTATCTGGTACATTTCCATGAATAGGTTTGATAATAATCCATTGAATTTTTATTATTAGCCACTACTTTTGAATAGAGGAAAATAATTATTTTGAGAAACTGGGTGATTTTCCTAAGAATATCCAGATAGTAAGGACAGAAGAGGCGCCTGTTTCATGTCAAATTATAATCACTTTGGGAATCTAAGTTCCCGTTTCTGTCTTTTGTTTTTTCTGAGAGTGAAAATGCATGGACTTGTCATTGTCATCCTAAAAAGAACACTAAAGCCAAGACTGACAACTCAAATTTGCCTTTTTTGTGACACAGCATGGAGTATGTGATGGACAACCTGTTAGAACTGATTATGATTAATACTCTACAGAATGAATCTGGGAGACCTAGTTGTTATGTAACCAATTCCCTTTCCCTTTTTATCTTGGCTGCTGGGGAGTCCTGCATAAATTTTAAATTGATTTCTGATACAGCTACCACCTCCTTTCTTCATAAATTCTCTTATTTTATTTTATTTTTATTTGAACTTTCCTGTGGGTATTTTTATATCTACATTGATATCTACATTTCTGTCTGTTTCTAAAACTACATTTACACTTGCATTTTTGGGGCAAGCTGCCTCTAGTCCAGTTCAGAAGCAGTCAGGACATAAATAATAAATGTACGGTAGAACTACTTCACTCAAAGCAATCGAGCAACTTGTGAATGTGGGGAGGGTATTTTGACATTAAAAAGTAAAGCCAATTTTTTTTAGCATATTTGCCTGGATAAAGACGTAGATTTAAGTCAGTCTGAATTTTGTAATAATTTCATTTGAATCTCATTTATTTTAGCTATTTGCTCATTCTTAGACGTAAATGCCATTCCTTTCTGCGAGCTTCTGTACCATTTCAACAAGAAAACACATGGACATGTTGGGACACAGCTTCTGTTATTAATTGGAAAAATAAGAAATTTCTGTTTATATTGAAACTTGTATGAGGTGCTATTAATTTATTTGTCAAAACATAATTAAACTGTAAACAAATTACCGTACTTTTGACTGATATATTTTGATGCTTGAGTGGGAAATATCTCATTATTTTTTAGTCGATTACAAATGTGCAAATCAAGGATTTTAACACAAGTTTTTTCCTTTTGATATAAATAGTAACATGTTTCGGTTTCTGATTTGGAGGTGATTATTTCAAAATTATTTCTTTCTTTTAGCTTGTAGGCCTGTGTGTGTGTGTGTGTGTGTGTGTGTGTGTGTGTGTGTATTTGCAATAATTATAAAAATAGCACTTACATCAAGGGATGCCAACTGAATTACTACAGGAAGCTAGCTCAGAGGGAAGAATCATTCCATTTCTAGACAGCATAGTTCACCAAGAGACCCTTCCCCAAGTGAGGAGTTCTCTGTTGATTTTGCCCCTACTCAACCCCGGTTATTCTTTTTCAAAGGTCACAATATGCTCAGGATATTTCACTACTGCTTTATTAATTTAACGTAACTTTGTTGAACACACATCCTTAGACACCACGCTTAGGCCTACAATATAATTTATCATCTAAACTGGGACATTTTTTAAAGCAATGAAGGTGTTAATAATCAAGCCAAGACCCATAAGATTTGGAGGTTTACTGAATTTTCTCACAGTCACACTAATAGTGAAGGACAGATGGAAAGCCTGGATCTATGTCAAATGTCTTTTCTTGCACTTCCCTTAAGGGCAGAGTAAGTGTTTAGCACATTTTTGAAAATTTAATGAAGGAATGAATCGATATTTTAGTTTCACCATAGCGCTTAACATAAACCTTTGGGAGGAAGGATGGAAGCGTAAACTAGGACAGTCCCTGGCAGCCTGGTGCATAGGTTTGCCCTAACTAAACTAGACCCTGAGTATACAGATACTAATATCCTTCATAGATTGTCTTGTTAGCCATGCCATAAGACTGACATGCATTACAATATAAGAAAACATTGTGTGGTGAAAATGATAAAGGGCTTAAGTGTCCCACAAGTCAGATGCTGAGTTAAACTTCTGTCATTTTCTAAGTCACTATCTTGAATAACTCTTCACTTTTGAAATCGAGCTTCTTCATTTGTAATATATGGGTGTAACAGTCAGAGTTCTTATTTCCAAGCAACAGAATCCACAATGGAGATTTATGCAATTCTTTAATACAATTAACATATTAAAATAATACTGAGGAGCCATAGAAACATTGGAAAAGCAGGCTAAATTGCCCAGATTAAGATGCAACGATCAAATTCCAAAGCTCCACCCCACAACAAGCTTAGTGAGGAGACTGTTGGTCACACTCATCACTTGGTCCCATGTATTGCACTCCTCCCAGAAACTCCACTGAAACTGTTACTCTGTATCAAAAACTCTCTCTTTCATTTATTGCTCCAAACTGAAGTCCAACTGCATGCATGCCTATGATTGTTGATATCTTGATCACATGATTAAGATTTAGCTGCAAAAGAGGCCAGGCAGAAAGCAGGTGGTAGGACACATACAAGGAGAACTCCACAAATAATGGAAGGATATCCAACCTCATAGGGTTGCTGTCATCATCAAGTTAGCCAATGAGAAAGTCCTTTGTAAATGGTAAAATGCTTCATTATTCATCATATTCACAGACCTGTTTAACAGTATGACATATAAAGAGGTTAAGAATATATTAATTGGCTAGAGACAACTAAACAACAAGTTATGTTTTCTCCAACTCCCAACTGGGAAAAGACTAAGTGTAGCAATGGTTTAGGAACAACTTCTACTCACCTAGGGAAGTCAATACTTGCAGATGTTTCTCATTGTTCCATATCTTTCCATTTAATGCATGTAATGTGTACATCCATTTCAAAATAATAACTTTGACTTCACCCCAAAATGTGTAGACTAAAATAATCTGAACCTTTATGCCACTCAGTGATTAGAAGTTACTCTTGGTTGTTGACCAGCTCTACACTCTTCTTGTGCCTCTGTGTCTGACAACCCTGAACACTCAATATGAAATAGCTATAAAGCCTTCCAATGGGCAAAATGCTTAGGCTGTGCACCCATCATTTCAGGACTCCATGGCATACACCCTTAGTGTCCCATCCCACTGTCCTCTTTGAAGATGGGGACACAAGTTTAAGTATCTTCGATTAATACTGGATTAGCCCTTGAAACATATTCATGACCCCAATTTACACTTATAAGTACTTATAATAATCCTTTCCTTTGTGGAAAGTATATAGAAACATGCATAGCTTTTTTTTTTCCTTTGGCCTGAGAAAACTGAGAACTTAGGTGACTTTTCCAAATTCACAGTTTGTAAGAGGGAAACCTGAGTAGCACGTGTCCCTCTCAATACTATTAGAAAAATTCAACTTCAGTGTTGCTTGTGTTTATATTATTGAATATGTCCACATTTTGTGGGCATTAGGTCAGAGATTTATCAGTCTTATCTTAGCTCAAGAAAAAAGATTTCACTAATTGCCCATGAAACTGAAGAAATTTGTGTCCTGTAGTAAGTTGCAAATGAAAGTTCCCAACATTATTATAGTTCTGTTTAAGAATACTGGGTATCATTTTCTTGTGGTAAGACCTTTAAAGCTAAGAATGAGGAAAGTTTGTCCTAATTATGGGTACTGTGTTGCCCAAATTTCCCAGGAATTAAATTTTAGATGTCCTAGGACCAGACAGAAGTAACTCTTGGTCCAGAAAAATCACATTCAGACAAAGAATAAACCCAGATCGTCTTTTAACTAATGATCTTGTATTTATAGCTGTCTTTGGGAACTGATATGGTGAGGAAGGGGACTGAGTGAAAGAGAAATGGGAAAGGACTAGTGTAAACCAGTCCCAAACAGAGGAAGTAAAGACTGGTCCTGAGTGTCAAGTATAAAAAAAATTACAGTTT
Source organism: Homo sapiens (assembly GCF_000001405.40). Classification (NCBI taxonomy): domain Eukaryota; kingdom Metazoa; phylum Chordata; class Mammalia; order Primates; family Hominidae; genus Homo; species Homo sapiens. The sequence goes on along the minus strand of NC_000002.12, from coordinate 14,184,427 downwards.
TCTAGAGGCAAAAATACACTCACCTCTTTTCTATGCTTAGAACCACTGTTCATTTATTTCCAAGAAGAAATTTTTGAAAAGAAAATGTATTTGTAATTCTATTATTTCTTTACATTTTAATCCAGTAGATACCAACTTAATGGAGATTGAACAAATCTTAGTTTTAGTAAAATACACACTTATCTACGTATCCATCTGTCTATTTTCCTGTGTATCTATGTATCTATCTATCATCTATATAGCTACTATCTATCTGTCCATCCATCCCTCCGTCCATCTATCTAATCTTTCTCAGTTATTACATTTTAAATGAAAATGTATAACTAAAAATAATGCCATGGGGAGAAAATGAACAGCAATTTGAGACTCAAGAAATATCTGAAGAGCAAATATTTAGCTTTAATTTAAATTTTATCTTTGTCATATTGTGAAGTAGTGTTATGGGATCTTTGGAGTGTCACTTTTTTGGCCAGAAACCTCTGTGTGGCTGCTGCAGTGGGGCAGACAGGTTCAGGTGCCAACACCCGTGCCAGCTGTCTGTGAGGCTACCACTGGACCAGGTGTACTGCAAGAAGTTTCCACAGATGGCACCAGGGAACATGATGGCACCTGGAAGCTTGGAGATGCCAGGAACTGCAGGGCCTCAAGGAGGGAGTCACAGCCTTAGCTCTGGGTGCTCCAAGGTCTGGGATTCCCCGAAGGACTGCAGCTCTTCTTTCTTTCCTTCACCCAAAACGTGGTGAGCAAGGAGCATGTCTCAGCCCTGTTTCTGTTATTGCTCTTTTAGCCTTGCCATTTGGTGGGCTCTGAGTTCTTGTCCTGTGGCCAGGAAGAATAAGGAAGAATGAGATATGCAAATAAGTAGATGGTGAGCAAGAGGAAGAGGAGCTTTATTGAATGATGGAACAACTCAAAGGGGACCCCACAGTGGGTAGCTCCTTTCTGCAGCCAGTGTGTCCCATTGAGTGTTCAGCTCCTAGCAGAGAGGGTAGCTCCTCTCTGTAGCTGGTCTTCTGAACAAGCGTTCAGCTAAGAGCAGAGAGGTTAGCTCCTCTCTGTAGCTGTATATCCCATCATCTCTCCGTCTTCTGCTCTCCTCATCCTCTGCTGTGCTCTGGCTGAGCCCAGGGCTTTTATGGGCCTCAGAGGGAAGAAAGTGCATGCTGATTGGCCCATGAGCGGCCACGGGTGGCCTGGGAAAGGCGCCACAAATCCCCACTTCAGTCCATGGGACTGGCAGCCCAGTCCCCAGCCTTCAGGCTCTCCCTGGCCTGAAGGTGGGGCCTCACTGGGGGATTCAAGGGCTGAGGTTGCAGAGGGCTGAGATGTCAGCACTGCCCTGAGCATGCACACACCTGGCTGGGCTGTGATAGCACCAGGGCTTGGCCTCAACCCTATTCCAGCATTGGAGCAGGCACTGAAAGTGGGGAGAAGTCAGGCAGCAGGGCAGAAACCCCTGAGCCTGCAAGGGGGAGGGGCCTTCCTAGGCCCCCAAGGGTGCAGACTGCAGAGATGCCCGGGCCCTGTGCCCAGCCTGTCTGGCTCATGGCCCTGCCCTGTGAGTGGAGGGAGGGCTCCAGGAGTGAATCATCAGCCCTGGCCCAGCCATCGGGAGTGTCAGATGCAGAAGTCACCCCAGTGTGGGGCAGACCCCAGGCACCTGGGCGGCACTGCAGCAGAGCCTCCTCCCAGGGTACAGGAACCTGGCACCCTTGGCGGGGTGGGCATAGTGACCATGCTGCTGGCTGGGTCCCGAAGCAAAGGCTACTACCACTTTCCTTGAAGTGTGGCCCCAGCTGCATGCCGCAGGCCCAGCCCCTCGCTCTGGACCCTGCTCTCTGTGTGCAAGGATAACACCACCCAGGCCCAGCTCCACCTTGGGCCTGGCTCTGCCTTGGGACCCCTCTCTTCCCAACAGCACTGCAATGGCAGTGGGCAAAAGTGGTGACGAAGGGCCAGGGTCCAGAGAGGCAGAGGCTCTGGGCCTGGGGCAGGTTCTGACCGGCTGCACAAGGGTGGGCTCACGCAGTCGGCTGCCTCGCGGACGTGGGGCTTGGTGGCCCCCCGACCACTGCCACTGCTGCTCCCGCAGCCACTCTTGCTGCCACTTCTCACACCTCCATGCTGTAGCTGGCACAGTGACAGTAACCACTCCAGAGGTGCCTTCTGCTGCCTTCAGTGGTAATACAGGAATTCAACTACTCTGATAAAATGTGGATGTACTTTCTTAATTAGAAATTTAAAATTCTATATGAAAGTGCTTCATTTTCCTTGATTGAATGCCATGCAGTCTTAGTGGTTTTCCCAAAGTTCCTCTCATGTTTAGTACTCGACCTAAGTAATATTTAATGCAATTTTTAAAAAATAAATAGGCAAACTCTGGCCCACAGGCTGGTCACATGCCTTGTAAATAAAGCTTTATTGGAACTCTAGACAGGATGAGGGTAAGGCAAGTAGGTTTAGGTTGTACAAATACAGTCTTGAATCTTGTATTTATTTAAAATCTCAATATTTTGTTCATCTTGAATTATAGAGTTTTTCATTAATTTTTATATTTTTAAAGGATGCATTAAATATTGTTTATCTTAATTACTGAATTATTTGGTACCTGTCTAAAGTCTACCTCTGAGATTGGAACCTTACTTCCTTCATTCTAATTTGGGATTCCTGATATTTTCATCCCAGATTAAATTTTAAACAAAACATATGCTCAAAAATTATAAACCATAGCTCTATTATATGAACAATAACATATGTTTGGAAAGGAAGGAAGGAGAGATGAGGAAAGGGAGACATAGGGAGAGGGGAAATCATTTTCTTCAACACCTAGGAAAGAAATCCACCTCTTTCACCAGCCAGTTATATGCCCTTATTTTATTTATTTCCATGAACACATAGTAGAATGCTAAAGAAGTGGTCCAGAGTTTAATCCTGGCTCCACCATTTATTAGGTATAGGTTTTAGATTGCATTTTTAATCAAACTGCACTTCAATATCTGTATCTGTAACATTGGGCATAAGAAGAAAACTTCTTTCACAAGATTATTTGTGATAATAAATGAAGATATTGCATTTCATAAAGTTTTCAAGTTTAGTTTCTGGTGCATGCTGAGGTCTCAGTAAATGGTAGTTATTGCTTTTCTTGTTTTTGATATGCTATTGACAGTATTATTGATTTTTTCTAATATTTTTTCTATTACATAATAGAATTCAATGATATAATATGTAATATATTTTGTGTGTTTAATATATGATAGTATATGACTAATATCAAATTGTACTACCCATAAGTTAATTATATTTATATATTGTTATATGTCAATTTTATATTCTCTTACTATGTCACTATTCGTCTTTTGACCTATTGTGTATATTCTCAGAAAAAAAGAGATAACGCCTTATATATTTATTGTATTTTGCCTTTTGATTACATGATTCAGTTTAATGTTTAATGTGTTTTATTCAGTTAGTACCATATTTCCAGTAGAAGTAATCATGCTAGTTCCTTTCAATTTGGTATTTTCTTAATCCTCTCAACAACCTTGTGAGATCTATGCTATTATCTATATTTGCCAGTTGAAGAAACAGGGTCTCAGAGCGTCTGTGTGACTTGCCCAAGTTCACAAAGCCAGTAGTAGAGCTTCTATTTAAATACAATCTAACAGACTTTTAGTCCAGTTGTAATTTTTTAAACTTTGTTTTGTTTTAGTTTAATTTTACTACTGAATTACACTGTCTCCCAGGATGTGAGCCTATTATGTAGACCTAGTCGTGGTTTAAGTAAAGTGGTCATTTCCCTTCATTCAAGACCAAAGTCTTCTCAGTAGACTTTGCTAACACGTTTGAGGTGGATTAGATGTTGCCATAATAACTACTTTTTGCTATTTCAGCACTTCTCAGACACTATGTAATCATTTTTTTGTCTGTTTACCTGCTGCCACAATATGCTGACCTTGAGGTTGTTAAACATGCTTTATTCACTTCTGCTTCTTCAGCGCTTCATGAAATGTCTGACACTAGTAGGTGCTCAGTTAACATTTATTGACCAAATGAGTGAGTTCATGCAAAAATATTACTATTCATTTGAAATTTGAAAAATAACATTAAGCATTAAGATTCTCGAGTTCGAGACCAGCCTGGCTTACATGGTGAAACCCTGTTTCTACTAAAGATACAAAAAAATTAGCCTGTAATCCCGGCCACTCGGGAGGCTGAAACAGGAGAATCGCTTGAACCTGGGAGGTGGAGGTTGTGGAGGTTGCAATGAGCCGAGATCATGCCATTGCATTCCAGCTTGGGCAGCAAGAGCAAAACTCCATCTCAAAAAAAAAAAAGATTTTTTAGACATGATGTAAAAAGGTTTGCTATTTTGCTGCACTATGCTTTGATCTGTTGATTAATAATAATTTTATGACTTTGTTCTACAATGTATCTTACAAGCCAATCAATACATAAATATAATAAAATGGCATATTAAACACACTTCCCTCCTTCCAATTTTTACATATATCAGCAATTGTTTTTATAGTAGTAATAAAAGTAATTGCTGTTGGAGTACTGTAAGTTTGAGATTGCCTGGGAAGTTATATTCAACTTTTAGAAAGCCTTGTATTTGTTAGATATTTAATAATTCCTTTTAAGTGGGTAAAAAGTGTCATGTTAGGTTTTAGGAATGTATACATAAACACAGCATGGTTTTTTTCTGAGATGTACCGTTATCTATTGTAGAAGATAGAAATGTAACCAAAGGGCATTTCAATACACTTCAATGAGGTTTTTTGTTTGTTTGTTTGTTTGTTTGTTTTGCTAGCTGCAAACTGAGATGGTAAGACAAGGTGAATTTTAGAATTACTTTCTGTCCTAAAACCCTTTGTTGTTTTCATTATGATTAGCATTATTAGACATACCTATCAAAAGATAAGAGTACGGAATTTTTTGTATAATAAAACTTGATTCCTGGGAGGAAATAAATTAATTTAGTATAGTAAGATAAACGTTTCTGATCATCTAAACCAGACACAGCTAGTAAATAAACTTGGACGAGACATTTAAGGGAGGATTTGGATCTCTAAAAGTTGCACCTTAGTGTATTAATTCCTATTTTAAGTTAAGTCATTCTCTACTGAACAAATCCATTTTTTGAAAAATGAACTCTGTCACTGATGAGGTTGTCTCTGGCCTTTCCCTAGGAGAAATGTGTTTTAAACAAATTAAATTCTTCCACTTTTTAAATTGAACAGGCCAGGATTGTCAGCCCTATCTCTCTTACTCCCATGCTGAAGTGAAATGAAGACCAAACTACAATTGGCAATTAATAACTTCAGATTATATTATAGAACTCTTGTTGCAAAATTCATCTGCACAGAAATTTCTCAAGAAAAGTGCATGTCTAGGTCACTGTGACCAAAATCCGCCCTCTCCTATGGAACTACAAATGTCAAAACGACATTGAAACTGTACTCCTTGTCCCTGGGATCATCTGCACCGCGATAATCAGCGTCTGGCTGTCCCACTGTTTCTCAGTCTCAGACTGACCCGAGCAGGAGTCAGGAGGTTGGGTCCGTGAGGATTCTCAGCTCTACATGGCAAAAACTGGCAGAACAGTTACTTAAGCCAAGGAATTAGGTTTCTGCTATGAAAGGATCTTCATTATATGTTTTTTAAAAGCTACAACGTAGTCTATATCTATACATAAACTGGAAATTTTAAAAATGATAAAAATAAATGGAAAAGTGATATGATGAGTAGATCATCAGTCTGTTTTATTAGTAAACATGCAAATTAGAATAATGAATTGATTAAAAAAAGAAGAAAAATAGTGGTAATAACAAGTTTGGGCAACCATCTAGGAAGCTGTGCACTCTCATTTACCTCTGTAGTTGAGTTTGGAAATACGTACCCAGAGCTATAAATACCTGTATATCATTTAAACTAATAATTTTACATTTTAGAGATTAAAAAAGCAAATATTTCATAATGTGAACATAGATCTAAATAAATGTTTTATTTTTGACATTTTCATTTATAATAGCTAAACTAGGGAATCACATAGATATTCAAAAATTGAATATTAAATTTCTGTATATGCATAATATAAAGGACAATGAAGCCAGTAAAATGGGATCATAGGACAATACCTACCAGTACTGTCAGATAACAGAAACAGACATTTCAAGGTGACTTTAGTGGTTTTTTCTGAGATGCCACTATATATTTGTATACTTTCAGTACTTTGTAATGTTCTAAAATTGAAAAAATTGCTTTTTCAAAGTAAAATAATGTGTATATAATATGTAAAATATATACTAAAATATCTCATTGTCAATAGGAATCACAAGCTATAAAAACTTAACCTCGAAAGATACATTTTTGGAGGTAAACTACGAAAATTTATTTAAAGACTTTGAATTGTATCAAGACCTTGGGCAGCAACTGTAAAGGTGTCAGTTCTTCCCAAATTAGTTTCCAAATTACTAAACATTCAATACAATTGTAGTAATCATTGCTGGAGGTGAATGGAGGGAGGACTATAGTCTTGAAAAGTTAAATTCCTTGTTAGTTTATTTTTTCTGTGAATGAAAAGAAAAATAAAGCCTACATATTTTAAAACAGAAGTATGAGAGAACAATCCCTTTCTTAATATCAGTGGCACCATAAAACTGCAGCAGTTCACACAGAATTATAATAATGGAAGCAGGATTGTCAGACTTACTGATGGAACGGAATACTAGCATAGGGATTTAATATGCAGATCCTTAGAGGGCAAAGGATTCATTATATTCTAGTATCTTTTAATCTAGCTCCTCCTCTTCTTTTCACCATAACCAAAGTCTTAATACAGGTCCTAAAGATCTCTCGCCTATAAAACCACAGTTCATGCCATGTAGAAATTTGCAATTATTCTCAAATATGAATTTGAACAAAGCTCTCTGAGGCTGCTGATCATTTAACAATAGAGGCTTATTTGAAAAGCACTTTATTGCTGTCTTTTCATTGACCAGAAAATGTTCTAAATGTTGGCAATTTGTGGACAAGTGTCTATGTTATGAGAAGACATAATCTTAGTGTGATTTTAAAAGCTTCTGGTTACATGAGAACCCATACCGAAGATATGTGAATTTATACGATTGTGATTCCATAGAAGGCCACAATCCATTTTCAACTTTTCTGTATTGTTGAACTTGCTTAATATTAAATCAGTAGGGGAAGGAGATTATATATTGAACAAAAATTTAAATATCTTGGTCTTTATCTCACTTTGAATCAAAAACATTTCAAATTTTCTTAAGAGCTACATTTTGAAACACTAGAAATCAAATTTCTCAGAAAAAATGCAAATTTAATAGGTGTTAGTAATGAGAGGATTTTGTAACACCAATGAAGTTTTAAGAGCAAAAATAGAAACAAATGAGTAAAATTACTGTAAAACACAAAAATACTAACATGTAAGTGGGTTTCACAAAAGAAAATTTCAATCTGTTTTCTTAAACTGATAAACAACCCCATAGCGTAATCATAACAACAATAAAAACAAACGAATGTCTAAGTCTGGTAGAGCTGAGTTGAGGAAATTCTTATGTGTTGTTGATTGAATTATAAACTAGGACAAATTTTTAAAAATAATAATATGGATCAAGAACTTGAAGCATGATTCTATTTATCAATCCATTTCTAAGAGTCCATTCTACGGAAACGAATATAGATAAAGTAAAAAATTATACATAAAAATCTCTCATCACTACAGAATTTATAATAGTAAAAGTCTGGAAGTAACAGCATTGTCCAGAATGTTTGATTACACAAATTTTGTTGCAGTATAAGAGTAGTTGTTAAAATAATTTTTTCAAGTAATACTTAAATACCCAGGAAATATCATAGTATAGTGCTAAGTGAAAAAGAAGAGGGATACTAAACCAAATTTATACTGTGATTTTATATTTCACATAAATATATGTGTGTTTTATATGTGTGTTCATAGAAACCACAGTTGCCCGAAACCCAATAATCCAAACCCAAGTCACCAATGGCCACTTTCTTTTTTATTTTTATTTTTATTTTTAATTTTATTATTTTTTTAAATTATACTTCAAGTTCTAGGGTACATGTGCACAACGTGCAGGTTTGTTGCATATGTATACATGTGCCGTGTTGGTTTGCTGTTCCCATTAACTCATCATTTACATTAGGCATTTCTCTTCTCCTAATGCTATTCCTCCCCTATCCCCGGACCCCACGACAGGCACCGGTGTGTGATGTTCCCCGCCCTGTGTCCAAGTGTTCTCATTGTTCAATTCCCACTTATAAGTGAGAACCTGCAGTGCTTGGTTTTCTGTCCTTGTGGTAGTTTGCACAGAATGATGGTTTCCAGCTTCATCCATGTTGCTACAAAGGACATGAACTCATCCTTTTTTATGGCTGCCTAGTATTCCATGGTGTATATGTGCCACATTTTCTTAATCCAGTCTATCATTGATGGACATTTGGGTTGGTTCCAAGTCTTTGCTATTGTGAGTAGTGCCACAATAAACATACGTCTGCATGTGTTTTTATAGTAGCATGATTTATAATCCTTTGGGTATATACCCAGTAATGTGATCGCTGGGTCAAATGATATTTCTGGTTATAGATCCTTGAGGAATCACCACACTGTCTTCCACAATGGTTGAACTGGTTTACACTCCCACCAACAGTGTAAAAGCGTTCCTATTTCTCCATATCCTCTCCAGCACCTGTTGTTTCCTGAGTTTTTAACTGGTCATTCTAACTGGTTCTAATCTAACTGGTGTGAGATGGTATCGCCATTCTAACTGGTGTAAGATGGTATCTCATTGTGGCTTTGATTTGCATTTCTCTGACGGCCAGTGATGATGAGCATTTTTTCATGTGTCTGTTGGCTGCATAAATGTCTTCTTTTGGGAAGTGTCTGTTCATATCCTTTGCCGACTTTTTGATGGGGTTGTTTGATTTTTTTTCTTGTAAATTTTTTTAAGTTCTTTGTAGATTCTGGATATCAGCCCTTTGTCAGATGGGTAAATTGCAAAAATTTTCTCCCATCCAATGGCCACTTTCAAATGATCAACTCTCCTAGTTCATTAACTGCCTGTTCCACACATATTCTTATGTATTTTTTTAAAAAATATTTACGTATTTAATCTTTACCTTTTGTCTCTAATCTACCTGGAATTGATTTTTTCAGTACTGTGTAAGTTAGGGACATTTTTTTTTCTCATTTAGATAGCAAAAATACTATTGATTTATTCCTCTACCAATGATCTGCAGAATTTTCTTTCCTATTCTTTATTTCCTTACATAAGTGAGTCTGCTTTTCAATTCTTTATTCTACCTCATTGCTTAATGTGTCTAACCCTTTCCAACAACTACGCTAACTTAATAGCGTTATCATATATATTTACATCGGATTAGAAAAGTTATTCATTCCACTTATATTCTGCAAAATTGTCTCATGCATTCTTGCCCACTGCTGTGCTGTGTAAGTATTTTGATTATCTTTTCTAGTTTCATAAGATTTCCTGTTGGAATTTTGCCTGCCATTGCATTGAATTTATAGATTAATTTGGGGAGACTATGAATTTAGTGAGAATTCATATTCAATAATGAAACTTCCTATTTCATAATCCATAATGATATTGTTACTCTCCATTTCCTTAGGTTTTAAAATTATGTCTTCAATGAAGTTTATAATTTTCCATATACTTCTTTTCATGGACATATTGATTGCAGTTTTGTACATTTACTCTATGCTGGTAAAGTGATCATTTTCTTTGAAAAGAACAGTAGTCACGGAAGTGGCAACATAATTCCTGCTTTTAAGCTGAATGTGTAGAGCCAGAGTGTTATGGTTGTCGAATATTTGTTTTAGGTCTGATTCTTAACTCTAAAATTTGTCCTTTAAAAATGGTCAGTGACTACTTTTTTTCCTAAAGTATAACTTTCAGATCAAATCAGTCTTAGTTTTTTTTACCTGCATTATATCTACATGTACACATTATGTATATACACTACATATAACATATACATTATATATACTATATATAATGTATAGTATATACACTATCTGTACACATAGTATATACATATGCACTATACATATATAATACATATTTTATATATATATATATATTTGTCTACAGAATCGGTAAAAATAATTAAGTCCAAGTCAATAATCAATGTGGTATTTTAAGTTGTGCTATTCCAATTTATTATTTTCATCGTATTCTAAAATAATTTTTAAAGCAAAGACAAGGAAAAGAAAACCCTCCTGTAATTACAAAATAATATGTAACAAAATGAACCTTTCAGCCTATAGCAATAATGGTATACAACATTGATTAAAAAGACATATGACAGGGATAAGCACTTCTAATTTGAATCACATCTGTAGTAGCTTTCACCTAGCTGTTTTTATTCTAATTTTTAAAATGAGCATTCTATTTCTCTACCCATTGAGAGATGTGTGAGATATGTGCTTTATCTCTTTTTGTGTGTATCATTGCAGTTATGAATCAAATAATTTGCTTTTTAGGCAATCTTAAGCATTTTCATACACAATTGTCTATAGATAGGCTGTCTGTATTGAAAGCCTTTTTTTTAAAATCAGCTATCTGCCTAAAGGATATCACCAGCTTCTGAATTAGGTATATATGATATCTACTTCATCATTTCTATCAGATATATTCCTCCCATTCTATAAGAACCAGTATTCTCCACCATAAAAATAGATTGTAAGTGTTCATTTCTCTGAGGGTGCTGAGAAATATAAATTACATATAATATATAAGATTCTCATTATAGCTCTTGGAACATAGTATTGTCTCAGCCATTGGTCAATGTTCTAAATCTCTTTAACATCTCACCTCTGCTTGAAACAGTTGAAACCAAACATTTATGTAGCTTTTTCTCTCCTCATATATGTCTCAATTGTCCTGTTGATTCGAATGTTCTCTTATCAGTGAGGTCAGCCCTAACAGACCAGTATAATAATGTGCTCTACCACACACTTTCTTCTCTGTTTTTCTCTTTCCACTTGATCTAATTTATTTTTATTTATATCTCTCTTACTACCTGACATGTAATTATTTGATTGTTTATTGTCTGTTTTCTTTCATTAGAATGGAGCAGGAGCTTTAAGTATCCTCAGTGCATAGAACAGCACCTGGCACCATAGTGGCCATTCTTTTAATATGTGTTGAATGAATGGTTGTATACATGAATAAACATTTTCTATTTAAGTTAGAACACGTGAGTCAGGAAATGCTCGCATTAGTATATAGAAGAATAATAGTATCTGCAAAATTGGTAATATTCATCTTTTAGTTTAATAACAAATAACTTAATCTACATGCATGATAAAAGTACATTTATGCTTTTTCTGAGCAATTGAGATTTCTGTCTTGTTATGTCTTGTTTTCTTTCTAGACATAATAGTTCTTTTAAATGATCACATGACACTTTGATGTGGCTATTAGGGAATTTAAAGCCATTTATAGCCTATCTTTGTGCTATATAAGAGTTTATGATATCCATTTATTTACATTTAGCTTTATTTTATTTCTCTACCATTCTTTCTCTCTCACTTCCATATCCATAAATACTTATTTTTATTTCATTACATATTCTATTTGCCATCTAAATTTTAAAACTAGGAAGAGGTTTGTAATACACCTACACACAGAATCATAAAGATACAGTTTTTATATATAAAGTATCCCAGTGGCAATAAATGAAGTATATATACATTGTACATTATCTGTAATTTGTAAATCTGTTAAAAGTATGTGCTAGTTCAATGAAGAGGATATATAGTCTAAACAGATATCTAACTTTCATAATCAACCAAAGAGTTAATTCAGTATACATGTAGAGTGAATGGAGTAAACTGCTGCGAAATGTTCTGGCTTTAGGTCAAACATGAAAGTTTTTTAAGGGAACTGCCCTATGTATTCTTCCTCCTTTTCATAGTACTTTATTTTTAATAGAACTTTCATAAGTTACTGCTGTATCTTCTTTTCCATTGTATGAGATTTTTGACGATGAGACCATTATATATTCAAATTGTAGCTATAACAGTGTTATATGACTTAATACACACTTCAAAATGAATGAAAAAATGATCCTTTTTCAAATGTTCCAAATTATTTTATAGCCTAGTAATTAATGAATTTGATTGAATTGTTATGTTTATCACGTAGACTTTATAAAGATCAAATGATGAGAGAGCCCACACATCTTTCCATCAGAAAGTGAAGCAATGACTCTGCTCTTATTCTAAGTTTAAGCTTCCTTAGGATATCAGCATCAATCTGCTTAAAAGTGTGACTTTTTTATGGATTAAAGTGGAAGATTCTGTTCAGTGAGATGGGACATTTTAGAAATTTCTCAATGTATGAGAAAAGTGTGTTATTATGATCAGTGAAACAGATGTATGATGATATAATTCTGCAGTAGACATATTTTGGAGAAATGTTTACTACTCTATGGAAAAAAGAAGATAAAAAGAAAGATTAAATTATATGATTTTTTTGGAGATTTCTTGAAGGGGCCACTAATAAATGGCAAATAAAAATACGTAAGTGATAATTTTAAAAAATGCAAGTTATATCCTTATGACAGATACAGATGACATTTTTGGAAAAGCTGTTTTGGAGGAAAGAACACAGATCATGTTTGCCCAAGTCAAGATCTTCTGCACATTGATTTTCAACATTTTTGGTATAAATCTGTTAGAATTTCTAATAACATATATGTCAGATTAATTCACCAATTTTTGTTCTTTTAATGTCATAGAAAGAAGGGGAAAAAGCATGGTGAAAATATGCAGATTCCTCACTCAGATATGTTTATTTTTATGCAGATACATTACTGGAAATCTAGATATTCTATTTCATTATTTTTTTTTATAGGTTTTTGCCCCACATACTGTTTCACAGTACTGAAATTGTTCCATTGAAAGTTCCCATTATCAGCATAACTCCTCCAAGATATGTGAATTTCATGTAGGGAAAAAAACGAGATCTAACCCATCACCATTTTCTAAGCTTGAATATTTAGTTACCATTGTATCCATTGCTGAATGCTTAAGTGGAAAGTGGAATTTTAATGGTTTGCAGCAATATTAATATTTTCTAAATATGTCGGTCCTAGGATATTCTTGCCTCTCATTGTTGTGGGACCATTTTAAATTATTTTTGCCTTATGTCTCCCTATGTCTCTTCTCTCTGTACTTGATTACTTATTTGAGTATCTACCTGCCTGCTCTAGAATCATCAAATTATTCTAACCATAAAATAAGATAGGTTTTTTCCAAACGTCACATAATGAGTGCGTGTTCTCTGTATGGCATTTTTGGAGTTAAAGCTTGTCACAAGAGTTTTTGCTAACAATCTTATGAGATTAAGTTTATTCATTCAATTATTCTTGAACAATCTCTCAAAACCTGTGAACTGTCAGGCACTGAGGCTCTATAGAAGGCAGAGATTTGCATTAGATACCAGCTCCAGTAGCTCCCTGGTGTTCTCTTCTATACTTTGTAGTTGCCTTTCTTCTAATGGTTTCATTTTTATAATCCATTTTAGTTTACATCAAATATTAATGTTTCTATATGTGTCATGTAAATACACAGTTACTAAAATGTAGATATAAATATTTTATGAAATATATATAGATCTCTGTGGAAGTTTAAAAATATATACCTTTTATAATTTTCCTTAAGGAAACTCCCTTATCCTTGTTATTAGATTAAATCGGACAGTATTGCCCCCAGGGATTGGAAGGATGGGAGCAGGATGGCTTTGATTTCTATTAGTTCATAGTACTCCACAATAAAAGCTAATTGTTTTAACTTACATTCACACATTATTTTTATATGATGATTTTATGCAAATGATTAATGCTTATGTGTATACCATTATTCTGAGACCACTAAGTCTTTTCACACCTATAGTCATATTTATGTTAGACATAACCTTATAAAACATGCAGAGTCTATCATACTAATTTTAGAAAGGATACATTGAAATATAGATGAGTTAAGTCATTTTCTGTAGGTTATACAGTAAGCACCATATTCAAGTATAAAATAACCTTGACTCCAACTAAATCTACTAGATGCTCAATTATCTGCCAAAGGAAGGATTATCTGGAATGATTTTATCTACCAATCAAATGTTTTCCTGAACTGAAAGACTAAACCTTCTCTTTTACAGACATGATATATTAATTCTAAACTCTTAATATTTAGTATCAATCAGGAGAAAAGTAAAGTATGAAAGAAACATGAAATATCGTAGCATATGTTTAAGATGTTTTAAGTGTTAATTGGATACAGTCTTAAGAAGAGACTCTTTTTTTGTCAGGTCAGCCTTAAAAACTTTTTTCTTTAAATTATTTCTGTAGATCATTACCACAGAACTTATAATAAGGTTCAAATTAATATTCTAAGCCCAATATTTTCTTTGGCTGAAGGGTTATTTAGAATTATGCTTCTATTTTCAAACATTGAATTATAATCTTCGATTTTAGCATAATTGTATTATAATTGGAAAATACGTTATGTATTACTTCATTTCTTTGAAATCTATATGAATGTACCATTGTATAAGTACCATTTATTGAAGGGACTGTCGTTTTACATAAAATTACTTCAGCAACATCTTTGAAAATCAATAGACCATGTATGTGTGGATCTATTTCTGCACTCTTTTTCAGTTCCATTAATCTCTACATCAATTATATGTGGATAATATATAACTATACATCTTAAAATCAGATGATGTAAGTCCTCCAACTTTGATATAGAGAAACTGTTTTGGTTTGCCAGTGTTTTTTGCTTTTTCATGGCAGTTTCTGTAAAGAGGCCTGCTGAGATTTCAATTGAGATAATATTGGATCTAAAGATCAATTTCATGAAAGTCGGCATCTCAACAATATTGAGTCTTCTGATCCAAGGACTTGACGTATTTCTAATTTTATTTATGTATATCAAAATTTTTTGGTCATTTTCTTTGTATAGAATGTGCACATATTTTATTTAATTTATCCTTATATTTTTCCATTAATTCTATGTGATTGATTTGGTTTTAAAATTTTTCAGCTTTCAAATATTGTTTGCTAATATATAGGAGTATAATTGATCTTTGTAATTTACCTAATGACTATAGCTTTGACTCGTGGATTACTTAAGTGTATGGGGCTTATTTTCTAAGTATTTGGGAATTTTCCAGGTATATTTTCAATACTGATTTCTAGTTTAACTCAATTTTTTTCAGAGTTCATTTGCTTGTATGATTCCAATCCTTTCTAAATTTACTGAGACATGTTTAATAGTTCAGCATGTGTAAAGAATAATGCAATTGAAAAGCTCTTCCAATGAGAGATAATATAATGATGGTGGTTAAACTAAAAAAGAAGATATAAAAACACTAAAATATATGCTTCTAAAAACACGACCTCAAAATATACAAGGCAAAATAGAAAGAGCATGAGAAACAGGCAAATACAGAATCACACTGAAGAATTTTAAAATGTCTTTTGGTAACTGATAGAACAATATGCCATATTACGTTAACAAAACAATTCATACACTAACAATGTAGCCTAATTAAAATCTTTACATTTTGCATACATTCAACATAAACCTTTTTCTCTTAGCCTTTGCCAATATTGCTTTTATTTTCTTGAAAGCCTTTCCTAACATTTTTGTATGACCACTCTGGCCCAATCAGTTTAAAGGCTATATTACCTCTAAGGAGGTTTTCTATTTCTCCTTCTACGATTGAATAGCTAATAATTATTGAATATTGATCCTATGAAAGACACTGTGCTAATTACATAATCATGTGATTTATCTTTATAAGAAAACTATGAGATATCATTATGTCCATTGTATACATCATGAAGTTGAGATTTATGTAGGTTGAATAATTTGCTATATTTAAATACTTCATAAAAGAAAAAGTGAGACACACACCTAATAGTTTCTACTCCAAAGCCCATGTTCTTAAATTCTATTCTAAACTGAATTATATATTTTCTGACTTCTCTTGGTGTAAACTTTACTAGAATGTACAAAGTCTAATTAGGGTTCTAGTTATATGTAACAATCAACCTGGATATTAGTCACATAACCTATGAAAAAAAAGCCAAAATCACATTTTCTAGAAGTAAAAACAAATACTTCTTATTCTCTCTCTCTTTCCCTCTCTTACTTGCTCTATGTGTGTGTGCATACATTTTTAATTGAATTTATCTGAACAAGTGCCCCAATACACGGTATTGCCCAAGGTAGTGTGCTTTTATGGTTCAATACATGGTATTTGATTTTCTACTTGCCATCTTGGCAAAAACATCCGTTAACGATATATGCAATGATGAAGAAATTCAATCTAGCATGTAGCACATTTCTTTTCAGGACTTGTAATTTTGTTCTATAGGGAAGGCAGGTATTTTCAGCAGGAATCAGGGGCCTCCTCACTAAGAATTCCCCCAAGGCTCAGTAATGCCACTGAGACACATTTTCTCTCCTGCAGGCTCTTGGGATTAGTTTACTGGGACACGAGTTATTAGAGGGAATGACTGGGCAAACTGCTCTTAGCTACAGTTATGTTGAAAGCATAAGAGATATATTTACTTATTATGGACAAAAAAGCTTCCACAAAATACTCAGTTCTTAGTTATAAAGTGCCTTGAGGAGTAACATAGATTAAAAAAAAGAATTAACTACCAAATTAACTCAATTCTGCTTTGAAGCTGTGGTTCAAATGAGCATTTAATAGGCACTTTCTTTTTTCAGTAGCAACCCATTGATTTTTTCTAAATGGATTAAGTATTAATTTTAAAAGGATAAAAACTAAACCAACAAATAAGAAAACGATTTTTTACTCATTTTAATTTATTGTATAAACTATGTAACAAAACCATATTGAAAATCAAAATAGTGTTAAAAATTCAGCCACAACTGTCTTTTCCTATTGTGGCAAATAATTGCATTTTATAATATTTTCATAATTGCAAGATGTAAAGAGCAAAGCAAAAATCTTGTTTATCTTCCCCAAATATTTTCTTTGTGTGTGGAGAAGACTAAATTATATTGAACACCAAATTAAAATGTATACAGCTAGATCCCATACCAGGCAGAGTTACTTATGCGATTCACGTAATTTTCACACTATAAATTAGGTATCATTATCCCCACTTAGCAGAATAAGATTGAAGCAGATAGGTATTTAAAAAAACAGTTCTACATAAATTTCAAAGTTACCAAGTGATAATACCAGGATTCAAATTTTGGTCTTACTAACTTTCTAAACGTTCCTTGCTCCAATTGCTGCATAGACAAAGAAATTAGCACTTGTATTTATTAGAGGTCAGAGATTCATACTCAGCTAAGCAGAGATCTTTCCCAGGTGCCCTGAGTTCCGCTTAGGAAATAATGAAGTTTCAAAATGGACAGCTTAGTTCTTCATTAGAGTGATAATTGCCCATTACAGTGACTGCCCATCTGAAAGTATCTCTTAATGTTAATCAGCATATTATCATTTTATTATTAGTAGTAGTATATCTATTCTAAGTACAGGTGTTAAGCTGAGCTCTATGTAGTCTGACATTTTCAATGGCAGTCCTTAAAGTCAGACTGAGTTTGCACCAGCCTTTTATTTCATGGGCACATTTGTATCTTCTCTATGCCTCAGTTTCTGAGCTGCAAACTGAATTAATACTAGAATAATACATATATTAATGTGTTAGTGTAGGAATTTAATGAATTTATAAAGAAAAGCACTCAGAACAGTGTTTTGTAGAGTGTAAGTCGAATATTGGCTTTCTTTATTATGTAAATAGATAGTTACAACAAAATACAATTTAGACAAATGAACTTATTGCTCTAACGTTTTGCAGAATGTATAAGAAAATTCTATGGACAATATTTATATTCAACCCAAGTTACAAAGTTAAAAAAGACAAAAAATTTATTCTACATTCTCATAATATATTTTGTTGTCAGAAATGTTTGAAAAACAGTCCATTATTTAAAATTCCTTTGATATTACATTAATTCTTAAAGTCTTATCTTGTGCACAGAAATTATCCATTATTTGCACATTGTTACTAAATTAGTTAATTGACCATGACTTGTAATTAAATCTAAGGTGGATATTAAATTATTCATGCTGTAAATAAATTAATGCTCAGAGATTTTGCTCTTATTTTTGGAATATTTGATTAGTATCCCTTTACTCTATAACTAACTCATTTTCATTTCTTATGGGCCATAATTTTCCACAGATGGGCACTATGAACCCATAAAAAGTTGATATGACTAATTTGAGTCTATTCTACTTTGTCTTGAAAATATTTTCAGTAGTTTTTTCTGAGGTTTCTAACTGCAAATGAAAGCCAAATGAAGCTTATTTCTCTGAAGTGTGACTTCAGTGTAATGGGTCTTTCTAACAAACGTATCAAAATATAAGTACCCGAATCAAACCGTGTATCAAAACGTCTTCTAGTGAGATTATAAATATTTCTGTGAAATTGTGGACAAATTACAGTGGCCATTGTGAGATCTAATGTGACTAGTGTAATGCAGTGCAGATAGCAAATAATGATGGACACATACCATGGCTTTGAATACTTCTTAACTTCTAGTGTCATCTCTATGTCTATACAGCCCTGTATGTGCACACCCAATGGACACAAATGCACATGTAATATCGTCTAGTGGCACTGTAGATGAATTATGTGAATGAGCTGGGATCAGAACGTATTCTGTTTAATACCATAAATAATTGTTGACCTCTTCTATAATGGCCCTGAGAAAGCTACATTTTCAGAGTAGAAAAATAATTTATTTTTTTCTCCCCAACCGATAGTTTACAGGGAAAACTAGTGTCAACTACAAAAGAAAAACATTAAGAAAACTAGTATATGTCCTGGTAAGTGGTCTGATAGAGGTATACTTGGGGTCTTTCCAGAACACAGTAGAACCACTTCCAGAATTATCAAGAAAAGTTTCTCATTGAAGATGTTGTCTGGATACTCACTGTCTTGGTGGGAGTTTAAGAGAGGCTGTCAAAGCATTTCCATGGTTATGGGTTCCAAAGAAGCAGTGCTGCCTTTGCTGAGTAACCTGGAGGTCTCAGTGATCATTTTGATAATTCTGGAAGATCAGAAATTAATTTTTTTAAATTCTAATACCTAAGCAGTTAATAATTTCTCTTTCCAGGTAATACTATTCACAAAACTTTAAGATTTTTATCCATCAGCATTGTTCTATTGTTATAGTGTAGAGGATATACACATTGTCCTTTTTGTGTACATCTACATATATTTAACCAATTTGAATTAAATATAACAAGTTCTGCTTAATGTGTGAGCTTACATAAGATATGTTCCTTGGTTTTAGAGGCCTGACATTCTAAACGGTGGAGACAGATGCATGAAGAAATTTATATAATAGAGCTTTCGGTGCTGAGACTATTGCAGTATTAGAATGTTTTGAATTCGACAGTGTAATTATGTTCCATGCTGAAATAGTATTGTTTACATGGTCTACTTGAGCACTGAATCATGGCAGAATGTACACTTGATTAAATACATTTGGTGCATGAACCTTCAAAACAACCTGAAATGTTAATTTCAAGTTGAGATTTTATAAGAAAAATATTAATAACATATCTGTTATTTGCTAAAAGTTAATGTGTGTGTTTGGGAGCATTGATTTATGGAGGAGAGTTGTGGGAAAGATGGCACTATAAATTTTTTAATTTCTTGGTTTCATTTCCAACTTAATCTAATCACAGTAAAAGTGATAATATTACTCTTAAATGCATGGCCCTTATCAGGGATAAAATATCATATCTGGGGATAAAAAACTTAGTGGTAAGTGACATGTCATAAATCACTTGGCTGTTCCGTTCAAAGGCAGATGGAGGTACTTGGAAGTTTAGCTGCCGTGGGGTAAAGAAGGTCCACATATCCCCATGTGTTTTAGGAAACTAGATTTGGACTCGCTGAATGAAACTGGTGTAAACTTCTTGCATCCTTATTATTAAAAAGTGAAAAAACAAAAAAACAATAGATGCTGGTAAGGTTATGGAGAAAAGGAAACACTTATATACTGTTAGTGTCAGTCATTGTGGAAAGCAGTTTGGAGATTTCTCAAAGAACTTAGAACTACATTTGACCCAGCAATCTCATTACTGGGTTTATACCCAAAATAAAATAAATTATTCTATCAAAAAGATACATGCAGCACTATTCATAATGGCAAACACATAGAATCAGCCTAGGTGCCCATCAACAGTGGATTGGTTAAAGAAAATGTGTCACATATACACCATGGAATACCATGTAGCCATGAAAGAGAATAAAATAACGTCCTTTGCAGCAACATGGATGCCGCTGGAGGCTAGACTATTATCCTAAGCCAATTAATGCAGGAACAGAAAACCAAATACTACATGTTCACATATAAAAACATTGGGTACACATGGACGTAAAGATGACAACAATCACCACGGGACTACTAAAGCAGGGAGAGAAGGTGGGGGGCAAGGGTTGAAACACTATTGGAATTTAAGCTCAGCACCTGAGTGACCGGATCAATCGTACTCCCAGCCTAAGAATCACACGTCCTACTCATGTAACAAACCTGCACATGTACTCCCTGAATCTAAAATAAAAGTTGAAATTATAAAAAAAAAAACATAAACGTTAAGTTTCTGCATACTTTGAGGGAGACAGAGAGAAAATATGACTGAGATTAGAATGTTTCTCTGTTGTGGAGTGGCATGTTCTACAGATGTCTCTGGGGTCTAGTTGGTTTGTAGTAATGTCAACTTATGCATACAAACATGACTCTTTGCCTTTTTTCCTCATATTATTGTTATTCATATTAAACTTCGGCATGCAACAAAGCCAACAATACATTGTTATATTGATTACTATGTGTAATTTTATGTCTTCTAAGGAAGCTGAAAGAAGAATGACTAACAAATATATATTTACAGCTTTTGTTATATTAATCCTCCTATTTTTCATCTTTGGTTTTCTTTGTTTCCATGGATTTCAGTTAACCTCTGGCATCATTCCCTTAACCCAAAACAACTTTGATCTTAATGGCAACTATATTACACACATTATATTTCCATATGTTACATGAGCAATGATATGGTTTGGCTGTGTCCCCACCCAAATGTCACCTTCAATTGTAATAATCTCCACATGTCAAAGATGGGGCCAGGTGGAGATGATTGAATCATAGGGGAAGTTTCCTCCACACTGTCCTTGCGGTAGTGAATAAGTCTCATGAGATCTGACGGTTTTATAAATGGGAGTTCCCCTGCACAAGCTCTCGTTTGCCTGCCACCATGTAAGACATGCCTTTCTCCTCCTTTGCCTTCTGCCACGATTGTGAGATGCATCCCCAGTTATGTGGAGTGGTGAGTCCATTAAACCTCTTTTTCTTTATAAATTACCCAGTCTTGGGTATGTCTTTATTAGCAGCATGAGAACTAATACAGCCAGCAATATATTGTATTATTTTATTTTCTATGACTACCTTTGTAAAATCAGTTAGGAGAAAAAAAGACAGAAAAAAATGACAGAATTGCCTTTTCCAGTGCCCTTTGCTTTTTCATGTGGATGATTTACCATGTGTGGGTCATTTGCTTTTAGCCTGAAGAAGTTTCTTAGTATTTCTTGTAAGGCAGGTCTCAAAGCAATAAAGTCTCTATTTTTTTCTTTTTTAGGAAAGTCTTTTATCTTTACTTTTCATAGATAGCTTTGCTGGATATAGAATTGTTCGTCAATTTTTTTCCCTTGAGCTCTAAGAATATGTTATTCCACCACCTTCTAGTGCTGAGTCCTTTTTCTCTTGCTGCTTTCGGAGTTTTTCCTTGTATTTAACTTTCAGCATCTTATGATATACCTCTTTGTATATCTATTTGTGCTATCCTATTTGGATTTTGTTGAGCTTCTTGGATATGTAGATTGAATTTTAAAAAATAAATTTGATAAGTTTTCAGCCATTATTTTTCAAATACATACATATATATATTTTTTCCTAATGCTTTCTCTCCTTCACCTTCTTCCGGTGCTCTCATTCTGCATATTTGGTGCACTTAATGGTGTCCCACATTTCCCTGAGGCTCCATGCATCTCCATTCCCTCTACCTTCTCTCCATTCTTTAGATTACATAATCTGTATCAATCTGTATTCATGTTTACTAATTATTTCTCTTGTTTGTTCAAATCTACCATCCTATTGAATACCCAATTCTTCCTAATTCTCAAATAGCTGCTATTTACTAAATAACTGTTATATATACTAAATAGCAGCCATCTGAGGTCTACACATCTTGAATAGATATACTTGAAAGAATATTAGTTAACATTCTATTTCTAGGCTTGATACTACATCATTATTGCTGAAATAGTGACTTGACTGCCTTCTGCTTTGAACAGCTTTTTTTGTAACTTGGCAAATGTAGATATTACCTTTTTTCAAAGGATTAAAGGAAAAATAAATAACATATGTGAGAGTGCTTTAATATATCAATATAAGGTATAATATTAATAATTCAAATGTAATAAATTCTGTTAAATTCTTTAGAAATTTGTTAAGTATTTATATCACCCCTATATAATTTCTTTA
Organism: Homo sapiens; assembly: GCF_000001405.40. NCBI lineage: Eukaryota > Metazoa > Chordata > Mammalia > Primates > Hominidae > Homo > Homo sapiens. The sequence continues at coordinate 14,161,761 of NC_000002.12, read as the reverse complement.
AAATTATATGAACAAAGTTAAATAAAAACAGCTCTTATTACATTTTAAAAATATTTCTGATGACATTTTTAAAAATATATAAATACAGTAAATATAATTCTGAGACGTGGGACCAACATAGATATAATTCTGAAAACTAAGCATAGGGAGAGTTCTAGAACTGAGAAGATTTCAAAATTTGGAAAAATAAGCATTCATTTTCTTTTCACAAGGCAAAATTTAGAGTTTGTGACGTGAAAATTTATTTGAATTCAATACCAGAGCTTTCTAAGGATTAAAACTTTTCACTAATGAAACACAGCTATTAAATATTGTCTTGTTGGTATTAGAACAGAGGCAGACCAGTCTTTTGCCAGTATTTCTATATAAGGTATTGCTGAAATCTAAATATTTCCTGAAATCTAAAGATTTCTCTCAATCAGCATATTAGTGTTAATAACAACTTGATGAGAGACTTTGTACTAAATGAATTCTATGGTTTGAATTTGTCCCCACCAAAATTTAGGTGTTGCCAGTGTGATCATATTAAGAGGTAGAGCCTTTAAGCCACCATGATTAAGTTATGATGGCTCCTCCTTAATGAATAGAATTAAGGTCCTTATAACAGAAGCTTGAAGCAGTATTCAGCTAACTTGCTCTTCAGCCATTTGAGGACACAGTGTTTCTTCCTTCTAGAGGAACAGCAAGAAGGTCCTCACAAGACACTGCATGCCAACACTTTGATTCTGAATTTCTCAGCCTCCAGAATTTTGAGAAAATAAATGTATTTTCTTTATACATTACCCAGGCCCAGATATTTTGTTACAGCAGCAGAAATAGACTAAGACAATAGGTGATTTTTCAAACTGGGTTTAGAAAAGAAAAACAAAATTTTAAAAAAATTGACTCAAAGCCCCAAGCTGAGGATGAAAATGGAGACTGATCTCATGGAATACCATGTTATTATTTTACTCAAAGTAAAATTTTAATTTTATATATATACACACACACAAAATTTTAATTATATATATTTTTAAATATTGGGAAGTAATGTAGGGCTCTTTGGGAAAAAATCCATTTTTAATTTTTTTTATTATACTTTAAGTTTTAGGGTACATGTGCACAACATGCAGATTTGTTACATATGTATACATGTGCCATGTTGATGTGCTGCACCCATTAACTCATCATTTACATTAGGTATATCTCCTAATGCTATCCCTCCCCTCTCCCCCCACCCCACAACAGGCCCCAGTGTGTGATGTTCCCCACCCTGTGTCCAAGTGTTCTGATTGTTCAATTCCCACCTATGAGTGAGAACATGCGGTGTTTGGTTTTCTGTCCTTGCGATAGTTTGCTCAGAATGATGGTTTCTAGCTTCATCCATGTCCCTACAAAGGACATGAACTCATCTTTTTTATGGCTGTTTAGTATTCCATGGTGTATATGTGCCACATTTTCTTAATCCAGTCTATCATTGATAGACATTTGGGTTGGTTCTAAGTCTTTGCTCTTGTGAATAGTGCCGCAATAAACATGCATGTGCATGTATCTTTACAGCAGCATGATTTATAATCCTTTGGGTATATACTCAGTAATGGGATGGCTGGGTAAAATGGTATCTCTAGTTCTAGATCCTTGAGGAATCCCCACACTGTCTTCCACAATGGTTGAACTAGTTTACAGTCCCACCAACAGTGTAAAAGCATTCCTATTTCTCCACATCCTCTCCAGCACCTATTGTTTCCTGACTTTTGAATGACCGCCATTCTAACTGATGAGATGGTGTCGCATTTTGGTTTTGATTTGCATTTCTCTGACGGCCAGTGATGATGAGCATTTTTTCATGTGTCTGTTGGCTGCATAAATGTCTTCTTTTGAGAAGTGTCTGTTCATATCCTTCACCCACTTTTTGATGGGGTTGTTTGATTTTTTCTTGTAAATTTGTTTAAGTTCTTTGTAGATTCTGGATATTAGCCCTTTGTCAGATGGGTAGATTGTAAAAATGTTCTCCCATTCTGTAGGTTGCCTGTTCACTCTGATGGTAGTTGCTTTTGCTGTGTAGCTGGTTCAACATATGCAAATCAATAAACATAATCCATCATATAAATAGAACCAAAGACAAAAACCACATGATTATCTCAATACATGCAGAAAAGGCCTTCAACAAAATTCAACAGCCCTTCATGCTAAAAACTCTCAATAAACTACGTATTGATGGGACATATCTCAAAATAATAAGAGCTATTTATGACAAACCCATAGCCAATATTATACTGAATGGGCAAAAACTGGAAGCATTCCCTTTGAAAACTGGCACAAGACAGGGATGCCCTCTCTCACCACTCCTATTCAATCTAGTGTTGGACATTCTGGCCAGGACAATCAGGCAAGAGAAAGAAATAAAGGGTATTCAATTAGGAAAAGAGGAAGTCAAATTGTCCCTGTTTGCAGATGACATGATTCTATATTTAGAAAACCCCATCGTCTCAGCCGATAATCTCCTTAAGCTGATAAGCAACTTCAGCAAAGTCTCAGGATACAAAATCAATGTGCACAAATCACAAGCCTTGCTATACACCAATAACAGACAAACAGAGAGCCAAATCATGAGTGAACTCCATTCACATTTGCTACAAAGAGAATAAAATACCTAGGAATCCAACTTACAAGGGATATGAAGGACCTCTTCAGGAGAACTATGAACCACTGCTCAACAAAATAAAAGAGGACACAAACAAATGGAAGAACGTTCCATGCTCATGGATAGGAAGAATCAATATTGTGAAAATGGCTATACTGCCCAAGGTTATTTATAGATTCAACGCCATCCCCATCAAGCTACCAATGACTTTCTTCACAGAATTGGAAAAAACTACTTTAAATTTCATATGGAACCAAAAAAGAGCCCACATCGCCAAGACAATCCTAAGCCAAAAGAACAAAGCTGGAGGCATCACGCTACCTGACTTCAAACTATACTACAGGGCTACAGTAACCAAAAACAGCATGGTATTTGTACCAAAACGGAGATATAGACCAATGGAACAGAATAGAGCCCTCAGAAATAATACCACACATCTGCAACCATCTGATCTTTGACAAACCTGACAAAAACAAGAAATGGGGAAAGGATTCCCTTTTTTAATAAATGGTGCTGGGAAAACTGGCTAGCCATATGTAGAAAGCTGAAACTGGATCCCTTCCTTACACCTTATACAAAATTAATTCAAGATGGATTAAAGACTTAAATGTTAGACCTAAAACCATAAAAACCCTAGAAGAAAACCTAGGCAAAAAAATCCATTTTTAAAAAACATTTGTGAAACAATGCTTCCGGTATCAATTTGTAAGCTATGAAACTAGGCAAACTCTCTTCATCTTTTCAGATTTATGATATTTTAAATTTGAAAACAGGTAAATGAGGAGAACAGTTTCTCAATCTTAGTTCGGTGCTTTCTGGATTTTTTCTCTAGTTTTTCAAAGTTTTCCCTGATTTATTTTTAACTTTCATCAGCATCTAATTCTTTGGACTCTTTTTTTATTCTCTCAAGGGTAGAGCCACTCTAGAAGAAATGGCTTTTCTCTAAAGAGGATGTCTGGGGTATTGCTGTTGTAAAAAGACACATTTTGAGCTCTTCATTACAAAAAGAGAAGAGATTTCAACCCAGGTTCAACTTTTCTAGCAAAAGGACACAAAGGCCAGATGCAATGCACATTTATTCTGTCATTCTTCTTCTCAGTTCTTTCTAGGCTGACAGCTGTATGGCATGAAATAAGAGATGCTTTTGGCCAGCCAGAAATATAAAGGCCATAAAGAAACAGCACACACTGCACTCATTTCCCATAAAACAGGACCAACTTTATTTTGATTTATAATAGAAATGACAATTCATAAATTTGTTCAGGCATGTACAGAATCAAACACAAAATATAAAACTCCCTCAACAATTCAGGATGCTACCAATTAGGTTGAAAATTGAATAATTTCCTTGAGTTTAATAACTTGAAAGACACTTGTAATGATTTCTCTCTCTCTCTCTTCCCCACACTCTTATTTTCTCTTTCACAGACACATATAAACACAAATTTTCAGAAAATTATCAGTTATTACTACAGCTTATAGTGCTTTTTGCTATTATTATTTACATCTGCAATGTAAATTTTACATCTAAAATTATTTCCCATGAAGTTGAATTCAAATAATTCAGGAGATTTCTTGTACTTTAAAATATCTTCAGAGTATTTGGTCACATGTCTTGTTAAAAATATAATGCTACAGGATTATATCTTTTTCTCTCTTTTTTAATCTTATTAATAGAAAGATCCTGGAATGGTCCTTTTTATTAGATAAGTGGAAGTACATGTGTACATGCATATTTATATACAACTGCATGGAGTACACAGAATATATCCAGGAATCTTGAATCAAAGAGTTTTTTTAAAAAGAAATATTAAAAATATGGTATAAATGTATATTGAGCACTTCCTCAATATCATGTACCATTTTATAACTAACATCTCATAGAAGCTGCCATATATTTTAGAAATGAGAACCTTGAGACTCCATAGGGTGATGAATCCTGTCACATAGTGGGAATATGACTCAGTTGGGATTCAACTGGTATCTTCTCCTACCACATTTTCCCATTTTATTACTCCAAAGTTAATCAAGAAATAATGAAAATTAATCCATAAATTGTGCTTCTTCTTTAGGAATTGGTGAAATTTCATGATAAAGCAAAATATTCCACCAATTCCTAGTTAGATAAACTTGGTCGAGTGAAATTATCTGTGCTTCACCCTCCTCATCTGTGAGATGGGGATAAACACAGTCATTTTGTCATGTGGCTATTGTGAAGAGCAAATGATTGAATCCATGTAAAGTGTTTAGAAATAGAATGCTCATATAACATAGCATGTTTCATAGTCTGGGACATGGAAGTCTCCCGGTATAGTCTAATAATTACTATTATTTCTCTGACTCTAATACCTTGGTTCTTTTTTTTTTCCTCTTATGCTGTGATAATGTAGTGGATATTTTCTTTTCCCCCAGAAATTACTGGTTTTTTTCTTCTCTTTTTAAGATAACTTTGTTCTAGTGTTTCTATAAAAAGAGAATGCAAATATGTTGGCAAATAAGGTTAAAATGAACCGGGGGGAATTGAGTATATTAACCTATTTTCCTGTCACTGAAGACTTAATTCTCCTGCTAGACAAAGCATAGCTGATATAGCAGCTCCCAGGACATTGGTATGCAGACCTAGTGCATCCATGGTAAATTAAGTTAGCTTTTCCAACTCTTTTATACAAGATTTAACTCTCTACTCTCTGGTGGCATTATGATAACACAGTTTCATAAAAGATTATCTTTTATCATTTCTGCCACATATTTAGAGCCTATATTTGTTGCCTAGATCTCACTCCTGAGTAATAGAGCTGTGTATTCCCCTCTCTAGTAGATGTCTTCTGAATCTTCAAGAGGCAATTTGAACTCAGTATGACCTAAGTTAGTTTATTTTCCTTTCCTCCAAAGTACTTCTGTCCATTGTGTAAACTTCATCTCCATTAGCAGATTTGCCTTATGTGCAGGCCACTGGCAGAAAACTGAGAGTCATCTTCTACTCTTTTGTATTTTTCAAATTAAAAAATAAAAGTTGAATGTTGCAACAGCCTTCCAATTAATTCCCTAACTCTGGTTTCTCTCTCCATCTTAAACTCTATGTTGCTACAAGCATGATATTCTTTGATGAACAAAGATGGCTGCACCTTCTAAATAACTGTTTCTTCCAATAATCATATTTTAGAAATAGACTTCAAAGGAAATCTTTTTCCTATTTGAAAAATACCAAACTTACTAACATGGCATAGAAAACTCGTCCTGACCTAATTTATTTCTCTCTTCCCACCTCCTTCTCACCAAAACATGTCTTGTATCCCAATATGTATAACTGTTAAAATTTCTAAGAAACACCACACACTATCAGACTCAGAAGCAGGGTTTTTTTTTTAATAGCTAAAGTATGCGGCCTCCATCTCTCTTACTGCTTAATTCCTTATAATCATTTAGGACTTTATTAATGCCACCTCACCTGTAAAGCCTCTTGACAGCCTATGCAGAAGTAGGAACCCATGGAACCTCGTGAATACACCGTGCATAACTTTATAGTAACTTGCATAACTTTATAGTAACTTGCATACCTCAATTGCTAAATTTTTAGTTAGGAACTATACCATTATAATACTAACTACAAGGGGTTGTTGGAGGGATTAAAAGAGACGGGATGGCTAGTTTTATGTGTCAACTTGCCTACGCCATGATACCAAGTGCTTGGTCAAACACTAGTCTAGGTGTTGTTGTGAAAGTCTTTTTAAGATGTAAATAACAAATCAGTAGACTTTGAGTAAAGTGGATTACTCTGGACAGTGTGGGTGAGCCTCATCCAATCTGTTGGAGACCTTCAGAGAAAGGATTGCAGTCCTCAAAGAGTAATAAACTCTGTCTCCAGACTGCCTCCAGTATTATGACTACAATATCAACTCCTGTCGGAATTCCTAGGCTGCTAGCAGCCCTGCAAATTTCAAACTTAGCAGCCCCTGTTTCTTTTTCTCTCTCCATTTCTCCCTCTTCTTTCTCTCCCTCTCTCCCTCCTTCCCTCTCTCTCTCTCTCTCGTATATATATACACAGACAGTTGTTTATGTATTTATATGAAAAAGCCTATTGCTTTTATTTCTTTGGGGAACCCTGACTAGTAAAGGAGATGCACATAGTTAGTGTTTAAAGTAATCTAAAATGGGCCCTGTTTCATACCAAGTACTTTAGTCCTGACATAGTTAGATATTGCTTAAATACATTCTGATATGAATGCCCAATAAACAAATTGATCAAACTGTGACTGTTTGTTGATTTAATCAGAATGAAGGGTGGACAAGATTATTCCTTGCTTAGCTGACTTCTCACCTCTCCATTCTTCTGTACACAGTCCATCTTTTCGGCACATCTTTGTGACTCTTGGAACGCATTCTCAAATCCTAGGGGCTCAAGCTCAAGTCTATATTTTCTGTCTACCTGGAATAAAATAAGTGCATCATTAGACAGTATTAACAGTGTCTTTGTACAACACAGGCCTTGGAATTTGTCCTTGGATTTACGCTTGACTTTGTGATGCATTTGAAGTACTGGAGCAAAGTGACCACTTTCGTACTCAGATAGTTTTCCAAGAGCACAGTGTCTGTCAAGGCGAGATTCATAATGATTTTGGTCAACTGAGAATACATTAAGATTAGACTGGGGTCAAAAGATGGGTGAGTGCTGATTTATTTCCTAGATTTTATGGTAGTTTTAAAATGTCACATTAAAAAAAAAAGAACTGGTCCCATTGGAGACCCATCTAATTATAATGTCTGGCTATTAGGTACTGATAGGTGATATTTTTTAAATGTGTAGGTGATTCTGACATAGAGCTCTGAGTAAAAATATTCGTTATAGTATTCCATGTACCTTGCTTTTCTCAGCCACGGCAGGAGGGAGTTAAAAGAGTTAACCTGTGAGCCATTCACTTGCTTTAGTTCCCTGGAGTAGGTGAAGAGAAAGAAGACAGGTGACCTGGTCTACTCTTCTTGTCAACTGGACCACTCTTTATCTCTGGATAAAGAGACAACATTGGCTTGATAGTAGAGGCTTCATCTAGTGAGTGCACTTAGCAAGGTTTTCCCTTACCAAAGATTTACTAATAGTGCAAAACAAAACAACACAACACAAAACAAAAAACTATGAGGCCTGACTCCCTGGGAAAAGTAACATAAGTGATACAACTTTCTGAAGTATAAAATGGAAGATGTATCATAACACAAATGCTTCTCATTGTGTTCAATAATGACCTTTAAATCCTCACCTGGAGATTCTCTCTCTTATCCTTGACCAGACAGTGTAGGTCTAACATGGGAAGACACATCAAGGGAGGTTTTCTTATGTCCCGGGCATCTGCCTTCTGTGCCTGAGCCTCTTTATTGACTGTATCCCTGGGATTATTGGTAAAGTTTGACCCCAGATAAAATCTCTGATATGTTTGAGCCTGATTTGACAGCCCTATCCTGTGTATTAGCTTAGATACCAATGAGTATTTTGAATATTTTGCTTTGCCAAAATAAAGAACTAGGTTGGAAGTGGAACAAAGGGTAATATTTAATTTTATCCTAATAGCCATGGAATATAAAAACTGGTACCTAGGTTGATAAAAGAAGCCAAAGGAACAATTAGCCTGTGAATATGGTACTAGATCATTTCCTGCCTTCTTGTATACAAAGACATTTTGATATTTTGAAAGGAAATAAGATGGGGTGGAACAAGGTGTTAATGCTGTCTTTCCTGTGAAATGAACATTAAGTTATCTGTGTTTGTGATAGTTTCATTTTTAAAAACATGCCCTTTTACAGAGAAATGCACCCTTAACTTTAGGTCTCATGTTTTAGGGACAGATACTATGGTAATCTTTATTAGAAATATTATCTCAGAAATTCAAGGCAATGGCCTCGAGACATGCCCATCAAGTAAGCAACATAAACAACATGGCTCCCGTTTCTAAAGTAGCTAAATCACATCTGCTAATGATCACTTTTATTTCCTAATGTCTGCAAAGATGCTGTAAAACAGTCTGTGCAGAAATTTCAGAAGTGTTCTCTGAGTTCTAATGAGACTTCTGAACTTCCCACAGTAAAAATGGAAGTGGAAGTGGGCTTATAGCAAGGAAGTCCCACTCATGGGTTGGGGGATCTACATACACTATTGATTCTTTTTATTGGTGGTAGGGAGAATACTTAAAACATTTCACATTTTAAAGGTTCCGCATTGCTGTACTCAGCTGCCATAACATATAAAAGAAAGACGACGGATGAGTGTGCCTTTTATTTTTTTGAAAGTATTATTGAGGATAAGCCTAACTGGGTGTGACAAGCAGTAAAGTGCTGGGAATAATCTAAAAAGTTCTGGTTTGAGAGCTTGGAAACCTGACCTCTCAACTTGACTTTGAAACTTACTAGCTGCATCGACTTGAGAAAGTCAATAACTTCTCTGAGCTTGGCATTCTACTTCTAAAATATAAGGCCACTGAACTTGATAATGTCCAAGTTTTAATCTTGCCCCACTTATTTTGACCCAATGAATCTATAATTCTATGATTTCTGAATATACTTGCTGTTAATTAAGAAGAGTAAGAGATCAAATTTATATATAGGGAAATCTAATTCTCATTTTATCCAACTTTCCTTAAACATTTTCATCCAACTACCTTAAAGGTCAAAGGAGAGTCCTCATGAACCTGGGGACTAGTTAAAGCAGCAGCAAGAAAGAACCTGCTTTGACGTTCTGGCTTTAAAGTTGAACATTAATTCAATGTGCTTAGCCTGTGCTGTAATTTATCCAATTGTTTTGTATAAAAGTAGGTACTTTCTTCGTTCTTCTATGATTCTTTACTAAAACTGATGCTTATATTGTGCTGCCTCTTAAGGGGTCCATTACCCACATGTAGCTACTTAAATTTACAAACAAAATAATTAAAATTAAATGCAATTAATAGTTCACTTGCTTGGGTGAATTAGCCACATTTCAAGTGCTCAATAGTCATATGTGGCTAGTGGATAATGCATTAGACAGTGCAGATATAGAACAGTTCCATCATCATAGAAAGATCTACAAAATCGGCCCAGGCGTAGTGGCTCAGGCCTGTAATCCCAACACTTTGGGGGGCTGAGGCGGGTGGATTACCTGAGGTAAGGAATTTGAGACCAGCCTGACCAACATGGTGAAACCCCATCTCTGCTAAAAATACAAAATTAGTTTTGCGTGGTGGTGCATGCCTGTAATCCCAGCTACTTCGGAGGCTGAGAGAGGAGAATTGCTGGAACCGGGGAAGCAGAGGTTGCCGTGAGCCGAGATTATGCCATTGCACTCCAGCCTCGGCAACAAAAAAACTCTGTCCCCCCACTGCCCCCCAAAAAAGAAAGATCTACCAAGTCACACTTTGGCCAAAAATAATCTGTTGGTTTCTTGTTGCTCAGGAATTCTGAGTGCTTTCTGAAATACAGAAATCCAGTTTGAGAATTACAGCTGAAAGGATGCTGAGGAATGTTAACTTCTAATATAGTAGAAACAAAGCCTATATTGGGAATTAGAAATAATAGGAATCATATCAAGTTCTGTAGTGTAGGGATTTTGGCAAATCACTTACATTATTAATGTGTCTAGACACGGTTGCTTTATCTGTATTATACTAATAAAAATAAAGGCACTTCCTAGATCATAGGGCCAACTGAAGAGAAAATGAGATATTGCACAAAGACAAACATGTCCCATTAATATTTATATATTCTCAATTTATCAAGGTGTTAGACACATCTGGGCACTTAACAAAAATTTAATAACTGATGGATTAAGTGATGGGTATTAATTCATTTATATAACATTGATATAAAAAATCTGAAAGTGAACCTGTTTATGAAATTTTCAAAACACCATTCTAGTAATCAAGACAAAATATTTTTACTTTATTAAAATTATTTCTCAAAAAATTATTTCTTTTCTTTTCTTTTTTTTTTTTTTTTTTTTGACAGGGTCTCATTCTGTTGCCCAGGCTGGAATGCAGTGGTGCAATCTTGGCTCACTGCAACCTCTGCCTCCCAAGTTCAAGTGATTCTCCTGCCTCAGCCTCCTGAATAACTGAATAATATTATTCCATGTTATAACTGGAATACAGGTGCACACCACCACACCTGCCTTTTTTTTTTTTTTAGTCTTTTTAGTGGAGACGAGAGGTTTCACCACATTGGCCAGTCTGGACTCAAATTCCTGACCTCAAGCAATCCACCCGCCTTGGCCTCCCAAAGTGCTGGGATTACAGGCTTGAACCACGGCACCTGGCCTCAAAGATTTATTTCTAAATTTAACATGCTGGAGGATTAGCAGAGCGGCATAAATTACCTGTAAATTGTGGAATCTTATACCAAATTTAGTTTTAAAGTTTTAGCCAGTAAGTTTAGCATAAGTTCTAGGGCTAAAGAGATGACATAAATTTTCCTTACAACCAAATCATCTCTGAACATTATCCTTTTCTATTGTTTGAAATAATATCTCAAGCTATTTTTGGAATGAGGCATTGCTTATTTGAAGGCTGCTTCCCTGGATCCCCTCTACTATAGTAGAGCACAGTATTAAGCCAAGAATTTGTAAAATAAAGTTGTAAGAGATAGGTAAGAGTCAAAATTTAGCGCATCTGCCTCATCATAATGTTCCTTGGGCCATTAAGCAATGTCTATTTGGTCCCAATTTACAGAGAATTCTAACAATGCCAGGGACCTACCTGCTTTCAGTTTATAGCAGATTATAGTTTGTAGCATTAAATATGTCTCAGTGGAAGGGTTACACGTAAAGTAGAAAAAGTGATCCCTGGCAGTCTTATCTTTTTTTTTTAATTTATTATTATTATACTTTAAGTTTTAGGGTACATGTGCACAATGTGCAGGTTAGTTACACATGTATACATGTGCCATGCTGGTGCGCTGCACCCACTAACTCGTCATCTAGCATTAAGTATATCTCCCAATGCTATCCCTCCACCCTCCCCCCACCCCACAACAGTCTTAAGAAAAATAAAATCTCTGTGAGAAAAAGAGCAAATAAATAAATAAGTAAAGAAAGCAGACAGAGGCCATTTCACATGGCACAAACCACTCTAAGTTTTCCAGTCTCCAAGGGCATTTTTGGAACCCAGTGTAATATTAGATGGAAGTATCAAATGATATGAAATAAAGCACGACTTACAGAGTCTGAGGAATTAGATTCTAATCTGGGCATTGTTATTCAGTGTTTGTATCAACTTTGGCAAATACTCTTCTTGCTAGTTACTTCCCCTTCTCTATAAAATGAAGGTAAAGTTGTATTATCACTTGAGTCACTTTTGGTTTCCGAGTTTTATGATTTAGTTTGTAAAAACAAATTAATATGATTGTCCTAAGGGTTTTTTTTTTTTTTTGGAAGAATTTGTTCACTCATCATGCTTCTTTGACATGTGTGCTCATGTGTGTATATGTCACTCAATTGCTGATAGGTTGACAGTCTCCAGACAGTAGCGCAAAGAACACACTTCCTCTGGAGCCACACAGGCCAGGCTTTGGGTCAGGGCTTTGGCAGTTCTTGGTTATCTGACTTCTGTCAACTATTCTGTGTATTTATGGAATCATAGTTCCTTCTCTGTAAAATGGGAATTGTATCATGCAAATTTAAAACGTTAGTCATGGGGATTAAAATCAAGTATAAACAAAGCTAGACTTCGTTTTTGTGCTTTATATAGGAGACTAAATGAAGAGTAATTAATACTGTTTATATCTTCCCTGTCTCTTTAAAATTCCCATGGCCTTACTGGTTGACAATTCAGTTAGAATATATTTGTTATTTTAAATTTTAAAAGCATAAGTAATTTAGACAAAAATGAGGAAAATGCTAAAGCAGCACTTTAAAGAGGACCATAAGCAGATAAAATTAATCAAGCTTAAAGTGATACTTGTAATTCTAGAAATTTTTATCCAAACATTAGAATTTTCCTATAATTATTTTATTGTTCTTGTTAGTCATTTATGTTATAAAAAATTAATTCACATTTATCTTATTGATATCATGGCACTTGACTTGGTATTTGTATTTTTTGGAATTTCTACATGTCTGATTTTGAGATCAAGAACCAACAATTCATTCCAGATATAAACACATGAAAAGAATTCAGTCTCACAAAATGTGCATTACCAAAATGAAACATCGCCTCTCCTCAATGTATCATATGCATTAATTTTAATTGTATTTTTATTTTTAGTTTTAACAGATGTATGATTTTTGGCTCATGGAAATTAAATTTACACTATTATATATTATTTTGGTAAAACCTATCAATATGTTAATGATATTAGGTACTTTGTTTCATTGTTGAATTACCAATTTCAACTGTAGATGTTAAGAAAAGAAGTAACCAGAGGTGTATTGAAGTATGTGTACATGGATACAATCCAGTATTTATTTTTATTAGTGTATTTAAATGCATTTTGATCTTTAAGATATCTTTCTCAGCCTTATCATGTTTAGTATATATTTTATGTAAAATATTATCGGGCTTGAACTTGCCTGTATCCCTTCTTACCTATTGGAAAGTATACTTTCCTTGCATGCATAAGAAATGTAGCACTATTTCTTATGTACATGCTCAGCAGTAGAGAATGCTTTTTATGTTATGATGTTACATTCATGCTAAACATATGTTTCAGAAATTAAATATGCTGCAGATTTGTTTACATTAAAATATTTAGAATATTTAACGAGAAGCTGTGTGTTTACAGCATGCATTCCAACATGAGCAATATTTCATCATCCCCAAGGGGGTGAAAAATTGGTTTTGGAGGACTGCCAAAAGTCTTAATCTTTTTATGTGTAAAGCATAGATATACATATAGTACATAAAAAGATAAATGGCACACCTATGATATTAAAATTCATACTGCCTTTTTAACAATATGATTTTTTAAAAAACTATTGAGAAATGCTTAAAGGGGTGATATTTTAAAAAATCTTGAAAAATACTGGTTTACAATATAATGCTAAGTGCTAAAGAGGAAATGAAACTTGATACTTAGAGTCTCTCCCACTTTGGAGGGTTGGTACGGGACCCCCATGGATAACAATCTACCGATTCTCAAGTCCCTTACATAAAATGACATAGTATTTGTATATAACCTATGCACAGCCTCTTGTATACTTTAAATTATCTCCAGATAATTATAATACCTAATAAAATGTAAGAGCTAGGTAGATAGTTGTTATGCTACATTGGTTTTGAATTTATATTATTTTTATTGTTGTATTGTTGTTTTATTGTTTTTCTCCAAAATCTTTTAGATGTGAGATGGTTTGAATCCTTAGATGTGAAACCCATGGATACATAGGGCCAACTATATTTGCGTGTGATATATTTACAAATATATACATATGCAATATACATAATGAACACACACACTCATCTACACACACATCCACTCACACAGAGAATACAACTGAAAGTACTTTGTATGTATATATGCTCACACACACACACACTCCTACAGAGAATTATTGTAGAATTATAGAATATTTTATAAAATATTTTAAATGCCCTTTTTATTTGTGATTTTTACTAATAATTTGTAAAACACACAGTTTTTTTTAATTATTATTTTGAAGACCAGTAACTACCATTGGTTTTATTTGAGCCCAGTATCAGACTACATAGAGGATTCCATGTTATAAAAGACAGGCTTAGAACGCTTGGAGATTAGCATGTAACGAGGAAAAGAATCATACATGAAAGTGTCTAACATAAACAATGAGCCTTTTTATGTGTCAAAAGAAAGATTTGAATGACAATGGTTCTACAATTTAGAAGAAAATCAGTTCTGCTAATCTGTGTGCTCAGGGAAGGGTTCAAGGAAGTGTTAGGACTTGAACTTGGCTTTGGAAGACAAGTATATCAATGGCATTAGGTTTGGTTTATTTCCATGGTATGGAAAAGTTGGTTAACAAGATAAATATTTACTTTTTGCTCACATAAAATCTGTCTTGGCATAAAATCTGTCTTGGCAGAGGCAGTCCAGGGTTGGCATATGACTCTATTGCCTTCAAGATATCTTTCTATCTTGCTGCTTTACCATCTTAATGTTTGGCTTCTATCCTCAAGGTAACCTCACAGGGTACAAGTGATGCTGAAGATCCAGCTTTTATATCCAAATTCCAGGTAATAGGAAGGAAGAGAAGATCTCATTCTTTTCTTTTAAAAAGCCCTCTTGATAGGCCTGCAAAACACCTCTTCTTAAAACTCATTGGATAAAACTCAGTCATATTATGGCCATGTCTAGTTCCTAGGACCAATGAAAGCATTCATATGCAAGGAGGCAATGTCCTCTGCCAACATTTGGGCATTACTGGAGACATAAAAGTAGAATCGTTATTGATTAGGCAATTAGCTGTGTCTGCGACAGTGCTGCCTTTAACAATCTAACAATCTTCGCCTGTTTTAAATATAGAACACCTCTTCCCTGCCTCCCTAAAGAAATATCTCCATGGTCTTACACAAGTTCTACATTCAACACAAAGTCCATAGTCTCTGGAGAAGATATATCATTTCCACAGATCCAGAATGGCTCCTGATTATCCAACATTATATAATCTGGAAATATTTATTTGCCCCCAAAATACCCAACAGAATTGGTACAGAACAATTAAATAAGAAAGGTTATGTATAAAAGGAGGCGATTATATTACTGTGAGAATTGATGTACAAGAGGTACTAAGTGCCAAGGTTGCATAGAACAGGAGGCAATTTTTTCTTGTGACTGGAGAGAGCTGGAAATGGCTCACAGGGGAAAAAAAATTTATCTGGACCACAAAGAGTCGACAGGACTTTAAAAGAAAAATGATAATAATGAAAATGATAGTGGCAAGAATATTATCAATAATGATAATAAAATGAACTAACATGTTAAGTGTTTTATATGTTTTGTTCATTTTTCCTGTTTATCTATATGTGTTAACCCATAACCCATGTATTTGTTTTAACAATCTTATGAACAAAATGTTCATCCTGGTTTTTTTTTTGTTTTTTTTTTTTTTTGAGACGGAGTCTCACTCTGTCACCCAGGCTGGAGTGCAGTGACACGATCTCGGCTCACTGCAACCTCTGCCTCCCAGGTTCATGCCATTCTCTTGCCTCAGCCTCTAGAGTAGCTGGGACTACAGGCGCCCGCCACCACGCCTGGCTAATTTTTTTTTGTATTTTTAGTAGAGACGAGGTTTGACCATGTTAGCCAGGATGGTCTCGATCTCCTGACCTTGTGATCCACCCGCCTCAGCCTCCCAAAGTGCTGGGATTACAGGCCTAAGCCACTTGCCTGGCCTCATCCCTGTTTTATAGAGAAGTTAAGTCTCATGCTCATGCCCACACAGGTAGTAAGTGGCAAGGAAGTGACTTGTCATGCTCTTAACCACTAGAGTAGACTTGTATTGCTGTTAGCATAAATAGAGGGAACACCTAAGAATTTTTTTTGAGGTTTTGCATGGAATGTACTAGACACTAGAAGGTAGTTTTAATTTATGCTATGGCACAAAGATGATTTCCAAAATACACATAAGAACCACTCTGTGTAAGTTGATGTGTGAGTAGTGTCTATGCTTTACTGTTTACAAAAACTTATTTTAGACACTCTGAACTCTAATCGTGAGGAGATGATTACAATACCAGACCAATACTTATTTCACAGACTTTATACAGAAATAATCAGGTACTTTAGACACGTCTACCTATCAATGCTCAAGCCAGTGTGTTTAAATGGGGATTTGCTTGACATTAGAACAGCACCGTATTTCTGTCTTAAGCAAAGCCAGTTTAGAAAGAAAATGAAAAATGTAGTGCTAAAAATGATCTGTGCTCATCCTCTTCATTTTTTTACCATGTTATTTTCAAGGATAAAATACCAACTTTTGAAATAAAGATATTCTGAAGTAACAATTTAGGAATGTTTTATTTATATATTTTTGTTTTCACATCAAATGCTTGAAGAATGTAAAATGCAAGCAAACTGTGACTTTGAAGTTGATCACAGAAATGAAATTTAAATTCACGGCATTTATCTCATAGTGGATAATGAAGATATTCTTGTTAAATATAAGTCTTTCATTATGCTAGTTCTAGTGAAGGAGATGCTTTCTAGAATATCACAGTCCAATAGTACTTTCTGTGGTGCTGAAAATATCCTGTACCTGTGATGTCTAAAAATGGTAGCTACTATTCAGTACCTATTGAGCACTTGTGGCTTGGGCTAATAAGAAACTACATTTTTAATTTTATTTTTGTTAGCTTATATTTAAATGTATACAGCTACACATAGCTAATGGCTACCATATTGGGAAGCACAGCTGCAGTAGGCATAAGTCTTAAATAAATGTTATGTACACATCTAGAAGAACCACAGAAACAAGAGCAAAGCAACCCCAAAGCTTGCAAAAGAAAAGAAATAAAGAAAATCAGAGCTGAACTGCAAAATATTGAGACACGAAAAACCATGTAAGATCAATTAATCCAGGAGTTTTTTACTTGAAAGAATAAATAAGATTGACAGACTGCTAGCTAGCCTAATAAAGAAAAAGAGAGAAGGTCCAAATGAACACAATCAGAAATGACAAAGGGGAAATTACCACTGACCCCACAGGAATATATTAAAAAAAAAAAAAAAAACCCTCACAGGCTACTACAAACACCTCTATGGACACAAACTAGAACACCTAGAAGAAATGGAAAAGTTCCTGGAAACATATAACCTCCCAAGATTGAGCAAGGAAGAAATTGATTCCCTTAGTAGACCAGTAATGAGTTCCAAAATTGAATCAGTAATAATAAGCCTACTAACCAGAAAAAGGCCAGGACCAGTTAGATTCAGAGCCAAATTTTACCAGATGTATAAATAAGAGCAGGTACCATTTCTACTGAAACTATTTCAAAAAATTGAGGAGGAGAAACTCCTCCTTAATTCATTATATGAGGCCAGCATTATCCTAATACCAAAACCTGGCAGAGATACAACAACAACAACAAAAAACTTCAGGCCAATATCCTTGATGAACATGGATGCAAAAATCTCCAACAAAATGCCAGAAAAGTGAATCCAACAGCACATTGAAAAGAGAATCCACCATGATCAAGTAGGCTTTATGCTTGGGATGCAAGGTTGGTTCAATATACACAAATCAATAAGTGCAATTCACCCTATAGACAGAACAAAAAAACATAAACCATATGATTATCTCAATGGATGCAGAAAAGGCTTTCAATAAAATTCAACATCTCTTCATGTTAAAAAAAAAACCCTCAACAAACTAAGCATTGAAGGAACTTACCTCAAAATAGTAAGAGACATCTATGAGAAACCCACAGCCAACATCAAAATGAATGGGCAAAAGCTGGATGCATTCCCCTTGAAAACTAGAACACCATTCCTATTCAACACAGTACTGGAAGTCCTACCCAGAGCAATCAGGCAAGGGAAGGAAATGAAAGGCATCCAAATAGAAAGAGAGGAAGTGAAACTATCTCTATTTGCAGACAATATGATTCTTTACCTAGAAAACCCCATAGTCCCTGCCCAAAAGCTCCCAAATCTGATAAACAACTGCAGCAAAGTTTCAGCATACTTAACCAATGTACAAAAATGGGTAGCATTTTGTATACACCAATAATATCCAAGCAGAAAGCCAAATCAAAGATTCAGTGCCATTCACAATAGCCACAAAAAAATAAAATACCTAGAAATACAGCTAACCAGGAAGGTGAAATATGTCTACAATGAAAATTACAAATGAGTGACACCCTCACAATGAGTGTGGACGGAAATTGTAACTTGTGTTTTGGCAATACAATATGACAAATGTGATGGATGTTTGCTGCATGTTGAAAGGCCAGTTTCACTGGGGTCAGAGACACCTCTTCTACTAGCAAAGAAGACTCTTCAGAGTTTAGGGACTTAATGTCCCCCAGCTTCATCAGAGTCTTCCCACACATCTCCATTTCAAATTACAGGATCCTATGTTTCTGAACTAGTCCTCCTACTTTACCAATAGGCACCCAGTGAAGCCGGAAGTTCAAACTGCTTTATAATTTGGTCACTCTTGGGATAAGGCTCTGTTTTTAATTTTCAGCAATTATAGCCCTGTCACTATAGGAGATAAACCTTTCTTTTAGTTTACACCTAGAAGCACTCAGGTCATTTTTATAGAGTGCCTTAGCTGAGCATTCAAATCCTTGAGCTCATACTTTTCTTTCACCACTGTAGCCAACTACATTAGGAGCAACCAACCAATTCAATTATATTCCATACTTTACAAAAAATGTTTAAATGTATTATATACATAAGTCACTTAGCTCCTTGACTCTTATTAATGCTTGAGTATCCAATGCAGATACTTTGTAAATCTATATAAACAGCTCATTCCATGAATTATCAGTACTCTCTTTACTACTAAAAATAGTCATTAGTGCTTTAATCAGATTAGAGAGCCAATTCCAGACACCCCAGAACAAATTTAGCCAATATGTACTTATAAAATTTCACCCTTTCCCTGCCTTAATGCTTTTCCCTTCATGCAACAAAATTTGCGCATATTTATCCTTGCTTGTACAAATGAATACAAGCTTGTGTGTGTGTGTGTGTGTGTGTGTGTGTGTGTATTTGCGTTTGTATACACACACTTGGGATTTTTTTCACAGACAATAATAAAAGTGGATATTTATTTTTTTAAATAATAAATAGTGAACATACAAGGGTATAAATATACGTTTTCTCCTGATTTCATTGTGTTTAAATATATGCAAGCTTATATGTGATTATATAATATAAGTGCTTTGTATGTGATTAGGGTGTTTAGTGCATTCCTTTTTTGGTTTTACCTTTTTATCTTTTGCTGGTCTCATTCTTTCCTCTCTTCCCCATCACTCATGGAATAACTGCCTTCACGTCTTACACATGTAAAAAACCTGACACCCGTTACCTGTTCATAAAACATAAGTTTGCATATATAAAGTTTTCATATATATATATATGGCATTCTTTGTAGTATGCTGAAGAAAATTTATTTAAATTTAATATAGTTCTCTATATATCAATGTTTTTTTACTCCATATTATCTCATGAAAATTTCTCCGAGACTCCTGGGACAGTTGCAGTTCCACAATATGCTATTTAATATCTGCAAGATAGAGTCTATTTTTAGATCTAAGATAGTATATTCAACCAGCATTAATTTTGTTATGGTATTTCCCTTAAAATTCCCTATAAACATATCTTTGTGTTCCAGACTGATTTAGCAAACAGATTCCCAGCAAATTTTGCATAGAAGGTATATGCATTTATTATTTTAAAAGCACGGCTGTATTGTTTTCCTGCCGTGGGGCTATCCCAGCTGAGTTCCAGTGACTAGGAAGCAGACATGAGAAGTCACCACTGTATCCTTTGTGAATTCCTGTTAGACCTATGAACTTCATAAAGTAAAGATTTATTCTAAGTTTATGTGTGGGTTTACAGCATGAATAGGTACCTGGGTTAGAAACTGATTCCTGGAAGTGAGATGCTGCAGTATTGAAAACCTAAATATGAGGCATTGGTTTTGGGACTTGGAGGTAGGCAGAATCTTGAAGGATCTTGAGGCGACTCTTATTGAAAACTGGGAAACTGGAAGGGCCCTAAAGTTCCCGTTAGTAGAAACTGGAAGGCAAGAAGACAATTTTTATTGGACATTGGGGAAAAGGTGACACATATAATATGGCAGTGGAAAGTTTGAGAAAAAAATGCCTACAATGAAATGGAAAATAAAAACGCTATCAAATTATATTGCAAATCTGAGATTTCCAGGAATAATGTTGAAAAGGCTCACAGGTAACTTCTAACTTCCTATGCAATAATAGAGAGATGAACTAAAAAAGGAACTGTTCACCTTTAAAGTATAATTTTTAGAAAATATAAAGCATTTAGGATAAGATGCATTCAAAACTAAAATTGTTTCTCATCTCTAGTATCTTCTGGAAAAAAACTCTCATGGTAATGAATCCCATAAGAACTATGAAATCTATGACGTTACCTAGTAAAACATAATCTTAAAAAGCTTCTGTAACACATTGTGTTGACACCACATACCTAGTACAGTTTCTAAGGTGTTGAAGGTCATGGCTTTTAAAACTTCTCTCCTAGGGAATAGGACTTCTAAGAAGCTTAAAGGAATGTCTTGTAGACTCTTTCAATTTGACAAAATGCTTTTGGTATCATAAAGGCGTTGTCCTAAAATGGCTTTAATCTCAGCCCAAGGTATAGAGATGTTCGTCTCAGAGAACTGTATATGAATCTCTGTTTAATCAAGCCAACAGCATTATAATTCATAAAAATTGGCAATTTAAGAGAAATGTAGTAGCTGAAGCACCACTTGCTTGAAATAAAAAGGACAGAAAACAATCAAAATGCAAGAAGCCCCAGGAACCCCAACTTCTAAGGACAGGAGCTAAATAAGAAAAGAAAACGCAACAGCACACACAGGCAACAGCACACACAGGGAGAGGCACTAGGAGAGCAGAGGGTCTTCCCTGCATTTAATCTCTCTGTGGGACGCATCCTTAGGGGAGAGAAGGCAAGTGATCCATCTAACCTCCTTGCCAATTGAAACTCCACTTAAATTAAGAGTGATATTTGTTAAGAGAAAGAGTTCTTTTCTATAGAATGTCCTTAAGTAAGGTTCACTTACAGTAAATAAATTCAAACGCAATGAGGTGCATTCCTTGAAAATTGTCGCAGAAGCTCTATAATTCTGTGCAGTATAAAATGAAGACATTCATAACTGAAATTTTCCCTGCTGTGTGAGATAATAACCTGCAAAACTCCACTTTGAGATTTCATCTGTTATTCTGAGATGGAGAGTAAGTATCTGGCAGGAGAAACAAGGGCCTGCGGAGCCCAGCGGGGTGTCTCAGATCTCTCTGTTTTACCTGAGACTTTACATGCCTGTATTCTTGAACTTCACAGTAAAGCTTGATTTCAGGTGTATTTGTTTGTTAGGGCTGCTGTAACAAAGTACCACGAACTGCGTGGCTTGAAGAACAAATTTATTCTCTCAGTTCTGGAGGCTGGGAGTTCCAAATGTAGATGTCAGCAACTTTGGTTTCTTCTGAAGGATGTGTGAGAAAAACTGCTCCAGTCCTCTCTCCTAATTTCTGTTGTTTTTCTGACATTTTAAATTCTGAGTCTTTTCTTTCTATTTTTGATTTTCAGTCTTATTATTTCCTGTCTTTCACTTATCTTGGCTTCATTTACCTTATATTCACTTTACTTTTTCACTTTTTTTTCTATAAAATGTAAAATCTTAGGTCTTTTATAGCTTAAGAAATAAAAAGACATACTCTTTTCTTTTTAATATTATAAAGCTACAGTTCCACAGATAATTTGTGTTCTGTTTTGTTTGTATTCAGTTAGAAATATTTCTAATTACCGTTGTATTTTTTGACTCATGACTTCCTTACAATGTGTAGTTTAATTTCCACATATTTGCAGTTCTACTACATGGCTTATTGAAATTAATTGATAATTTAGTTCCACTAAGGTCAGTGAATATGTCCTCTGTATTTCCATTCATTTGAAATTTACTGACTTTTTTTTCTGGGCTAGTAATTGATCTATCTTGGTGAATGTACCATATGCAATTGAAAAATGTGTATTTTGCTGTTGTGGCAGATAATCTACATCTATCAATTAGATTAAGGTTGTTGATAGTTTTGTTCAAATCTTCTGTTTTTTTTAATCTAGTTGTTTGAACAATTGCTTAAAGTAATAAAATCTCTTTCTGATTGTGGAATTTTTTACTTCACTCTTTAAAACAGTCCATTTTTGCTTTATGTATTTAGGAACTCTGTCATTAGACACACATATACATTTGTAACAGTCTTACCTTCCAGACGAATCATCCCTTATATTATTAAGGGACCTACATTGGGAACAGAATAAAGCCATAGTAAGCAGGGCAGTGTGGACAATCAAAACCGATAATTGAGGCCATCTACTCCAAATTAGATTTTTGTAATGTTTTATCATCATTATATATTTTGGTTTTGCTGATATGAACCAGACTACTAATAGAATTAATACATAGTATTTATTAAGCACCTATCATGTGCTGTTAGGTACTAAGTGATGAGGATATATCAGTGAAGAAGTTTCACAAAATGCCTGCTCCTGAACTTAAAATATAAATATCTCCTAATTTATTTATCAATTGTATAGCAATTATTTAGTGGTATATAAAATCATCTATTAATATTTTGTATACATGTTTATATACATGTATGTACACATGTGTATATATAACTATTATATATAATACACAAACAGATGAATACACATGTTTTGCTAAATTTATTGATCATGAATGTTTCGTCTCCTCTTTTTCTACTACCTTGAATCCTGATTCACTTGTTGTCTGGCAAGAGCCTTATGAAGATTTTTTTTCTTAAAATATGTGTTATGGATAATATATTCTAACAATCTTTGCATAGTAACTTTTTTTTTTTTCCACTAAGACAAGTTAATGCTATCTTGACTGGGTTTCGGACACTGGTTGAAGTCATTTCCTCTTCAATTCTATAGTTCTCTATTCTGATTTCTATGAGAAGTCCATAAGAAATGAAAACACTAGTCAGATTTTTTTTTGTTTTTTGGTAAACATTTTTATTCGTTTAAAGATTTTAGAATTTTATTCTTTGTTGTAATTCAGGAAATTTACCATCATAAGTCTAGATATTTACTCTTTCTTAGCAATCCTGCTTAGACTTAATGGGATCTCTCAATATCCTGATTCAGATCTTAGGAAAAATTAATTCAGTTACATTATTATTTACTATCTTTCTTCCATAAGTTAAAATGTGTATTTTGTGTGCTGCTAGTATTTGTGTTACGTCTACTGAATCTATGCTAAAAATATATCATTTTATTCTTCATCTCATTGAATTTTACTTTCTCATTTTAGCTATTTCTTTTATTTCATAACCAAGTCCATTAATTCAAACCTTTTCAAGTGACCAACCGTACTCTCCTTCAACGTGTCTATTGACATTATATCAGCAAATTGTATTTGTTTTGTGTCAAAGGTGCTTTATTTGGTATATACACCAGTTAAATTTTCCTAAGTGATCTTATTACAGCACTAGTTCTAAGTGTTGCATCCACTGTCTCTGACTGTTGGCTTTTCTTTAGTGTCATATTGTTTTCACTTGTTATTCACTGAGGCTCATCTGCTGAGATGTCTTAGGGGACTGTGTTGCCAAGGCTTCAGGAGACACAGCAGCCTCTGTCCCCAGAGGTCGGTAGAGAGCAGGAAACATTGCAATCAGTTCATACTGCAGCTCCAGAGCCTTTCTTATATTCTTCTGCCATAAATCTATAATGGCACTAATTTCAAAGACTTTTTTGATTTTTCCAGAAGGATTTTTGTTTGTTTGTTTGAGACAGTCTCACTCTGTCGCCCAGGCTGCAGGCTGGAGTGCAGTAGCGCGATCTCGACTCACTACAAGCTCCGCCTCCCAGGTTGACGCCATTCTCCTGCCTCAGCCTCCAGAGTAGCTGGGACTACAGGCGCCCACGCCCGGCTAATTTTTTGTATTTTTAGTAGAGACAGGGTTTCACCGTGTTAGCCAGGATGGTCTCGATCTCCTGACTTCGTGATCTGCCCGCCTGAGCCTCCCAAAGTGCTGGGATTACAGGCATGAGCCACTGCGCCGGGCCTTCCAGAAGTTTTTATAACCTAGATATAGGTGTAGAGAAAAGAGGTGTTTGCACTTATTCTGAACTTGGATTTTGCCTTTGAGTTTGCTGGAGAGAGAGAAAGTTCATGAAAATGAGGCTACCTATATGGTTAAAGTGAGAAAGATCATGGAACCAATCCACAGAAGGAAGGAAGAAGTGAGATGTTTACTAGGGACAAAACAATAATTAACATGCAATCAAAAAACAGAAAAAAAAAGTAATAATTTGATGAGAACCCAGAAAGATTGCGATGTTTCATTTCTTTGTAAATATTTGTAGGAGTGATACATACGTATTCTATCAGTGAATCAGTTCTGAAGGATGGAAGGAAAAGAGAAGAAATGGCCCACGTGTCTTAGTTGGCAGTGAGTTCAGAGGAGTTTATTGCAAGGTAGTGATCCTGGAACAAGAAGAAGCAAAGAGGGCGAGGGCATGCATTTCAAAGGATTATTTTTTCTTTTGAAGTTGGAAGACAACATTTTTAAAGGCAAATGGTGAAAAAAGGAGAAGAGAGTGAAGTGTATAAGAACGTGCAGGCTGACAGCCTGAAGGATGCACATTAAGTTATCATCTTAGGGGAAAGAAGGGTGTGAGCGGGAAGGGTGCAGGAGGCATTCAGTGAAGAGGATGCGTTTGCATGAGAGTTTCCTTTTTTCACATAATTTCATTGCATAGAGTAGGGTTTAAAATTTTGTGACAGAGAAGACATTAAGTCAAAGTTATATTGAGTCTATAGCTTATGGTGTTACTAAGAAAATAAGAATTTTGTGTGACACTGAGTTTATTTCAAGGTACAGACATCCCTCAGAGATACTGTGGGTTCAGTTCTAGACCACCACAATGCAGCAAGTATCACAATAAACTGAGTCACACAATTTTTTTGGTTTCCCAGTGCATATAAAAGTTACGTTTACACGGTACTGTTGTCTATTTAGTATGCAATGGCATTATGCCTTAAAAATATACACATACCTTACATTAAAATACATTATTGCTTAAAAAAATGCAATGATGATTTGCACCTTCACAACTGTAATCTTTTTTGCTGGTGAAGGGTCTCGCCTCAATGTTGAGAGCCTTGCTCTGGATTAGGTTTTGACTTATGGGAATATTGCGGTTGGTTTAGTCTTCTATCCAGACCAATAAAACTTCTGTCATATCAGCAAATAAGACTGTTTTGCTCTTATCCTTCCTGTGTTCACTGAAGCAGCACTTTCACTTTTCATCAAGAACTTTTCCTTTGCATTCAGCAACTTGGCTAACTATTTGGTGCAAATGGCTTAGCTTTTGGCTTCTTTCACCTTTTGACATACCTTCCTCACTAAACTTGACCATTTCTGACTTTTGATTTAAAGTGGAAGACGTGTGACTCTTTCATGTGAACACTTAATAGCTATTGTAAGGTTATTAATTGGTCTAATTTCAATATTATTTTGTCTCAGACTAGGGAGCCCTAAGGAGAGGGAAAGAGATGTGAAGTTTGGCCAGTTAGTGGGAAATCAAAATGTGACTGATAATATTTATCAGTCACATTTGCCATCTTATATGGGTTCGATTCATGCTGCCCCAAAAGAATTACAATAGTAACATCAAGAGTCACTGATCAAAGATCATCATAAGACATCTGATAATGATAATAATAAAAGTTAGAATTATTGTGAGAATTACCAAAATGTGGCACACAGACTGGAAATAAGCACATGATGTTGGAAAAATGGTGCCCATAGACTTGTTCAATGAAGGGTTGCCACAATCCTTCAATTTGTAAAAAACGCAGTATCTGCAAATGACAACAAAGTGAAGCCCAATAAAGCGAGTTATGCCTGTACGTATTTTGGCCATTTGTGTTTGTATGAAAGTGTCAGGACGTTCTAAGGAGAGTATGGGAGTAAGGGTCAGTCATTTCTGTGGCTTCTAGTTTATTTTCTAGAGCATGCCTATTTCTCACTGAATTCCTGCTTATAATCTGCAAGGCTTTAGAGATCAGCTCATAAAGAAATGCACAAAGAGAGAGAAAATAGTTTCTGAGTGTATTTCTAAAACTTTCACATTAAGTAAAGTGTAATATAGACTTCTTGGAAGTTTTTTTTGCTGCTTAGAATACCCCTTAGTGAGATCCTCATTTCTGCCTATTTCCAGAGGGAAGCAGTGCTCATTGTAGTGGTTTGAATGCTTTTAAACCACCCACCGCTGCCACCCCACTACCCCTCCCACTGTGGGTAGAGAATACTTCTCACACGCATTAAGGTTGGGCTTTGCCGTGTGACTTGTTCTAGCCAGTGGAATTTTAGCAGATGTGATGTGAGTAGAAGCATTAGGTGCACTTGGCCATTTGTACCAGAGAAGCATTGGCTTGAATTTTTTGCTTTCATGATTTGTCACAGAAAAACATGCCTCAAGCAGCTGTTGATCTTTTAGCCAACTCTGCAATAAATGACCTTGAGCTCTACTCTGCTCCAAGCCTTGCTGACCTACAGTCTAAATCAGAGCTGTCCTTACTGACTCACAGATCCACGAATAAAAAAGAAAATAGCAACTTGATATTTTAAGACATTGAGTTTTGGGGCAGTTTGTTACACAATAAGATATGATTAATAGAATGCAATTGTCAATAAGTTAAGTGCTGAATAGGTCACTTGTTACTTTATTTTCCACAGACCTCTTCTCTTTTCTTATTTTCCCTTCCTTTCTACGTTTAGCTCTTCTGTATTTTCTCTTTTCTTTCTCTTTCCTTCCTTCCTTCCTCTTTCTTTCTTTCTTTTACTTTCCCTTACTTTATCTTTCTCTCATCTCTATCTCTCCCTCCCTCCCTCCCTAATTTTCTTCCTTCCTTGCTTCCTTCCTTTCTCTTTCTTTTAATTTCCTTCTTTCTCTTTCTTTTTTTCTTTCTGTCTCTTACTTTCCCTTTCTCTCCTCTCTCTCTCTCTCAATCTCTCCCTCCCTCCCTCCCTAATTTCCTTCCTTCCTCCTTCCTTCCTTCTTTCCTTCCTTCCTTCTTTCCTTCCTTCCTTCTTTCCTTCCTTCCTTCCTTCTCTCATTTCTTCCTCTTTCCCTTTCTCATCTGCTTTTTCTGTTTTATTGTATTTCTTCTTATTCTGATGTCTTTTATTTAAGGCTTAATACATAGGTTTCTACTAAATGATTACTTAATACATAGGTTTCCCATCAATGTCCAATCCTTTTTTAAAAAAAATCTGTATGTCTTTACATGTTTCAGGTGATTCCAGATTTAATCAGGTTTAGCCTTATGATTAAATAAGATATAGAGTTGTATAAATACACTGGTACTAGGAGTACTGGGAGTTTGTCCCTCTTTTGAACTAATCTATCTATCTAGAGGTATCCTTATTATTGACAGTACTGATTGAAGCTTCATTATCTCCTGCTAAAATATAATTGTTTTATAAAAGAATAGAACTATTTGACTACAGTCATTCATGCAGCAGTGCTGTGAGGAAATGGAGCACATTTTTGTTAAGTCTGGAGTTTGGGAATATTAATCTCTCCCTGCTTAAAACTCTTTTACACATTTGCTACACTGATTGATGTACTGTTATTTCTTCTGAAATCTATTAATTGTCTTACATGCATTTTCCTTTGTGATACCCATTGTTTCCTAGGAATAGAGACTAGCATTATTTTTCTCTGCAGCGTGATATTATGAGTGCCTCAGAATCCATGCTCAGTAAATGCTTGAAGAGCTCCACTGGCTTTCAATGCCCTCTGTACTTCCTTCTGTTCTTCATTCCTCTGGCATGACACTCCTCCTCCTAGCACCCATTGCCCTTCCCTACCTGATATGGTTTGGCTCTGTGTCCCCACCAGAATCTCATCCTGTAGCTCCCATAATTCCCACGTGTTGTGGGAGGGACCTGGTGGTGGGAGATGATTGAATCATGGGGGCAGCTCTTTCCTGTGCTCTTCTCATGATAATGAATGGGTCTCACAAGATCTAATGGTTTTACAAAGGGGAGTTTCCCTGCACAAGCTCTCTTCTCTTGTCTGCCACCATGTGAGTCATGCCTTTCACCTTCTGCCATGATTGTGAGGACTCTCCAGCCATGTGGAACTGTGAGTCCATTAAACTTCTTTCTTTTGTAAATTGCCCA
The DNA here is from genome assembly GCF_000001405.40 of Homo sapiens. Classification (NCBI taxonomy): domain Eukaryota; kingdom Metazoa; phylum Chordata; class Mammalia; order Primates; family Hominidae; genus Homo; species Homo sapiens. Next base: position 14,133,279 of record NC_000002.12, on the reverse strand, counting down.
GTCTTGGGTATATCTTTATCAGCAGCATGAAAACGGATTAATACACTACCTCTATGCACTTTACTTGCAAAGGGCTTTGATATCAGTGATTTATAGTAACTTGCGTTGGCATGCTAGGGCTGCCTTAACACAATGGCACAAAGTGGGTTGTTCACACAGCAGGTTCATGGTGTCAACAGACTCGGTGTCCTCTGAGGCTTCTCTCCTGGATTTGCAGAAGGCTGCCTTCTCACTGTATCCTCACAGTGTCTTTCCTCTTTGTGAGCATCTGTGGTGTCTCTTCTTATCTCCCAATCTCTTCTCATAAGGTATCAGTCAGGTTGGATTTGAGCTCGCCCAAATAACCTCAGTTTAACTTAATTACCTTTTTAGGGGATCTGTCTCCAAACACAGTCGAATCCCGAGGTACTAGGGGTTAGGACGTCAACATATGAATTTGGGAGTCATACAGCTCAGCCCATATACTACAGTGAATTGAAAACAATGAACTGTCTTTACCCAAGGAATATGCCATTAAGCCCTGAACTCCTACCTTTATGTGAAAGGGGAAGAAGGAGGTTACATAAATACTTTAGAAATAAGGGATTCTTGATTTAGGATTTAAGGAAGAGCAGGGAACAGGGGAGATTGTAATAACAAAGGTATATAAGGGCTATGATAGGGCAGGTGTAAAAATTGGAGTGTGCTATTTTCGCTCACCTCTCAGTACTGTTAATTATGTATGGTGTCTTTTCTTAGATCAAAAGTGAAAGTAGCATCTTGACTATTTCACAAAACAGTTTGCCAATTAATGACCTGGGAAAATATATGATCACTTATTTAAATGCACATACTAATTATTTTTTAAGATTATCTTAAAAAATGTATACTATTCTCCTTTCAGTATTATCTGTTTGAAATATTATTTGTTTGAAACTCAGTAGCTGCTCTATCTGTTCTCCCTTAGTTTTTTATTACTTTGCATCTCTCTCTTTTCAATGTAGTTTTTCAATAAATTTATTTTCAATTGACAAATAATAACTATGTGTATTTACAGGGCAAAATGTGGTGTTTTGATCCATGTATGCACTGTAGAAAAATTAGAAGAAGTTAATTAACATTCCCATCATCTTACCAACTTACTCTTTTATTTTGTGGTGAGAATGTTAAATATCTATTTTTATAGCAATTTTGAACATATGATGTTACTATATTTTCTACTTATAAAATTAGAAATAACTTATTTTAGACATTTGTAAGGTACACAAAATATTAGAATATTTAAGTTTATCTGTAATTACACTTAGAGAAAGGGGGTTTTAATTTTTGGTTGTCATTCTGTAGCATATTATTTCAGGATATATTTCTTGTTTATAAAGTCATTGTTTATATGGAGCACAATTTGCTTTTAGCTCCTCCACATAGTTTTGCATTCTGATTTATAAATTAATATATAATAATTATTTTCAGCCTTATGAAATTTTAAATTTTAAATTCTTTAGATTCTCTCACAAGGCCTCGCCATTCTAGTTGCCCAATCATGAATATACAGCATATTCCTTTCACCCCTCATTTCATCATCTCTGCAATTTTACATTCACCACCAGTGTTTATTGACTGCTTAATAATGTCTGAAAAAAGAGCACATAGTTTTGCCATAATAGATAATTTGCTCTCTACAAACAACCCAAAAACCCATTATCCTTACCTTCATTTTGTATGTGAGAAAACTGAGGTTGAGGAAATTGATTTTATTGTCCAAGATCTGGAGGCTCTTATGAGTCACTGTTGTACAAAGAAGCCAGATATCTTGATGTTTTGCTCTTTTGCCATGCTGTAGCTGCCTCTACTTTGCATGCCTGTAAACTCATATCTAGTTAGAAATAACTTTTGGTTCAGTTAAAGCCACAATCTAATTTACCTGAAAAACTCATCCAACACCACTATTCAAGGCCCCCCAGCCATGGGCCCAGCTGTCTTACCAAGACTACAGGGCATGAATGTTACCATCCATATTAGTCTACCCAGCCTGGAACTGTGGTCACCTACTGTAAGTGAATGGAATGCCTTGGAGGAGTTAGGGTTTCCTGAATTATGTCTCATCTCAACTATTTAAGGCAACTGAACTCCTTAAAAATGTCTACTGTGGTCAAGTAGAAAGTATGTAGAGCTTAAACTCAAAAAGCCCTCAGAACTGATATAGAAGTTTCTGTGGAAAAGAGTCCTGAGACTCAGAGAGCAAAGATGGCTGGGCCAATGTGATGCTGCAAGATAGTGGTAAAGATGGTTAAATATCTTTGCTCTAGATGCGCAGTACAACATTCTTTCCTCTGACAGTTTGAACATAATTTGGGGTTCTATTCTGCCTAGGGAGCTAGCTCATTGTGGATTTAACTTGTTGCTCTTGGCATTGTTCTTCATGTATCTTCCCCCATTAGAATTGTACAATAGATTGAATCTATGTCTCTTAACTGAGTCCAAACAATTAATCTCAAATGTGTTTTGATTGACAGATAAGAAATTTGAACACTTGACTCACCAGAAATATTTGGTTATATATTTTATATAAGCTAGATTTATTTGTTGTTATAATAGATAGAGTTTTAAAAAACCTAGACACATATCTGAGGTGGTGTTTAAAAATTCTTATTTTTCACCCTTATAGTACTGTTAAGATTCTACATTTCTATTCAGAAGACTTATGAGAGGGCTTGAATTCAGGACAGTTTAAAATTGTATTTAATTAAAATTCTACCTCGCTATTAATTTCAAAGGAAGACAGAACATACTTTCTAAGAATGTCTTATCTACTATTCAATTCCTTTCCATTGCCGAATGTATAAACATAAGAATGATTTTTTAAATGATTGTATATGCAATAATGCATAACAAGTAATGTGTAACAACCTGCAGAGGTGCAGGTTAGATTTTGCCTCCCCTGGGATGGTAACCGTTGGCTTGCTGCGCTATTGTGAAGTTTAAGTGGACAGTAGTCTATAAAATAGCTAGTCTAGGGCAATGACCAGCCAGAGTAGATAATAAAAACAGCAATTCTTTTCTATTTCTTTTTCACTCATCTAAAAATCTTGTCTATTCATTAAGGGACACCTCTAACTCTTTTCAGATTGAGAAATATTTATAATGTTATTGAATGGATTTGTGAACAAGTAATGTCAACAGGTAATTCTTTGTCTATCTACAACCCGGGATAAAAAGAGTGGAATATGTAAAATAGATATTATCAGGGTGCCAACATTACAGTGATGCTTCATAACAATTATTTAAACAAACTTATTTAATTCTTACCATAAGCCAAGCTCTGTGCAAGCGAGCTCAGAGAGACACATGGAGCTCCAAGGCAGGTAGTTCATGCTGACTACCATGGAGCTGATCTTTAAGGATATTGCCTTTACCTTGTGCATCCACAAATATCTCTCCTGCTTCTATTTTTTACAAATGCTACCCTGGTAACTCATCAGTAGTATTTTTTTCTGTCAAAACTCAGACCTTCATGACAGTTCATGTGGCCTCTTAGAGCTGTGTGGCCAGAGTCTTGAGATCTTAAGAGATGTGTGTGTGTGTGTAGAGGACTCACTGCATTTTCCTTGCCCTTCCCCATACAGGATGCTTTTCCATAACAACTTTTAAGGGGCATCTTGTAGGAAATAGTATTACCAAAGGTCCCCCACATATTCTTTTCATTATTAGGGACTACAATAGAAGGCATGAGAGGCTGAGTGCCTTGATAGTGGGCACCAGGACTTTTATAGAACCAAAGGACAGAAATGAATTCACCTGCAATATTGCTCCCTTCTGTATGAGCCCAGCCATCATGAACACCGCTCCCCTCTTTGGAAAAGATTAAAATCTATGTAAGCGCCTCAATTTGCTGTGCACTGTGGGCAACACTGAACTGAATGGAGCATCTGTGAGTTCTACCCTGCCCTGCCTTTTCAGCATCTGTGCACTGTGGGCAACACTGAACTGAATGGAGCATCTGTGAGTTCTACCCTGCCTTTTCAGCGTCGCCTTGGGCTGTAGAAACCCAACATCCACCACAGAACCCAGCTAAGCCTGTCAGCACATCCACATCTTCTATAAGCCCCAGACTTGAATCTTTGTTCTGAGCTTATGGAATTATGAAGTTCACTCTATGAGGTGAACGCTGATGGATAAACACTTCTATAAATTATCCAGGAGAAATTCCAATCTGTGGATGATCTCTTCTTATCTCTCATGCATTTATTTATGTCAATGCTGCAGAAGCAGAAGGCTGTATAATCAGACAGCATACTGGTTTTGGAAAGGTTAGCTCAAAAGTTAACAGAAAATTCTTCTTCACCTGTGTTATATCTTTTTGTTGAACGTTTCTAAAGATTTTTTTATAATCTCCAAGTTCAAAAAGGGTATGGAGTGTCAGGAAGAGAGAAAGAAATTAAGAAAGAGCAAAACTAATGCTATGTGTTAGATTATTCTGACCATCTCCACATCTTTTTGGTATGCAAGGGTGATGGCCAACTGTGTTAAAATGACCCCAGGTGGCCCCATGGCTGTTTGAACTCCTGATCTCAGTTTTTATATGAGTAGGATTCCTGGGATTAATGCTGGCACTACTGCTGCTGGGTTGGAAAGATAAATGATAGATAGATAGACACAGATAGATCAAGACATAGATATTTATATCCATAGGTTTTATATACATATAACATTTATAATATTTTATATATGTGAATGTATAAATGTATGTGTGTGTATTCACACACACACATACTTTATATAGTAATTTTTTGGTGGGGAGGGCTACCCCAATGTGAAGGTGGATAGATTCCTGATGTGATGTCAGGGACATAAAATAAAGCTCCATTCTTATTTTGTTTTCGACTCTTTATTGATACATAGGATCTCTTTAGCAAGTGGCAAAGCCTTTTGTTCTCTTATTATACAATGATAATAACAAAGCAATAACAGCCATGCTGACTTAAAATAAAATTATTGTTGTAGAAAATCATATTTATTGACATGATTTGGATGTTTTGTCCCCTCCAAATCTTGTGTTGCAGTGTGATACCAAATGTTGGAGGAAGAACCTGGTGGGAGGTGTTTGGGTCACAGGAGCTGATCCCTCATAAATGGCTTGGTGCCCTCCCCGTGGTAACAAATGAGTTCTTACTCTGTTAATTTTCATGAGAGCTTGGACCTCCCCCTCCTCCCACCTTGCCTAGTCTCTTGCTCCCTCTCTCCCCATGTGACATGCCTGCTCCCCTGCTGCGTTCTGCCATGATTCTGCCTTCCTGAGACCTCACCAGAAGCCAAGCAGATGGCAGCATTACACTTCCAATACCGCCTGCAGAAGCATGAGCCAAAATAAACCTCTTTTCTTTATAAAATACCCAGTCTCAGATATTCCTTTATGACAATGCCAAATAGACTAACACATTCATCTTATTTTTTTTTTCCACATTATGTTTTAAATGAATGTTAGGTAATGTCTTAGTCAGTTGGGCTGTAATATGGTTTGGCTCTGTGGAATGACATGGTTTGGCTCTGCGTCCTCAATCAAATCTCATCTGGAAATGTAATCCCCATGTGTTGGAGGAGGGGCCTCGTGGGAGGTGATTGAATCATGGGGGCTGACTTCCCCCTTGCTGTTCTCATGATAGTGAGTGAGTTCTTATGAGATCTGATGGTTTAAAAGTGTGTGGCACTTCCTCCCTCTCTCCGTCTCTCTCCTGCTTCACCATGGTCAGACGTGCTTGCTTCCCCTTTGCCTTCTGCTTGTAAGTTGCCTTCTGATTGTAAGTTTCCTGAGGATTCTCCTGTTAAGCCTGAAGAACTGTGAGTTAATTAAACCTCAATTTCTTCATAAATTACACAGAGACTGGGTAATTGTAAGTTATTTACAGTAGTGTGAGAATGGATTAATATAGGCTGTTATAACAAATTCCTTCAGATCGGGTGACTTAAACAACAAATATTTATTTTTCACAGTTCTAGAGGCTGGAAGTCTGAGATCAGAGTACCATCATGGTAGTGTTCTAGGGAGGGCTCTTTTCCAGGTGACAGGCTGCTGACTTCTCATTGTATCCTCATTTATTGAAAGAGCAAGCTATCTCTTTGGCCTCTTCTTATAAAGTCACTAATTCCATTCATGAGCGTTCCACGTTCATGACCTAATTATCTCTCAAGGATCTTAGCTACAAATATCATCACATTGGGGATGATATATTAACATATGAATTTTGGGGGAACACAAACATTCAGTCCACAATAGGTACCATGTTTTTAAGCTGTATTTAACTTAAACCTTATGACAACTATTTATATAAATAGTTTACATTAAATCAAATTAAATATCAAATAATAGTTATTTGATATTCAATTATAATTGTTAAATAATTTAAATGAAATTTAACTAAATTTTAATTAACTAAAATAATTTAATTATAATATTTTAATTAAAATAATTTAATTATAATATTTTAATTAAAATAATTTAATTATAATATTTTAATTAAAATAATTTAATTATAATATTTTAATTAAAATAATTTAATTATAATATTTTAATTAAAATAATTTAATTATATTTTAATTAAAATAATTTAATTATAATATTTTAATTAAAATAATTTAATTATAATATTTTAATTAAAATAATTTAATTATAATATTTTAATTAAAATAATTTAATTATAATATTTTAATTAAAATAATTTAATTATAATATTTTAATTAAAATAATTTAATTATAAATAATTAATAACTATTTAATATTAATTTGATTTAATATAAACCTTACAATGCCATTTTTAGCATTTTAATTTTACTGTTGATGAAACTAATGCTGAGAAAGGCTAAGCTCATTGCCCAAATTAAAATGCAAACACCTGTCTGTCTTACATCAATATTGTTTTTATTTCATTATGATACCTTGCTCTCAACTGTAGCCCAGGTAAAAGCATGATTTCTAGAGAGGAAAAATAAAGTATACATATCAGTATAGTGTGTGTTCACTCGATCTATTTGTTTAAATTATTTCCTTTGATTATTTTAGAATTCTAAATTTGTGGACTACAGAACCTCTAAGAAGTTAGCTACATTATCCTACATGATCCCAATGAAATGATCTCCTCTTCAATGACTGGGTGAAGAAGCGAAGACAAGCTACTCAGTTTTGCCATCGCCCAGCCATTCTTCCTCTCCTCTCTCTTGCCTATAGAAATAAAGGCAATTTGAACAACTTGGAAAAACCCATAACTTCCCTCTTTTTCTGTGATACATGCACAGGGAGCTTGAATCCAATTCTCAGTGCCCACACTCCTTAGTAGCTGGCAGGGGTCAACGCCCCCCTCTCTCTGACCTCCAGCAGTGAGGTCTTGGAGCCTCAGCTCTTGCAGCCTGAATCTCTCCATCTGCAGTCTATCTACATCCCCAACACAGCTGGGCTCTGCTGGGCAGGATTATTGCCAGTCATCTCCAACTCGCCAAACCTTCAGAAGGGCAGCTGGGACACAAGAACTTTCCTGGGAATTTCCTGGCCGCCAGCTCAGATACTGTATCCTTGTTTGCTGAGCTAAAGCTAGTAAAGATTGGCAAAGATAAATTAGCAACAAATCCATGAGGATTGCGTGTCTCATCCAATCATTTGCCCAACACTGATTCCAAGTAACATTCAACTTTGTCTCTAACGAGCTAACAGATGTGGGCATTACCAGAGGAAGTTAATGTGGGATTTTTCACAGAGCTGGGACTGGATGAGTTTCTTATCTAAACTTTTTTTTTGGAGCAACAGAATAGAAAATGTTATTCATGTTATTCTAGTTTGACAGTCAACTCGAGAGACCATTGAACATTTTTTTTTCCTTTTCCTTGGTTAATTCCTCAAGGCCAGATGATTCTCTAGCCTGTATTTGCCTAGAACATACCTGGAGGCTAGCATGTGAGGCACACTGTTCTGTCATTTATAGCATGGGGCTTTAGGAAAAGACATCTATTCCTGGTATGAGATCCATTACCTAGGGATAACCAGACACTTAGCAAACTGCCACAGCTACAAAGTCTGGCTCTGGAGGAAAAGCTGAGCAGCCAAATCTCACTACATGAATGGGTGCCAAGCTTGTGTACATTTGTAGGCATTGTAAGCATGGAGAAAGGCCTTATATATTGAATACCCTTTTTTGGCTGGCACATCACATTCATTAAATTTTCAGATAGACCTATAAAGAGAACAATAAAAATAGTTACGAAAAATAGTGAACATTTATTGAGTAGTTCATATATGCCACAAACTGTGCTTAAATATTGTATGTATGTGATTACATAATAAAATCTATCTATGGTATAGGTATTATATTATAGGGTCTGCTATACAAATGAAGAAAATGAGACTCAGCAAGTCTGCATTGTTTTAAACTTCTCTCATACCGTAAATAATGAGATAGCCATAACATTTCACTTGTAATAAAGTAGAATGGAAGAAGGCAGGCTTCAGAGGCAGGTGGATGAAAGTCTGAACCCCTGCTCTGCTGACCTGCAGTAACAGCTGCTTGACAAGCTGTTTAACTCCCTGATTTGCAGTTGTGTCATTAGCTAAATGGACACTGAATCTACCTTCCAGGGATAAGGGAAGTAAAGTGCCCATCGCACAGTAGGCATTCAATAAATGGTTGCTTTTGTACTCTTTCTATGACTATTCACTTGAGGCAGGGGAGGTAAGATCCTTTTTCAATGTTTTGTGCCCCAGGAATGATTTAATTGAGATTGGTCTGAGGTCTAGGATTGGAGTGGCAATTATGGTTGGGAATGTAACAGATAGTTATAAGAAATGGAGCAGCATGAAATGAAAGAATACAGAGAGGTTGGAATCCCCTTCTTTAATGGGTAATTAAACTTATTATTTTAGGGTTACCAAGGTGTCTCTGATGGCATGAAGTCTCACTTAGGTCCTGCCCTTTGGGTAACAACAAAAATTAAGATTTCCTGTTTCTTTTGATATTATCATATAAGGGTAGATTGTTAGAATATACCTGACGTTTGGTGTGAAAGAAAAGAGAAGTTCAGGATGCTGAATTTTGAAGAGTGGAACTCCCTAGAGGAAAAAAAAGCCTTCAAAGGGAATAGTGATATATTAACTATGAGGTAAAAAGCTTTTGATAAAGTTGAGCATATTGCTCAGAACATAACATTCTCCATTTATTTGTCTGAGATATTTTATCTTGACAGAATTTCTTTGTTGGGAGAAATAATCTGGGTCCTTCTACTTTATTGCTCACTATGTGAGCAGAAATAATGAAAGTAAATAATCTTTCCCACTTGTAGACTAAGCTGTTTATATAAATATTTTAACTCCAGATCCAGTTGATCTGTGCCATTGCCCAGGGCAGACAAGGAACTGAGGCTTAGCAAGATTATTTGTCCTACCAAAGATTGTGCAATTAGGAAAAGTTAGAGCACAAGCAATTGTATGTGGGACTCCAAGTCCAAACTAAATTGTTAGTAATTCCAGGTGGAAACATGTTCTTATGATATCAAATATATCATATATATGTACATATATATGGTATTTGAAACATTTACTAGTATTTTTTATTTTATACACAGTTTATTATACTAACCATTAATGTATAATGCAATGAGCTAAACCCGTGTAACTGGTTCGACTGTATACTCTTAAGCACTTTGCTAAAATACTGTCTGTGAGTACTGCGTTAAAAACAAATCTGAGGGCCGGGTGTGTTGGCTCAATCCTGTGGTCCTAGCATTTTGGGAGGCCGAGGCAGGAGAGTTGCTCAAGCTCAGGAGTTCGAGAACAGCCTAGACAACATGGTGAGACCTCATTCTCTATAGAGATATAGAGACTGGCTGGGCATGGTAGTGCGCGCTTGTGATACCAGCTGCTTGAGGGACTGGCATGGGAGGATCGCTTGAGCCTGGGGGGGTTAAGGCTGCAGTGGGCTATGGTTGTGCCACTGCTCTCCAGCCTGGGTGACAGAGCGAGACCCCATATCAAAACAAAAACCAAAAAAACTGTGATCATAAAAAGCGCCATAAACACCAATGTCAAACTATGCTACTCTATCTTACATTTTCAAACAGCTTACCTGAAATACAAGATTAAGTTTAGAAAAACAATTTTTAGTTCTGTTTGTTGCTCACATGCTAATTAACTGTATAACTTCTCTTGCCATGTGAAAGGTTAAGAAACTAAAGTTCGTTTTCGAAAGAAAAAAAAAAATTCCTCCCATAATGCTGGAATTACAGGCATGAGCCACCGTGCCTGGCAAATTTACTGCTTCTAATGTGCCTTTACCTTTGTATTTATTTTACAGTTGACTCTTGAACAACATGATTTTGAACTGCACAGTTTACTTATATGGGCATTTTTTTCCCAATAAATACAATTAACCTTCCATATTGGCAGGTTCTGCATTCCCAACGAAATGCATATTGAAACTACTGTGTTCCCAGGCTATGAAACTCATCCCTCTGGAGGGCTGACATTTCATATCCAGAGGTTCTGAAGGGCTGACTGAGGGCCATGCGGGTACCTGAATTTTGGTAACTGCAAGTAGTCCTTCAATCTCCCCACTGCACTCTGCTTTACCGAGGGAGAACTGTATTTTTCTCTTGTTTCCTGCATTCTGCAACCAAAAGTTGCCTCTCTTTATCTTCTTTTTGTCTCTTACTTTATTTATTCTTGAATATTATCCTCAGATAATGCATCTCATCTGTAATATTTCTGAGGCCATAGAACAAACCATTCTGATACATGGCGGCCTCCTTTCTTCATTTCTTTGACTCCTATTTCCTCCATTATTTACATGCATAAGTTTTATGCTGCAACTTTGGCCATTTCTTAGTTAAGGGTCATTTCCATTCGGGTCAATTCTGTTGAAGAATGCCCTGGTAAGTAAAATGAGGACAATTTATCATTTTAAGCTGAGCCTGTATACTTGAATATTTTTGATAAAATTTGTATTTTTGCGTGTGCCTTGGGCACTGTCTACCCCTGCGATCCAGAATTTTGGTATTATTCACAATGAAATCCCATAAATTATAAACTTTCTATGAACTCAAACTAATTGTCTTTACATGCTGTGTTTCTTTTCACTGTGCCAAACTGCCATATACATTGGTCACATTGTTGCTATGTATTTCTAGAATAACCATCCTGCAAGATTCATTCTACAGATTAGGATGCTGATAATGGCATAAATGGGATATGTAGGAAGAAGTTATGGAAACATATCAAAGTGTCTTATCAAGCGGCACTTCTGTGGTGGAGTTGAAAATGGTACCCACGGCCGGGTGCAGTGGCTCACACCTGTAATCTCACCATTTTGGGAAGGCGAGGCGGGCAGATCAAGAGGTCTAGAGATCAAGCCCATCCTGGCCAACATGGTGAAACCCCATCTCTACTACAAGTACAAAAATCAGCTGGGCGTGGTGTTGTGCACCTGTAGTCCCAGCTACTTGGGAGGCTGAGGCAGGAGAATTGCTTGAACCTGGGAGGTGGAGATTACAGTGAGCCGAGATTGTGCCACTGCACTCCAGCCTGGTGACAGAGTGAGCTGCCATCTCAAAAAACAAAAAAGAAAAGAAAAAGAAAGAAAATGGTACCCACGATGCATTAAAATAAAAACAATTTTTGGAAGGAGACATATATAGAAGGGGTTTGGAGAAATAGGGATTGATAGTGGTGCTGTAAATCTTTCTCGGTTTCATGTGGTTAGAAGTCAGATAGCTGTGAGAGATTCAGCTGGGCAAATTGAAGCTGAATAGAAATAGTCTTGTGTTCACCTAGGTCAAATCCAAAAAGGTTTCTTGGTCTTCTATATAGGAAGAGATTCTGTTATTGGATTATAGTGTTAACATTATCAACAACAGATTATTCCTTCACAATAATAGGAGATCTCTTATTAGAAGGAGACAGCTGGTGTCTATGTTTCTGATGAGTATAAAAGGCAGAGGAGTACACGGTAATCATAGGTTATTAAAAATTCACATTGTTAGAGATTCCTGCAGTCATTGCACATTTAGAAACAATTAAAATAAAATGATTGTCACCTTGGAATTCCAGTGGCTTGTCAGTGCAGCCAGCTACTCTAGCATCAAATGTACACCTAACAGCTGCTTCTCTGGAACTGAAAAAAAAGAAAGACAAAGGAAGGAAGGAAGGAAGGAAGGAAGATGACATGCACACTTTATGATTTTTCAATGACAATCTAGGGTTTTTCATTTACTGGGTAATATTTTTCACTCAAATATGTAAATGTTTGCAAATAACACCCTATGAATATGTCTCACTTTTACTGTAGCATCATAATATGATAAAAGCATTTTTTAAAAGCATATTTCGTATGGTATCTTCATATGAAAAGTACTCCAGGGTAAAAGGCTATAAAATTACTTCATGCCTTGATGTTATTATTTTTTTCTTACTACTGCTAATTCTTAGTTTTTATCGAGAGTCTGTTTTCCTATAGCACATAATTAACATGTTTAAAACACTTTGCATCTTTTAAACAACATCAGATTAAAGTACATAAATAAATATAGAATGAGGAGCACAGGTGTTTTTCTGATTCAATTAGCGCTTCTTTATTCTAAACTATTTTCTTGACTTGCAGTCTCTTTCTTTTTCAAAAGATGAAAATAAACAGTCATTTGGCTATTAGGGGAGCCCACGGAGGGCTCATTAGCTGGGTTCTAATTGGGTTCTTTCACAAATCTGTCACTCAGGATTGAAGGTGAACCTGATGCCAGCAGCAAATGAGTGCACAGAGGGCTATGAAGTGGAATGACTGAGAGTACTTAAGAGGAATATGGGGGAATGAGATGAAATTAGGACTAACGAAATGCACTTTTAATACAAAAAAAAAAGAGGTAGGAAGTCAAATAGTGAGGCTAGTGTTTGGAAAGAGTGATTCTTTTGATTCTCCCTCACTTTTCCTTTATTTTCTTGATTGGAAAAAGCACTTGTCTAAACAAAATACTACTTCGGGACGTGTCTTGCCATCCCACCAACACCTAGATGTTTGTGTACATCTGTATCATTTCAGGTAACTAATTAGACCTTGACTGTTTTACTTACCCCCCTCCCCTATTATGTGTGGCATATCTGGCAGCCAGGGCTGTCTCTCACTTAGACACATTGCACAACATTTACCCCAAAGTAAGTTATCAATTAATGCTTATTGTGTCAATGAACCAATCAATTAATTGGCGAATGAGTGAATGCACTCTCATACTTGTGGCCTTTCCTTCCTTTTAGCATTCCTTTATTTTTATTCTCCTCCTGGCTACATCTTATTAACACTTCAAGGACCAGTTTAAAGGTCAACTTCACTATGAAACTTTTCAACCATTCCCCAGCAAGATAGAGATAATAGCTTCCACTTGCCTTCTCAAAACACACAAATAACATTCAGTATGTGACAGTATTATTAAACCCATTATGGTCCAATATAATGACACATTAACGTACCTATTTCTCAGGCAGATTATGGGATATTTGGAGCATGGAACTAAGTACTAATCATATTTTGGGGTTTCTCTGTATTCTCCCCAACACTTGAGTTGGCACATAAGATGTGTTACATAGACATTTGTTACGTGAATGATTTGATCCTTAACTAGGGGTGGGACACAAAATATTCCAATAAAGATTATCGCAAAATTCTCTTAATTCAGTGCTGATTTCCTCTTCAGATGGCATTGTTAGTTATGACAGGATCAGTCTTCTAGCCTCAGAAACCAACAAAACCCAAAACTTCTATTATATTTTATCCAGAAGTGGATATTATAGAATATACAGTAAATTGAGATAATAAAGCAAGAAAGCTACAATAAAGATAAGCTATGATAAAGATAAAGCTATGATTAAGATAATATAAATAAGAAAATTATATCTCTCATGTCAAGAAACATAACAGATACTTTCCTTGGAAAGTGGGCACCAAATCATCAGTCAGCTCAGCTCTGGAATAGGAAACAGGGAGATGTGGCCCAGAATTCAATGACTGTGCAGGTGGCAGACAACTCGACACCCCCATGAAATCAGAAAGACAAGGGAAAAGAAGAGGAGAAAATAATACATTTATAAAATAACAATAACAAATCATAACTGTATAATTACATATTCATTAGGCAAAACATATTCATAAACTGTATTGCATATGTGAAACAATATATAGGTCATATAGAGATCACACTTTTTAAGATAAACTCTATAAAATGGCCATAAAGCATTTTAATTTTTTCCAGAAAATGGGAATAAAATCTAGGTAATGATATGTCCTTATGTGAGTTGAAACTTAACAGAGATCATTAAAATAATAAAAGTGCAAACCTTAACTTCCAAGCCAGTAGAGGAAATAATAAAGACACCAAGAACTGGTCTCTCCAACACCAATAATATTTGTTTGAGAGAGGATCTAAAAATGCTACATCAGGGATATCAGCCAATTTCTTTCTTCCCTTTCTTCATTTTTTACCTAATCCAACCTACCATCACTTGTGACTCCTTTGACGGCCTCCCTTCATTTCGCTGATGAAGGAGGAACCCCAGCCCTAAAGAACAGGATGGCCAAATCCATGGCACCTGACTCTGGACGTATGCAATTAACAGCACTTTGCTAGTCACATATCACAGCCTCAGGGAAGCCGACTGCATGCCATGCAGAACAATGCAGTAGGACACTCAGAAGCAGAGAGAACCCGAAGATATTATTAGAGGGAGGCATTGTAGCGACAAGAGGGTGAGGTAACCCTTGGTTTCTACAGGAGAATGTGATTGCTTTGTTTGAATAATTTCTCAGGCTAGTAAAAACGTGAAACCTATAGGCTGAGGACTAGTTTGATGTAGCTGACCAAACTATTAAGGAAACTAGCTTTGGCATAATCTGGGGAAACTTTCCCTCCAGGTTGGGGAGCTGCAGAGAGCAGGACTCATGGCCCTCCCTAAACAAGGGGCATTTGTTCCAGGACCGCCCCCAACCTAAAAAAAAAAATCCAAAGGTGCTCAAATCCCTTATAGAAAAGAGTATAATGTTTTCATACAAACTATGCTATGTAAATAGTTGTTATACTGTATTTTTAATTTTAATTTTTTTTGTGTGGATATTTTCAGTCCACTATTGACTGAATCTGCAGATGTGAAACTCACAGATACAGAGGGTAGCCTCTTGTAAACAAAGATTCATGTCTACGCAAAGATTCATGTCTACCCAGTTGGAGCTCCTAATCTAGTCAGCCACAAATACTAGTGTTGTTTCCTCAATCTCTGTCCATTGGGACTTCCAACCCCTACGGGGGAGTGAATTTGTTTTGATGGTTGTAAGTTAGACTTTTCCTAATGTTAAGTTTTATAAAACCCATCTGAGGTAACTTACAAAAATGAATACATAAACACAAGAAAGAGGGAAGAACAAAAGATTTTTGATAAGGAGGAGAAGAATAAGCTGCAAAGAATCTGAGATGATATATTTGATACAATTTATCATACTTTATGGTTCTAAGATTCCTGGCTGTCTATGGAAAAATAAAAATAAATAAATAACAACCAACACAACCACAACCAGAGAGATGAATTAACGTGCAAGGTTTTATTATCTAGAAAATGAAAGAAAACTACTGCTCATTTCATGCTAGAATCAGTTTATAATAGATGTTGCAAAATAGAAATCACTCTCTGCTTCTATAGGTTTACCAAAGTTGTAGAGATGTATATTTTTCAAATGACCTTTTTCTATAGCAATGCTGTCTGTAATGGAATGAATCCGTATTAAGAGTGTTTTTTGTAGCAGATACTGTGCTTTGAACTCGAGGTACATAATTTTATCTAATCCTCATCTCAATGCTGGTGAACTATATACTACTTTTGAAATTTTATAGTTGAGTTAATAAAGGCATACAGAGGTTATGTTAAATTCTCAAAATGAAAAACCTTGACAAATTGAGGTCAAGATGGAAATCCAGGGCTACGTGGCTCCTAAAAGAATAAAGTTTAATATTAAATAATAATATAGTCATCTCTATTTAGAATTTAGGTAATGGCTTCTAGACATGCCACTTTTCTAATAATAGTGTCCAGGCGTGTGGAATTAGAGCTTAAAAAGGCACAGAAATGAATTGTTCAATCCTATTTACTGACTTGTATGTAAGTAACCCCAAGTAGGCACTGAGTGAATTTAGAATACCAGCGGACTTACACTGTGAGAGTTGCAGGTGTGTGCTTGTCATGCCCATACATTTACAGAATTACCATTATTAATGTGAGATTGATGAGCTCCTATATCCAGTTTGTTATCAAAACATAAAGCAGTGGGACTAGCTATATCTGATGCATACTAAGGGCCACCCACTTTCTGAGTTTTGTTTGGAAGTTTGGAAAGGTAAGGCAAGGTTTTCCTTGCAAATGCTTTGGTTCTTCCCATTGCTTGAGCATTCTTTATTGAAATTTTAAACAGTCTCATCTAAGTCTAAAGCAATTGAATTGAATGAAATTATAATAAGGTGGGAGTGAATTATATTTTGCTAAATATGATAACCTCCTTGCGTTTATCTGCGTTTCTAAAGCAGTGCCTAATAAACAGCATGAAGCATCACCAAGCCAGAAGTTTAGTGCTCACGTTGTGGGGAAGATAACAGAATCTTTAATTTATAGCAACAGAACTCCTTCGCAATTACTGAATTGAAGACACAGGAATATTTTGTGCTGTTGCAAACCAAAAATTATCAGTTTCAAAGCCACATCCTAAGCTGAAAATCCCAATTTTGTGGATATCTGAGAAACCACTATGAATGGTTATATGTGAATGACTAGTAAATATTATTCTAAAAATTAATGTTATTAGCAATCTCATCTAATTAAAAATCCTCCCAAATAAAAGAAATGAATGTTTAGCTAGCCCCTGTATGCTAGCAAATAATTTGTTGTCTAGCGAAGTTGAACAATCAGACCTCACTGTTGTTCTGGGTCAAGGAGGCAGGCCTCCCTCTTCTCTTTTCACAACACACAAGTAGAAATGTTGCAGCACAGACTCAAAAGCAAAGGAAATAAAGGTACCATAAACTGAAGGATATGTGGAGAAAATGCATTTAGGGGCCGGGCGCCGTGGCTCACGCCTGTAATCCCAGCACTTTGGGAGGTCGAGGCGGGTGGATCACGAGGTCAGGAGATGGAGACCATCCTGGCTAACACGGTGAAACGCCGTCTCTACTAAAAATACAAAAAATTGGGCCGGGCGCGGTGGCTCGCGCCTGTAGTCCCAGCACTTTGGGAGGCCGAGGCGGGTGGATCATGAGGTCAGGAGATCGAGACCATCCTGGCTAACAAGGTGAAACCCCGTCTCTACTAAAAATACAAAAAATTAGCCGGGCGCGGTGGCGGGCGCCTGTAGTCCCCGCTACTTGGGAGGCTGAGGCAGGAGAATGGCGTGAACCCGGGAGGCGGAGCTTGCAGTGAGCCGAGATGGCGCCACTGCACTCCAGCCTGGGCGACAGAGCGAGACTCCGTCTCAAAAAAAAAAAAAAAAAGAAAACGCATTTAGGGTCTTATCTGATTAAGTCCAAGGGATCTTTGGGTCTATCTGGGCTTTTTTTTCCTGTTTTCCACTCTATTTTTTTTTCACCCTTTCTCTTTCTACCTTGGACCTCTGTCTCACTAGCTGCTTGAGAAGGGAGCTGTGCATGGCAGAATTTAAAGAAAGCAGGGTCTTCGGATGATGCTGAGTTCTCATTTTGGAGAGAGTAAAATTAGACACTTTTTTTTTAATCGAAGTTGTATGTTTCAGTTACATAGGACAGAAAAAGTCGCAAAAATCAGGAATCAGACTTGTGTAACTGACTGGAACTTTTATTGCGTCTTGCCTCCCAAGGAACTCAGTATGGAGAACTGTGTGCAGGATGATGAGAAATGACATTTCAAATGACCTTTAAGTCGGCTTCCAACCTGTAAAGTTAGAGACACTGGCATAGTCATCAAATTGCCCTATTGCACAATTTTGCATAGGATTTTTAGACTCAGATGTATAATTTTTCATTTTCCATGTTACATTTCAACGAAACATAACCTCTTGTTCAAGCCCGTCAGAAGAATTTTGGATCTGGGCTCTGTGGCATAGCATATGACCTAACAATCATAACTATACACCAGAGGTGAATTTGACAATATGTCACTGTGTAAAGTCCTCAACCAAGCTATTAGTGAAGAAAGAAAAAATTGAACAGATAAAGAACAGATACCTGTGGAATGTAAACGTTCCTTGTTCTCATTCAAAATGATCTGTGTTGGCTATTTACACAATTCTTTTGGATTCAGGATTAATTTAATTAGTTCTATTTTGCTATTTTGACACATTTACAGCAAATGTATAGGTGGGCCTAGAGACACATTAGAATATTTTGATATTGGGATTTCCTCCCATGAGCATTTCATATCTTTCCATTTCAGTAGTTTTTATAATTTTCCATATTTTACAATTTTGTAACTTTTATTAGCACTACATTGAGTCTGTAGATTTAGAGAGAATAGGCACCTTTACAACCCTAAGATATACTATTCAAAAATATGGGCAATTTTAGACATAATTCCTAAAGAAACTTTATGTAGCTTGTTAATATTAGGTACCTAATATTAATGTATTACATTATACCTAATGTATGTAATACATTGATACATAATGTATTAATTGATACATAACATGTTATCATAATTAATCATAATTACAAATTAATCATAATTAATTGATACATAATGTATAATCTAATATTAGTGTAATATTAGGTACCTAATATTAGCATAATATTAGTGTAATATTAGGTACCTAATATTAGTGTAACATTAGTGAACCTAATAGTAATATTAATAAGTATTAGGTAATATTAACTAATATTAGTTAATATTACTAAATATAGGGTACCTAATATTACTAATCTTACAGCAATATTAAGTACCTAATATTGGTGTACTATTAGGTACCCTATATTTCCGTCACTATCGAAAATATATGGTTTCAGATTACATATTCTTACTTTCGGTTAAAATGTGTAGATCTGAAATCAACTCTCGTTAACAAACTTTTTGTTAAGAAACTTTGCCAAAATCTACTCCTCATAATAATTTATCCCTAGAATATTTTAGAAATTTTTTTACATACATCAGATAATCTAGTTACTATATTTTTATTTTCTACCTCTTTAGTGTTAAAAAAATTATGTGTGTTGAATTTTATTCAGTGCCTTTTTGGCATGTATTGAAATGTTAAAATTGTTTGCTTTTTAATTTGTTAATGGAAGAGTTACATTAATACGTTTCCTAATGATAGAACAAAAATTGCATTTCTGTAATAAATGTTTATTAGTAATTATGTTATCCATTGTATACGTTGCTTAATTCTTTTTTTTAACATAAATAACCTCTGCATACCACCAGAACCTTTTTCCAAATGTCAGTTTGTCTTCATAACAGCATTTCCTGGGGTATTATTTAGTCTTGTTATAAATGCAAAATTATAATGCATAATATTTTAGCCCCAAACCCACAACCCTTTTCCTTATTATAATAATGTAGAATAAAACTCTCTTTATTTAAAAAATACCCTCTCAATTTAGGGTATAAAAATATCTTTAAAAACTATTTGTTGATAACCAAACAATTGAATGGATATTAAGAAGATATTTCTTTGTGTCTTTATTTGAGTTCTTCCTCAGAATTGCTCCTCTTGAGGATGGGGAGCCTGGCATATTTTATTTATTCACAGATTCGGATGGGTTTGGAGGGTGAATTTCCTGTTGTAAGTTACTCCCCTGGGGATTAACTCCCCCATAATTTTGTGTTGTATTGCTCATGGCTGAGAAGCCTATTGTGGCTTTGGAGAACACAGACCAGAGCAGCACATACATATTTGTGTGATGCTTCCAAGAGCTTGGAACTGCCCACTACACTGAGATGAAATCTGATAGGTTGGGTTGATTCAGTCTGGTGTATTATAAGTATATGCTCACTTTGTATATAGGACTATCTTTTTTTAATTATATCACTTTTAACACCTCCTTTACTTTTTTTTTCCCAAAAATTTCTTTTACGTTTTCTTGTTATTTTAGTCTACAGAAATTGGCAAAAATAAGTACTAATTATAAAATGAATTATAGAAACATGCAAGAGAAGAATCCATGACTGGGAATTAACTCACAATAAGGATGATACTCTGATGCTATCTTAGCACCAAGGGTACGTGACATCTGTGTCACCTTTGTTGACATATGAGAGACTTTTAAAAACTTCTACATACCATTCTGTAGGACTAGTAATTGTGTTTGGAATATAGCTCAAATACATTAATACATAGGTGTTGTTCAAAATTTTGTATTAATTTGGGGGAACATTGTTTACTATCTTATATAAACACAGACCATGAAACATTGTGCTGAAAAATGTACATTCTGTGAAATTAAAGGATTAAAAAATCATAGGCATTCTATTGGGATAATTTTATATAAGGGCAGTATATAATAGACTATACCTTTTTTTTAAGAGTTTTGCGTCCATGTCTATGAAAGTAGTCTCTAAATTTTATTTATTATATGGTCCACATCTAAGTTTGATATCAAATTTCTTACAATCTTCACAGAATAATTTGTGGAATTATTTTTGTTCATTACTTTTTACTCATTTTACTTCTAAGTGGTTTCTGTAAGAATGGAATTAATTTATAATTAATATAATTTACCATTAATATTTGATGGAGCCAACCTGTGAAAACACCTGGACTTTGTTTCTTTCTTGTGGTGAGATATGTTAATGACATATTTACTGTCATCTCAAATAAAACCAGGACAACCAAATAATTTAACCATAGTTATCATGATTTTTGTTTGTTTGTTTGGGTTTTTAAAAGAAATCTTTTCTACATTGTGTCTACTAGTGATTCACTGAGTTCACTGAGTCTAGAATTGTTTTCTATCTCTTTGGTTTTTCATCTTTTGTCTCAATTACCACTTCTGAAATTTCAATTATGCATTAGCCCTCTCCCATGTTACCCTTGTCTGTCTTTCTGTGCTACAGTTTGTGAAATTTTTTCAGGTATATTTCCCAGGCTACAAATTTTCTTTTCAGCTATGTATAATTTGCTGCTTAACTCCTCATTGGAGTTTCACATTTCTGTAATTTTTCTCCTTTCATTTCTAAGATTTAAATTTGTTGTGAGTTTCATTTAAAATCTAATTTGTCATTTTTGATAGTATCTAGATCCTTGCTGATTCTTTTGATCTTTTCTTATAATTCTTTACTCATCATTTGAATCCAGTAATTTAAAAATCTGATGGAATTTAAAATCACTGTTTTTTTCTCTACTTATTATCTTGCTTATGACTTCTTACTTATGTGTTTCCTGATTTTTTTATATTTAGGTCTAAATTTATTCATTTATGGCCATCTTTAAGTTGTCTTCTTCCTGAAAACTATTCATTTTGCCTTATAAAGATGTCTGTGGACCCTAACAACCCAGGATCATTTAAAAATAGATCTATTCTTACACTTTTTTGGACAATACTGAAGTCTGAAGTCTGTGTGAGTTTTGGTTACACTTTTCCAGCAGAGACTTTTTAGTTTTTTCTTCCAGACATACTGTAAAGACAGAAGGATTAGATTCCTGTTTCCCATAATAAGGATGATATTTCTAAGCTCATACGTTTACTGACGGTGCTATATACATATAGTGATTTTTCTAAAAAACATTTAGAAAAATGTTTTTTCCCTGTATACTCACACACTTACATATATGCATATATTCATATTATTAAATTTTTGACATTTAACTTATTAATGTAGTGAACGATTTTTTTTTTTTTTTTTTTTTGAGATGGAGTCTCACTCTGTCACCCTGGCTGGAGTGCAGTGGCCCGGTCTCGGCTCACAGCAAGCTCCACCTCCCAGGTTCATGCCATTCTCCTGCCTCAGCCTCCCGAGCAGCAGGGACTACAGGCGCCTGCCACCATGCCCGGCTAATTTTTTGTATTTTTAGTACAGACGGGGTTTCACCCTGTTAACCAGGGTGGTCTCAATCTCCTGCCCTCATGATCTGCCTGCCTGGGCCTCCCAAAGTGCTGGGATTACAGGCGTGAGCCACCACGCCCGGCCCATGATTTTTAATGTATTTTATTTAGTGTTAAATCTTCCTTGCCTTTCTCATATAAATAATATGTGGCCACACATTTAAAAATTCAGTTTCCCAATATTATTTTTATAATCTTTGTATGTATATTCATTAATGAAAATGCCTGGAAATTTTCTCTTCTCAACCAATATTTTTCTGATTTTGATATCAAGATGAATTCACCTTCTAAAGGGCATAGATTTTTCTAACTTTCTTTTATGATAAGACATAACTTCTTCTCCTGAAAGCATCTATTTTACCAAAATAGTCATTATTATTTCTTATATTACATCTGTAGTGTGGTTCACAGTTAAAGACAGCTGAAATTTTTTGCAGAAGCTGCTTCAAGAATGTTGGCTTCTTCTTGGGAGTTTAAAAATACTAACTCATTATCCCTGAAGTGTGTAATGTTGATTTAGGTAACTAACTGTAAAATTTAACAAAGGCATATACATCACACTTTCAATGCTGAATAATTACAAATTAACTTACAAACAGACTAACAAGTGTTCTATAAATATAAAAGTAATGGAAATATCACTTCTAAACTTATCACTCAGACATAAGCATATATAACATTCTAATTTATGATATTGGGCTATTGCTTTATATATATTCATATGTGTGTGTGTGTATATATATGTACACACACACACTGGCACATATCAATATATGTACACCTTTAGTTCTTAGTATTGACCTATACATCTTCATTTATTTTTGTATATCTATATAAATATAGGCACATATTTAATAGTCAGTATTGGTCTATACATTTCATTTATTTTTGTACATCTGTAAACACACACATACGTGAACATACAGGACATATTTTGAATTCTACTGTTAATATAAATGATATCTGTCTTTGCATATATAAATTTATATTTATACTATGATTTTATATTTTCTCACTTTCTTATGATTATGTAATAATTCATGTAATCTACCATTTGGACATTTATGCTGATTCCAATTTTACCTGGCTACTTTAACAGCATTATGATGGAAATACTTGTTCTATGTCTTCTTCTGCTTATCTAATAATTTCTTTAGAAAAAATATCTGTAAGTTGAATTATTAGGTACTTATTACCTTAAGGATATGGGTTTTTAAGGTAATTTTTAAAATTATACTCAAGAGGAATTTTATTATTGATTTATAATTTTGATATGTAAAGGGTAACAAACTTTCTTATTTTACATATGTAGCAATATTTTGCTTAATTTTTCATTATTTTTCAGTTTGGCTGTTTTATTTATTTACTTTAAAAAATCACAAACACTAAACTATAAAGCCCATCAGCTATTTCCTTCATGGTTTCTGCTTTTACTGATATGCTTTAAAAAACTTTTTGTGGCCGGACATGGTGACTCACACCTGTAATCCCAGCACTTTGGGAGGTTGAGGTGGGTGGATCACCTGAGATCAGGAGTTTGAGACCAGCCTGGCCAACATGGCGAAATCCTCCGCTCTCTACTAAAAATACAAAAAAATTAGCAGGGTGTGGTGGCAGGCACCTGTAATCCCAGCAACATGGGAGGCTGAGGCAGGAGAATCCCTTGAACCCAGGAGGTGGGGATTGCATTGAGCCGAGATCACACCACTGCACTCCAGCCTGGGCAACAAGAGCAAAACTCAATCTCAAAAAAAAAAGAAAAAAGAAAAAAAAACTTTTCGTATGTCAAGACTGTAACAGAAATATTCATTATATTTTCATTTACTGCTTTTATACTTTTATTTTAAAAATAAACTACATTTTGTTTATTTTAGCTTAAATATGAAATACACATCTGGCAAAATCAGTCATTTTTCTGCTAAACAATGGGTGTTCCAGCATCATTTTTGAATTATTCATTACTTGAATACCAATTTTAAATGACATTTTAAAACATTTAAAAATATGTGTACAATGTCCTTTAAAGAATTTACTATGCTTTTTCATTGATGTGCCTGTCTGTTCTCACGTGGTCATGGACCATATAAATTATTATGGCTGTTAAATATAATTTATTTTAGAAATAGCTTGGTATCCAAGTTACTAGAGTACATTGTGAATCATGATTAGAGATAATTTACAGAGAAACACTGTCTCTCTCTACATAATTCAAATCTTTTATAACAATCGTGTATCATTCTAAAGAACAACAAAGATGTTTCTATTTAAAAATATACAACGAAAGAAAATCATAGTTTGTCTATTTTCAAAACTATAGTTTGAGATTTGATTAAGATTACATTGCACCTGCAGAGTAATTTCAAAAGAGCTAAAATATTAACAATATTAAATCTTCTCATTTCTAACCAGCCATTTGTCCTCTGAAAAATGAGTAATCAGACTGTTTTAGGGAAATGCAAAAATTGGAATTTGGTATAAATTTGTTTCATACAGTAAGTCATCACAAGGGCAAAGAAATTTTCTACATACATTTACTTATTTATCAACTCAGACGTGCCTATAGATATAGTATTTGTCACTACAGAATATTATAATAGCATTATTAATTATAATTATAGCTGAGATATTTTGGATTTTGCCTAATTCAGAGATGCACATTTGATGTTTTAAATACTCATGAGAAAAAGACTGGCTGAGAACTTTCAATGCATTATCAGACGTATACAGATTATGTATAATAATCAGACATAACTGATTATGTATAATCATTATCCATCCAAAAGTCAGTGTCTGTTATATCCCAATCATTGGGCAAGTGGAGGCAATACAAAAATGCATAGATTAATATAGTAGGTGCTTCAATAACTATATTTGTCTATATTCACACTGCTATAAAGAACTACCTGAGACTGGGTAATTTTTGAAGAAAAGAGGTTTAATTGACTCATAGTTCTGCAGGCTAAATGGGAAGCATAACTGGGAGGCCTCAGGAAACTTACAATCATGGTGGAAGGCAAAGGGGAACCAAGGCACATCTTCCCATGGCAGAGCAGGAGAGAGAGAGAGTGAGAGAGAAAGTGTCACACTTTCAGACCACTGGATCTCCTGAGAACTCACCCAGTAGCAGGAGAACAGCACGAGGAAGTCCACCTCTAAGATTCAGTCACCTCCTACCAGGCCCCTCCCCCGACACGTGGTGCTTACAGTTCAAGATGAGATTTGGGTAGGGACACAAATCTAAACCATATCAGTAACTTACAGTATATCAAGGTAAACAAATCAACAATCCATCTTTTTTTTTTCCTCTGATACATGTATTCCTAGAACTATGTTCAAAGTGGTAGCAGATTGTCCAGAAGAAGGTAGCTAGTAGCATGTGAATCTAAGAAATATTCATACTATAATGTTTGAATTATCAACTCTTTTTCACTCCTCAATCTAGTCCAGTCACCCCTCCTCTCACATGAAGACAAAGAAAAAACATCTTTTACTAAACCAATCAATGAGCTCAGTGTCCCTAACTTCACTGAATATTGCTAGAAATCTCCAACTATACCAGTGACTCCCTTGAACACCAGACCTCTATATTCACCTAGCTATTCATTACTTCTGCCTAGATGTGTCAAAAACTCCTCAAAACCAACTGTCCAAACCCAGACCCACAGTATTTGTCTGTTAACTTGATTTTCCATTGATGATGCTAATATCAATAAAGCCACCAAAATCTATTCAGAAGAAATCACTCACTCCATGTTTTTAAACCCATGTTTTTCTGTACTACCATACCTAAGCCATCACCAATTATCACAATTTTCTTTCCTAAACAGCCCTCAATTCTTCAATTTATTTACCTTCACTCCTCCCAGGGGAGTCTAAGCTATCAATGTCTCTCATCTAAACTACTGTAAAAGCCTATTGCAACAACCCCCTCCATCATTTTTTTAATTGAAGAAAAATTCACACAACATACAATTGGCCATTTTAAAGGGTACACGCAAATGGCATTGAGTGCATTTACAATGTTGTGCAACAATTATCTCTCTCTACTTCCAAAACATTTTCATCATTGCAAAAGGACACCCCATACATACCAAGCTGTCACTCACCACTCTCCCCTCCCGCCAGCCCTGGCAACTAATCTATTTGTTGTATCTATCTTTTTGCCTACTCTGATATTTTTAAGTCTGTAGTTCAGCGCTAGTATTATATTATATTAATGTTTTCCCTTAATTCTATTAATTTAATATGGGTATGACGTAACATTACAGGAAGTTGAATGAAAGGTATATGGGAACACTGTATTACTTTTTAAACTCTTGTATTAGTCTGAAATTATCTCAAAATGAAGATTTTTTAAAATGAATAAAATACCATGTAAAATGTCGGACAGAGCATTGGCCTGGGAGTTGAGACACAATGGTTTGAGTACTACTTCCACTACTAGTTGCATTATAGTTGTATTGAAGTCCTTTATGTAAATAAATGATAAAATAAGTAACAAAATGCTTGGTAGTCAAGCAAATTAAACTCTCTGGACTTCAGTTTTTTATTAACAAATTTGAGGGTCTATAACAGGTATAGAAGATCTCTAAGTTCCTCCTTATTCTAAATCTGGAAATTTATCCATTTTTTATGGAACATGAAATTTTTCACAGATAATGTTAACAGTTTTTATGAAAATTAAATCCAAAGCAAATAGTTTTTTTAACTCTACCATCAAAAAATATTGAGAGTTATAAAGTATGAAAATCCTTATGATAACTATGTAAAAATCTTGGCACCGTATCTAGATATGGTTAATACATAATAAATATATAAATGCATGAATATATATGTTATACATTAATGATTTTTCTCAAAATTTATTTAAATAGCTTTTTTCAGTTTTTTGAAATCTACTGTATATTATTGATATATTTTTCTCCATGATGTGTTTAATTTATAAAGAAGTTCTTATTTACTTTTAATGCATAAATATAATTAAGATTTTAAGAAAAAATTAAAATTTCAATACGATTTAAAACATGATATTTTATGCAACAAAGAACCAAGTGTTATGTATTATTTAATAGCAAATTGGAGACATAGATATTATTATATTTTATGATGCCAAGCAATTGGCTATACTATGCTTGGTACGAAAACTGAGTTTGAAAAATTAAAGTGTTCTATTCTATTCATCTATTCTAATAAAATGAGGCTTTTAGAAATTATCACAGAAAGACATGTTTTACATTTCATCATGAATCCTGAAAGCAAATTCAAAAATGAGGTAAATAAAAATTTTACTCTATTGACAAGAGTTCTATTTTTAATTGAGTAATTGAAAGTAAAATTGTACAAAAATAAGCCTTCTGTATCTAAATCCCTGTAAATTTACCTAATTTCTTCAAAGAATTAAAATGTTATTGTGGATTTTTCTGGAATTTTATTTATGACCTAAAATAATCTTATAGTATGACCATTTTCTATTTTTAAAAGTTTAACTAATTTTAGTTGTTTTAACTTTTGAAAAAATGTTGAACTCAAAGATGAAATCTCAACTTCATTCAATTTTGAGAATTGTGTTTCTAGATATTCAACTTTACTCTGTAGATGTGTTATAGAGAGGTTTTCTTATTTATTTTAGGGTCTTTGTCTTTTCCGGCTTCCAATGAAGAACTTATAAGTGTTCGTTTTAAGAATGCATTGTTTTCTATAAGTTTAATGAATGCTATACTATTTTGAAAAGAAGATATACAGGATCTTAGGATATTAGTTGTATTTACAAACACTGTTATGTTAGATAATGTCATGGAAAATTTTCCCTCTCAACAATCACTAATGCGAATAGACAACATATTTACATCATTTGTGGGCTTTTAAATTTAGGTATCAAGTTTGCCTTCTGAGTAAGCTTAAGATGTAAGTATTAATTTAGTTAATCTATTTTTAGAGCTACTCTTTTTTTTAATTTTATTTTTATTATACTTGAAGTTTTAGGGTACATGTGCACAATGTGCAGGTTTGTTATATATGTATACATGTGCCATGTTGGTGTGCTGCACCCATTAACTCGTCATTTAGCATTAGGTATATCTCCTAATGCTATCCCTCCCCCCTCCCCCCACCCCACAACAGTCCCCAGAGTGTGATGTTCCCCTTCCTGTGTCCATGTGTTCTCATTGTTCAATTCCCACCTATGAGTGAGAACACGTGGTGTTTGGTTTTTTGTCCTTGCCAT
This sequence comes from Homo sapiens, assembly GCF_000001405.40. Taxonomy (NCBI): domain Eukaryota; kingdom Metazoa; phylum Chordata; class Mammalia; order Primates; family Hominidae; genus Homo; species Homo sapiens. The sequence continues at coordinate 14,105,021 of NC_000002.12, read as the reverse complement.
AGTTTGCTGAGAATGATGGTTTCCAGTTTCATCCATGTCCCTACAAAGGACATGAACTCATCATTTTTTATGGCTGCATAGTATTCCATGGTGCATATGTGACACATTTTCTTCATCCAGTCTGTCACTGATGGACATTTGGGTTGGTTCCAAGTCTTTGCTATTGTGAATAGTGCCGCAGTAAACATACGTGTGCATGTGTCTTATAGCAGCATGATTTATAATCCTTTGGGTATATACCCAGTAATGGGATGGCTGGGTCAAATGGTGTTTCTAGTTCTAGATCCCTGAGGAATCGCCACACTGACTTCCACAATGGTTGAACTAGTTTACAGTCCCACCAACAGTGTAAAATGTTCCTATTTCTCCACATCCTCTCCAGCACCTGTTGTGTCCTGACTTTTTAATGATCTCCATTCTAACTGTTGTGAGATGCTATCTCATTGTGGTTTTGATTTGCATTTCTCTGATGGCCAGTGATGATGAGCATTTTTTCATGTGTTTTTTGGCTGCATAAATGTCTTCTTTTGAGAAGTATCTGTTCATATCCTTCGCCCACTTTTTGATGGGGTTGTTTGTTTTTTTCTTGTAAATTTGTTTGAGTTCATTGTAGATTCTGGATATTAGCCCTTTGTCAGATGAGTAGGTTGTGAAAATTTTCTCCCATTTTGTAGGTTGCCTGTTCACTCTGATGGTACTTTCTTTTGCTGTGCAGAAGCTCTTTATTTTAATTAGATCCCATTTGTCAATTTTGGCTTTTGTTGCCATTGCTTTTGGTGTTTTAGACATGAAGTCCTTGCCCGTGCCTATGTCCTGAATGATATCGCCTAGGTTTTCTTCTACGGTTTTTATGGTTTTAGGTCTAACATTTAAGTGTTTAATCCATCTTGAATTAATTTTTGTATAAAGTGTAAGGAAGGGATCCAGCTTCAGCTTTCTACATATGGCTAGCCAGTTTTCCCAGCACCATTTATTAAATAGGGAATCCTTTTCCCATTGCTTGTTTTTCTCAGGTTTGTCAAAGATCAGATAGTTGTAGATATGTGGCATTATTTCTGAGGTCTCTGTTCTGTTCTATTGATCTATTTCTCTCTTTTGGTACCAGTAACATGCTGTTTTGGTTACTGTAGCCTTGTAGTATAGTTTGAAGTCAGATAGCGTGATGCTTCTGGCTTTGTTCTTTTGGCTTAGGATTGACTTGGCGATGCGGGCTCTTTTTTGGTTCCATATGAACTTTAAAGTAATTTTTTCCAATTCTGTGAAGAAAGTCATTGGTAGCTTGATGGGGATGGCATTGAATCTATAAATTACCTTGGGCAGTATGGCCATTTTCATGATATTGATTCTTCCTACCCATGAGCATGGAATGTTCTTCCATTTGTTTGTATCCTCTTTTATTTCCTTGAGCAGTGGTTTGTAGTTCTTGAAGAGGTCCTTCACATCCCTTGTAAGTTGGATTCCTAGGTATTTTATTCTCTTTGAAGCAATTGTGAATGGTAGTTCACTCATGATTTGACTCTCTGTTTGTCTGTTATTGGTGTATAAGAATGCTCGTGATTTTTGTACATTGATTTTGTATCCTGAGACTTTGTTGAAGTTGCTTAGCAGCTTAAGGAGATTTTGGGCTGAGGCAATGGGGTTTTCTAGATATACAATCATGTCATCTGCAAACAGGGACAATTTGACTTCCTCTTTTCTGAATTGAATACCCTTTATTTCCTTCTCCTGCCTAATTGCCCTGGCCAGAACTTCCAACACTGTGTTGAATAGGAGTGGTGAGAGAGGGCATCCCTGTCTTGTGCCAGTTTTCAAAGGGAATGCTTCCAGTTTTTGCCCATTCAGTATGATATTGGCTGTGGGTTTGTCATAGATAGCTCTTATTATTGTGAGATATGTCCCATCAATACCTAATTTATTGAGAGTTTTTAGCATGAAGGGTTGTTGAATTTTGTCAAAGGCCTTTTCTGCATCTGTTGAGATAATCATGTGGTTTTTGTCTTTGGTTCTGTTTATATGCTGGATTACATTTATTGATTTGCTTATGTAGAACCAGCCTTGAGTCCCAGGGATGAAGCCCACTTGATCATGGTGGATAAGCTTTTTGATGTGCTGCTGGATTCGGTTTGCCAGTATTTTATTGAGGATTTCTGCATCAATGTTCATCAAGGATATTGGTCTAAAATTCTCTTTTTTGATTGTGTCTCTGCCCGGCTTTGGTATCAGGATGATGCTGGCCTCATAAAATGAGTTAGGGAGGATTCCCTGTTTTTTTATTGATTGGAATAGTTTCAGAAGGAATGGTACCACTTCCTCCTTGTACCTCGGGTAGAATTCGGCTGTGAATCCATCTGGCCCTGGACTCTTTTTGGTTGGTAAGCTATTGATTATTGCCACAATTTCAGAGCCTGTTATTGGTCTATTCAGAGATTCAACTTCTTCCTGGTTTAGTCTTGGGAGGGTGTATGTGTCGAGGAATTTATCCATTTCTTCTAGATTTTCTAGTGTATTTGCATAGAGGTGTTTGTAGTATTCTCTGATGGTAGTTTGTATTTCTGTGGGATCGGTGGTGATATCCCCTTTATCATTTTTTATTGCATCTATTTGATTCTTCTCTCTTTTCTTCTTTATTAATCTTGCTAGCGGTCTATCAATTTTGTTGATCTTTTCAAAAAACCAGCTCCTGGATTCATTAATTTTTTGAAGGGCTTTTTGTGTCTCTAATTCCTTCAGTTCTGCTCTGATTTTAGTTATTTCTTGCCTTCTGCTAGCTTTTGAATGTGTTTGCTCTTGCTTTTCTAGTTCTTTTAATTGTGATGTTAGGGTGTCAATTTTGGATCTTTCCTGCTTTCTCTTGTGGTCATTTAGTGCTACAAATTTCCCTCTACACACTGCTTTGAATGTGTCCCAGAGATTCTGGTATGTTGTGTCTTTGTTCTCGTTGGTTTCAAAGAAAATCTTTATTTCTGCCTTCATTTCATTATGTACCCAGTAGTCCTTCAGGAGCAGGTTGTTCAGTTTCCATGTAGCTGAGCAGTTTTGAGTGAGTTTCTTAATCCTGAGTTCTAGTTTGATTGCACTGTGGTCTGAGAGACCGTTTGTTATAATTTCTATTCTTTTACATTTGCTGAGGAGAGCTTTACTTCCAACTATGTGGTCAATTTTGGAATAGGTGTGGTGCTGAAAAAAAATGTATATTCTGTTGATTTGGGGTGGAGAGTTCTGTAGATGTCTATTAGGTCCGCTTGATGCAGAGCTGAGTTCAATTCCTGGGTATCCTGGTTAACTTTGTGTCTCGTTGATCTGTCTAATGTTGACAGTGGGGTGTTAAAGTCTCCCATTATTATTGTGGGGGAGTCTAAGTCTCTTTGTAGGTCACTCAGGACTTGCTTTATGAATCTGGGTGCTCCTGTATTGGGTGCATATATATTTAGGATAGTTAGCTCTTCTTGTTGAATTGATCCCTTTAGCATTATGTAATGGCCTTCTCTGTCTCTTTTGATCTTTGTTGGTTTAAAGTGTGTTTTATCAGAGACTAGGATTGCAACCCCTGCCTTTTTTTGTTTTCATTTGCTTGGTAGATCTTCCTCCTTCCCTTTATTTTGAGCCTATGTGTGTCTCTGCATGTGAGATGGGTTTCCTGAATACAGCACACTGATGGGTCTTGACTCTTTATCCAATTTGCCAGTCTGTGTCTTTTAATTGGAGCATTTAGTCCATTTACATTTAAAGTTAATATTGTTATGTGTGAATTTGATCCTGTCATTATGATGTTAGCTGGTGATTTTGCTCGTTAGTTGATGCAGTTTCTTCCTAGTCTGGATGGTCTTTACACTTTGGCATGATTTTGCAGCAGCTGGTACCAGTTGTTCCTTTCCATGTTTAATGCTTCCTTCAGGAGCTCTTTTAGGGCAGGCCTGGTGGTGACAAAATCTCTCAGCATTTGCTTGTCTGTAAAGTATTTTATTTCTCCTTCACCTGTGAAGTTTAGTTTGGCTGGATATGAAATTCTGGGTTGAAAATTCTTTTCTTTAAGAATGTTGTATATTGGCCCCCACTCTCTTCTGGCTTGTAGAGTTTCTGCCGAGAGATCCGCTGTTAGTCTGATGGGCTTCCCTTTGTGGGTAACCCGACCTTTCTCTCTGGCTGCCCTTAACATTTTTTCCTTCATTTCAACTTTGGTGAATCTGACAATTATGTGTCTTGGAGTTGCTCTTCTTGAGGAGTATCTTTGTGGCATTCTCTGTATTTCCTGAATCTGAACGTTGGCCTGCCTGGCTAGATTGGGTAAGTTCTCCTGGATAATATCCTGCAGAGTGTTTTCCAACTTGGTTCCATTCTCCCCATCGCTTTCAGGTACCCTAATCAGACGTAGATTTGGTCTTTTCACATAGTCCCATATTTCTTGGAGGCTTTGTTCATTTCTTTTTATTCTTTTTTTCTCTAGACTTCCCTTCTCACTTCATTTCATTCATTTTGTCTTCTATCACTGATACTCTTTCTTCCAGTTGATCGCATCGGCTCCTGCGGCTTCTGCATTCTTCACATAGTTCTCGAGCCTTGGCTTTCAGCTCCATCAGCTCCTTTAAGGACTTCTCTGCATTGGTTATTCTAGGTATCCATTCGTCTAATTTTTTTTCAAAGTTTTTAGCTTCTTTGCCATTGGTTTGAATTTCCTCCTGTAGCTCAGAGTAGTTTGATCATCTGAAGCCTTCTTCTCTCAACTCGTCAAAGTCATTCTCCATCCAGCTTTGTTCCGTTGCTGGTGAGGAGCTGCGTTCCTTTGGAGGAGGAGAGATGCTCTGCTTTTTAGAGTTTCCAGTTTTTCTGCTCTGTTTTTTCCCCATCTTTGTGGTTTTATCTACTTTTGGTCTTTGATGATGGTGATGAACAGATGGGTTTTTGGTGTGGCTGTCCTTTCTATTTGTTACTTTTCCTTCTAACAGACAGGACCCTCAGCTGCAGGTCTGTTGGAGTTTGCTGGAGGTCCACTCCAGACCCTGTTTGCCTGGGTATCAGCAGCAGTGGCTGCAGAACAGCGGTGGCTGTAGAACAGCGGATATTGGTGATCCGCAAATGCTGCTGCCTGATTGTTCCTCTGGAAGTTTTGTCTCAGACGAGTACTGGGCCATGTGAGGTGTCAGTCTGCCCCTACTGGGGGGTGCCTCCCAGTTCAGCTGCTCGGGGGTCAGGAACCCACTTGAGGAGGCAGTCTGCCCATTCTCATATCTCCAGCTGTGTGCTGGGAGAACCACTACTCTCTTCAAAGCTGTCAGACAGGGACATTTATGTCTGCAGAGGTTACTGCTGTCTTTTTGTTTGTCTGTGCCCTGCTCCCAGAGGTGGAGCCTACAGAGGCAGGCAGGCCTCCTTGAGCTGTGGTGGGCTCCACCCAGTTCCAGCTTCCTGGCTGCTTTGTTTACCTAATCAAGTCTGGTCAATGGCAGGCCCCCCTCCCCCAGCCTCACTGCCACCTTGCAGTTTGATCTCAGACGGCTCTGCTAGCAATCAGCAAGACTCCGTGGGTGTAGGACCCTCCTAGCCAGGTGTGGGATATAATCTCCTGGTGTGCCTTTTTTTAAGCCCTTTGGAAAAGCACAGTATTAGGGTGGGAGTGACCCAATTTTCCAGGTGCCATCTGTCATCTCTTTCTTTGACTAGGAAAGGGAACTCCCTGACCCCTTGCACTTCCCAAGTGAGGCAATCCCTCGCCCTGCTTCGGGTCGCGCCCGGTGTGCTGCACCCACTGTCCTGCACCTACTGTCTGGCACTCCCTAGTGAGATGAACCTGGTACCTCAGATGGAAATGCAGAAATCACCCGTCTTCTGTGTCACTCACGCTGGGAGCTGTAGACCGGAGCTGTTCCTATTCGGCCATGTTGGCTCCACCCAGAGCTACTCTTTATTAATCATCAGTCTTTGCTAAATGTCATAGAAGATAGTTCTCAAGGCCTTAGGCTAGTGAGAAAAGCTAGTATGTAGAAGTACATTGATGATCAAGTAGGGTATGTGATGGTATGGGAACACAGAGGAGAAGCTGTTTGTTATAACTGTTGTATAGAATTGTGAGACTAAATAACCCCTTCTCCACCCACAAGGGGATGACATTTAAATGAGATTGTTACAAATGGAAAGCAAACAGCCAGATGTATTTTAAAAATGGCCTTCATCTCAGAGGGCACCAGGGAATATTCCAAGAATGATTGACTAGAAGAGAAATATTAAGTCTATATGGCCAGTGGTATATGAAAAAAAAAATACTGTTAGGTCATTTGGTGAAAATCAGTATAAATGCTACTAAAATGTTTAGAATTTATTCTGTAGGAAAAGGGAGAATGGAGAAGACAATGTTTGTTGTTGATTTTTTCTAGTGTGTTGATTTTATTATGGTAATAGTAGCTTGTCTTTATTGAGTGCTTGTTATGTGGCATTCTCTGTATTAAGCATTTTATAGTACTATTTCAGAAAACATTGTTATGTTTCAGGGTGTATGTGACTTAATAGAGTTAACACAGTTAGTAATTGGAAAGACAAGATTGAAAATTTACGATTTCTGACTACTACTTCTACTTTTACACTTTTCTGCTTCCCCAAATCACCATTTAATTTATATTTTATAAATCCATCTAAATTCTGTGGAGATGCCTACTCCTGAGAGCAAGGACAGAGCACCCCAGGATATATCTTGGATCACCTGAGGAACCAGGATTCAGGGATCTAGCACTGAAATCATCTAGCTAGTTCTGGTTAAAGCTCAAAACACACAAAGAAAAGGATACATGGCAAAGTACAAAGCCTTGCTCATTGTTTTGCCTATTAGAGACAATATTTTTCTTTGTAAAATTTTAAGGCTACAGGAATATAAAATTTAACGCAGTTTCTTCTGAATGAAGACGTTACGGCCTGAACACTCAGTGTTAACGAAGCTCATTGGTGAACCCCCTGCATTCCCCAAGAGAATTCTTCCCATAGTTGCCTTCATTTTACACTGCACTGCTTCCAATCAAGAAAATAGTTTTAATTTAGAATCAAAATCCAGAGAAGTAAGGAAATTATAGCTGTTATATCATAATAGGCTCTAAAGGAAAGACAACAGTGAAACTGTTGCCTCCAGAGAATTCCACAGGGCATCATTGAATAAGCAAGAATTAGAATACAGTTATTAGATATTCATTTCCAACCACTGGATCACACAATTGCTTTTAGTTAGTGGTGCATTAGAATGGTCTCTAAAGAGTCTTAATATACTTACTTTTTATCTCGTAAAAATGTAAATGCTTTTAGTTCATGCTTTCCTCATTACATAGACAGGCTTTTGTTTAATTACAAAAGTGATACCTAGTCAAAAAATAAAACAATGCAAAATTTTGTAGAGGTAAACACCACCTTTGTCTCTATATCTTTATATTTATAAACATATTTTTAATTAATGAGTTTATACCAAGTATATTTTTCTGTAACTTGCTTTCTTAACTTAGGACAATGTCATAATTATTTTTCCATTTCAGTAGTAGACTTAATTTATTCTTCTTTAGGCTCACAGAAACCTGTAGTAGGCATATAGCACACTTTATTTAACCTTCACTTACAGATAGAAATTAAGTTTGTTTTCAATGATTAGCTATTAAAATTTTAATATATATGCATATCTCATACATATTATCAAATAGTATATTTACAAATACATGCCCCTCTGTTTACATACATATATCCTTATCAAAATATGTATATGCCTGTGTGTGTGTGCATATATGTGTATGTGTGTTTTTACGTATGATTTTTCCCTTAGATACCAATAATGAAATGGATGGGCCAAAGATTATGTAGAATCTAAATTTTGATAGATGTAGTCAAATAATTTGCAAAATATAGTATATAAACTGTGTCAACATTGTATTAGAATGCCAACTACGCATGCACTTGCTAACAGTGATTGTTAATTCAATACACTATTATGAATATAATGGAAAATAATCTGTTATCTCATGATTGCTCATTACTTATCTAGGGAAAACTAGCTTATTGTTCTGTTTCCAAGTATAGCAGCAGAGAATATAAAACTGGTTTTTGAGCCTATAAACTAAGTATATTGTGATGTCTTTTCCTTTCTGTAGTCCTCCTGGGAGAAATAATAATAATGACAACAATAAGAATAAGTGGCTGGGAGCAGTGGCTTATGCCTGTGATCCCAGCACTTTGGGAGGCTGAGGCGGGTGGATCACGAGGTCAAGAGATCCTGAACATCCTGGCTAACATGGTGAAACCCTGTCTCTACTAAAAAAAAATACGAAAAATTAGCTGGGCGTGCTGGCACACGCCTGTAGTCCCAGCTACTCGAGAGGCTGAGGCAGGAGAATCGCTTGAACCTAGGAGGTGGAGATTGCAGTGAGCCAAGATCACACCACTGCACTCCAGCCTGGGTGACAGAGTGAGACTCCGTCTCATAAAAAAAAAAAAAAAAAAAAAAGAATAAGTGATGATTTTCACATTTATATTTATCATACAGTTTACAAGCTCTTGAATGTATCTGCTTCTTTGCATCCTCATAGCATCCGTGTTCCGTTTTCATGGCTGTCATTATTATTATATTTCTGCGGAAATGGAAAAGAAACTGAAAGTCAGAAAAATAAAACAACTTTACCAAGGTCACATAAAATCAAATGAGATGTGTGAAAATGCTTTTAAAATTGTAAAGATCATTGTATAAACTAAGAAATGGAAATTTAAAGATGAGAAACTACTTGCCTTATTGAATAAAATAATAACATGTATATTTCTGGGCTGGAAAGGTAGGATCTACTGGAGAATTAAAATTGACCTGCTTGGAAAACTCTTTCCCTGTATTTAGATAGTATCCTGAAACAGGTGCGCATCAGGACACAGCTGCCAACTCCTGCCTAGCAAAATCTTTGCCAAAATTTGGCGTTTGTAAGACATGGGCATAAATTTTTTATAGACTGCTGCAAGGGACCTGTAGCAAGAATTCTTCAAACAGTACTGGCAGCATCAGGTTTATAAAGCACTGAAAAATAAAAGATGCAAACATGAGTCAGCAAGGGGAGCATGTAGTTTATACTCAGAAAGGACTGTTTTACATCTCGTGTTATTATTTTTTTCTTCTGAAGCGGATAATTAATTTTCACTCCAGGAAATAGGTGGTGCCCCTCAACTTATGTTTAAAACACACAACAGTAAATACATACAACAAGCACGCATAATGCATGCACACAGTCACAAACATAAGCAAACTCACATGTGAACATATATGCACACACTGTAATGCATACTTCCACAATGGAAGTGGGACAGAGATAAATTGAATATACTTAAATAACCAGTATATATATTAAGAAGACTTGTACTCACAACTAAGCATTTGCATAAATACATAGAACCATACATAACACATAAAAATTAGATGTGTATGTAAAAATATTAATGCACAGAAAGAAATAAAATTGCATACTTGTTCAGACATGACGCAGGTTTTAAGGGCAGTGCTGGTAAATTCCAGCAAAGGTATTAAAAAAACAATAACAACAAATTACATACTAATACCCCTCAAAGAATACAAATACAAAATCCAAAAAATTTAGCAATCAATCTAGCAACGTCCTATAAAGATAATATGTCATGAAAATGTTGGGCTTTTCTCAGAGATTTACAAATTTAAAAAAAATTATAAATTTGTGAAACTTTGTTTCTTATTTAACAAAATTTATCATTTCTAAACAGATAGATTAGAGCATTATATCGTATTGTTAGTCAATACTTGCCAAGCCCTAACATACACCACACACTATAGTAAATTCTATAAGTACAAAACTGAATAGGTTATAATAATTGCTTCTGTGGGGATCCTGGGATATTAATGCAACATGTAGTTATAAACCAATACGGCAAGTGCTTCATAGCACTGTTTTTAGAAAGAATGGGTGCTTTGCAAAGGAGCTCCTCGATTGGCCTGTAAAGAAGATTAGCTCTGGAGAGCAACCTCAAGCGAGTGATACCTGCATTGCATTTCAAAATACGATTAAAAAATTAATTAAAAAAAAGGAAGAGTAGGAAGAACATTTTTAGGTATTAACAACAGCATGAGTAAAACCACAAACTCTAAATACAACATGAACATGAGAATTCAAGACCTTTGTAATTCAGCAAGGACAATGCAAATTCAGCCTGAGAGACTGGTAGGGGACATGTAATTAAAACCTTTGATTGTCTTTTTTATTTTTATTTGTTTGCTGTAGCTACAGCAACATCTTAAACAGGAAAGTGACTCAATCAGATTCAATTTCATACTTTGCTATCTGAGAGGGAATGAAATTCAGTTGTGCAGTTTAAGAAAAGGAGACATTTAAAAATATGAAAATGTCTAGACCAGATGATGAACGCATGTTTTAGAGCAATGTTAATAGAAAAGGAAAGGATGAATTTCTTTTTTAAATATTGAAGATTCAGAAATTGGCAAAAGTTAATGATTCTTTGAATGGGAATGTGAGAAGGTAGTTTCTACTGTTATTCTCATGTTTGTTTGAAGCTCAGGGGAGAGGTCTGGAGTGAAAATATGCAATAATGAGTTAACAGTTAATGTCAGGGATATATGTGATTTTAGACGATGCATAATCAGATAAAATGGGTTATAAGGATCACAGCAATTCATGTGATGGACAAAGGAAGAGTATCTTTCAAAGATGCACAAATAGTGTGAGATAGGTAGGGAGAACTAAAAGTGTGTTATGCTATAATCTAACAGAGTTAGCAATTTAAGTAAAAAGAGAGTGGCCGGCCGGGAGCGATGGCTGACGCCTGTAATCCCAGCACTTTGGGAGGCTGAGGTGGGCGGATCACGAGGTCAGGAGTTCAAGACCATCCCGGCTAACACGGTGAAACCCCATCTCTACTAAAAATACAAAAAAATCAGCTGGGCATGGTGGTGGGCTCCTGTAGTCCCAGCTACTCGGGAGGCTGAGGCAGGAGAATGGTGTGAACCGGGGAGGCGGAGCTTGCAGTGAGCCAAGATAGCGCCACTGCACTCCGGCCTGGGCGGAAAAGCAAGACTCCGTCTCAAAAAATAAATAAATAAATAAATAAATAAATAAATAAAGTGGCCACATTGTCAAAAGCTACAGAGAGCTATGAAAAATGAAAACATAAATTAAGCATTAACTGGTATCTTTAGTGAACGTAGCTTAAATAAGGTGCTGAAGGTAAGTCAGATGGCAGAGAATTTCATCAGAATGTGAGTTGAGACAGTGCAAACATTGCTGAAGAATACACAGGTAGGAAGGTTGAACAAAAAGAGAAAGTTAATTTCACTGGTGGCTAGAATTCGACTTTTGAATGAAAGATATTGAGCAAATTTAGGGTAACTTCAAGAAATTTGAAGACAAAAATAAGTTCTAGTGAAAAATATTTATTGATTTTATTATGTAATAAATATTTTTCTAAACACTTTAAATGAATGGATTCTATTGTCTCTATTTTTCAGATGAAAAAATTGAGGCATTGAAGGAAAAATAATTTTCCCCAGGTTACTCTTTTAATACATGGTAGAGTGAGGGTTTGAACACAAGCAGTTGGGCCTCCTCAGTCAATAGTACTTTAAAGTACTAAACTAAGGAGGCCATGGAAGTGATAGTGTTGGAAATAAAGGGGAAAATAAAGAAGTAAGACTGAGAAATGATGGGGTGAAGTATGCAAACAAAGTTTTTGCTTGTGTGGATGAGGAGAAATAATTCAACTGAGCCTTGAAGGAAAATAAAAATGGGTGAGATTCAAGAAACATTTATGCTAGAAACTGGAAGTTAAGCCATATGAAGCTTGAAGGCCTCATACTTTTGGAGAAAAAAGAAGTTGATTTAATGTACCCTTATCTATTCATTGCATTCTAAAAATGAACAAACAAACAAAAAACAAAAATAAATAACAGAAATAAACCCTTCCTTCCACCTTTAGCTAAAACTTCTTATTCCTTAAATTTAATTAACTTCCATTCTTTCAGAGACTTGAACTCCTACTCCTATATCTTCAACTTCTCCTAAAAGATTTGAAACTTGTTTTCCATGAAGCTTCCAGTTAATATTCTTTCATGTCAGTATTTTTGGGGATAAGTATTCATCCGTGGAACCATCAACGCAATGTATGCCATAAACCTATTCATCACCTCCAAGATTTTTACCGCCCCCTCTCTTCTATTCCTCCCTTCCTCCCTCCCTCCCTTCCTTCCTTTCTTCTTTCTTCTCTTTTCCTTCCTTCTTTCTCCCTCCATCTCTCTTTCTCTCCTTCCTTCCTTCTTTCCTTCTTTTTTCCTTCCTTCTTTCTCCAACCATTTCTCTCTTTCTCCCCTTCCTTCCTTCTTTCCTTTCTTCCTTCTGTCCTTCCTGTCTTTCTTCCTTCCCTCCCTCTTTTCCTTTTTTCTTTTTCCTTCCATTTCTTCTTCTCCTTTTTCTTCCGTCTCCCTAATCCCTTCCTTCTTTTTTCTTCTTCTTCCATCTTCCCTCTTTTCTTCCCGTATTTTTTTAAGTCAGGAACTTGCTTGGTCACCCAGACTGGAATGCATTGGCATGATCATAGTTCATGCCAGCCTCCAATTACTGGGCTAAAGCTATCCTCCAATTTCAGCCTCCTGAGTAGCTACAACTACAGGTATGTGCCATTATGCCTAGCTAATTTTTTTGTAGCCATGGGGTCTCAATATTTTGGCTTCTTATTCTTGTTTGTAATAAGAATACAATATAATATCCACTCTCTTAGCAAACATGTATACCGTATAATATTGTTAACTATAGGCACTATACCATGTATGTGATCTCTAGGACTTATTCATCTCATGAAACTAAAACTTTTTACCCCCTAACTAATGTTTCTTTATTTTCTCCTCTCCCCCAGGCCCTGACAACCACTATTCCTCTGTCTGCTTCTATGAGTCCGTCTGTTTTAAATTTGTCAAATAAGTGTTAATAGTGTCGTGTAGTATGTGTCCTTCTGTATCTAGCTTATTTCTCTTAGTATAATGTCTTCCAGGCTTATTCATGCAGTCACATATAGCAGGATTTACCTCTTTTTAAAAGATGAATAATATTCCATTTTATGTGCATACCATATTTTCTTTACATATTTGTCTATCAATGGACATTTAATTGCTTCCATATCTTGACTATTGTAAATAATGATGCAATGCACATGGGAGTGCAGATGTGTCTTTGAAATCCTGATTCTAGTTCCTGTGGATGTATCCCCAAAAGTAGAAAGCCAGAAAAAACTAATGATAAATAAGAAGAATGGATCAGTAATCAAAAATCTTCTAACAAAGAAAAGTCCAAGACCAGATGGCTTCACAGGCGAATTCTCCCAAAGATTGAAAGAACGAATACCAATGCAAAATATACTCTTCAAAAAAATATAAGCGGGAACACTTCTGAACTCTTTTTATGAGGCCAGCATCACCCTGATACCAAAGCCATACAAAGACACCATAAGAAAAGAAAAACACAGATCAATATCCCTGATAATCATAGCTGCAATAATTCTTCAGAAAATATTAGCAAACTGAATTCAACAGCATATTAAAAGATCATAATCATAACGAAGTAGGGTCTATCCATATGATTCAAGGATGTTTCAACCTACACACATCAATCAGTGTCATACACAACGTTAGGAAAATGCAAGGCAAAAACCATAAGATCATATTAATTGATGTAGGAGAAAGCATTTGAGAAATTCAGCATCCTGTAGTAGTAACATCTTCAAGGAAATTTTTTTTCAAACACTTCTGTGGCAAGACAAAATATTTCTTTAATTTTCAGTTGAATTATTACTGGTTCATGAGAATCATCATGTTTTGTTTTCCTGTATCATCCACTATTTCTCCGTTGTAACACATTTTATATTTTAATTACACATTGAGTATATTTTTTCTCCCATATTATGTACATTTCTTGAAAGGATCATTTCTTTTAAATCAGGGTATTGAGCACAGACTTGAGTATCTAATGGAGACTCAATAAATTTTGTTTTATGAACACATGATAAATTAATGAATGAAAGGTTGAAGGTGTGACTGCTTTGTACTGAATCTATATGTTATTTTCACGATTGTTGCTTAAGTAATTTAATGTTAGAAAAATGTCTTAAAAAACTTGAATATAAAATCTTTTTAAGGGATTTTTTTAGTGTGAATCCCATATCTAATGTCATTTTTATCAATAGATTATGTCACAACTCCTATTACATTTATATCAAAGTTTAAAATTTTTGTATGGGTGATAAGGCCCTCATAGTTTATCCTTAGCCTACTTCTGCAACTCCATCTCCTAATATTCTTCCCTGTAGTCACCTTGCTCTAGGCATACTGGCTTGATTCTTGCTTCTTAAACATACCAAAATCTTTTCTGTTTCTGGCCTTTTGCACTTCACATTCAATTTTACTGTATCCTACTTTTATTTAGAAGATCACTTGATATGCTCCTTTATATCAGTTCAGTCTCTTTCTAATTCCTTAGGGTAAAAGATAGAGTTCTTGGATGGGTGCTGTGGCTCATGCCTGTAATTCCAGCACTTTGGGAGGCTGAGGTGGGTGGATCATGAGGTCAGGAGATCGAGACCATCCTGGCCTACATGGTGAAACCTTGTCTCTACTGAAAATACAAAAATTTGCTGGGCGTGGTGGAGTGCGCCTGTAGTCCAAGCTACTCAGGAGGCTGAGGCAGGAGAATCGCTTGAACCCAGGAGGTGGAGGTTGCAGTGGGTGGATATCGTGCCACTGCACTCCAGCCTGAGCAAAAGAGTGAAACCCTGTCTCAATTAAAAAAAAAAAAAAAAAAAAAAAGATTGAGTTCGAGATTTTAGGATCTTCCTCAATTTTTGTATGTAGGTATATGCAGCTACAAATATCCCTCTAAGGAGTATTTTCATAGCATCTTATAATTTTTGGTATTTTTCTAATCTATTCTTATTTATCTCAAAGTATTTTCTAATTTTTCTTGTGATTTCTTCTTTGAGCCATTGGATGTTTAAAAAGTATCATTTAATTTCCACATATTGTTAAAATTTTCCAAATGTGCTTCTTTTTTTTCTAATTTATTTCTATTATTTCCCGGAAATATACCTTATATGAATTCAGTATTTTTAAATATATTGAATTTTTTTATGGCATAACATGTGATCTATTCTGGAGCATGTTCCATGTGCTCTTGAGAAAGGATCCTCATTCTGCTGTTGTTTTTATAGTTTTCATATATCTCTGTCTATCTATCTGTCTATCATTTATTTATCTATATATCTATCTGTCTAGACATACACACACACATACACACACAGAATATTTGGCTTATGTTATTGTGAAGCCTTTTATTTTTTGCTAATATTCTATCCAGTTATTTTATTATTGGAAGTGGGGTTTCACATTTTTAAACTTTTCTTTTTGAATTATCTATTTTTCCCTTCGCTTCTGCCCACTTTCTCTTATATATGTAGTGACACTCTTGTTGGGTTAATATATGTTTATAATTGTTCTATCTTTTTGAAGAATTTACCTTTTACCATTATATGTGATCTGTTTTTGTCTCATTTAAAAATTTTGTTTTAAAATTTATTTGCTCTGTTATTAGTATAGCTACTTCAGTTCTTTTCGGTGGCCGTTTGCAATAATTGCATTTTCAACCATTCAATCTATTTGTGTGTTTGGATTTTAAATGAGCCTCTTAAAGACAGTGTGTGAAATCATTTAAAAAATACATTCTGCTCATCTCTGCATTTTAATTGGAGAATTTAATCTGTTACAATATAGTGTTATTGCTGGTAAAAGAGAATTGATTTTGGTCATTCTATTACTTTTATATATATATATATTATGGGTTTTTCTTCTTTCTTAACTCCATTCTGCATCCTCTTTTTAAAAAATGGCAAATAATTTATTTCTAAATATTTTTGACATATATTTCCCCAACTTTTTGAGGAATAATGGGCAAATAAAAATCATATATATTTAAGGTGTACAACATGATAATTTGATAAATGTTTTATAAAATGTATCATTGTGAAATGTACATGTATTGTGAAATGAAACTATTGTGAAATGGTTACTATTATCAAGCTAATTAACCTATCCACCACCTCACATAGTTACCTTTTTTGTACGTGGTGAGAACATTTAAATCTATTCTTGTAGAAAATTTCAAGTATATAATACATATTATTAGTTATAGTCACCCTACTATACATTCAATATGTGGAGCTTATTTATCCTTCATGATAGCCTTCCTTATCAGGCCTGCTGTTGAACCCCTCCAGTAATTTTTAAATTTCAGGTATTGTGCTCTTCAACCTCAGAACTTCTATTTGTTTATTTTTGTAATTTCTATCTCTTTACGGACGTTTTTTATTAGGTGAAGTACTGTTCTGCTTTCCTTTAGTTGTTTGAACATAGATAAAGTAGTTGATTTTAAGTCTTTCTAGTAAATCACAATTCATTCTCTGGGACAGTTTCTATCTATTTTATATTTCCCTTTTTCTGGGACTTGCTTTCTTGTTTCTTTATATTCCTCATGTTTTTTGTTGAAACCTGGAAATTTTGAAAGGTATAATGTGGCTGTCTCAGAGATTAGATTATCTCTATTCCCAAATAATTTTACTTTTCTTGTTATTGTTATTGTTTAGTGACTTTTCTAAAATAATTTTGTAAAGTCTGTATTCTTTGTCATATATGGCCACTGATACCTTTGTTCCCTTAGCTTGGTGGTCAGCTGGTGATATGAGAAGAATTCCTAAATTCCATCCTATCAGATTTTGTTTCATGTATTTTGGGGCTCTGTTTTTAGGTGAATATATATTTATAATTGTTATATTATATTGATGATTTGATCCCTTTGCCATCATATAATGTTCTTCTTGGTATCTTCTAACAATTTTTGCTTAACAATTTCAGTATTTTTTGATACTGCTATAGCCACTTCAATTTTTATCTGGTTACTGCATGCATAGAACACATTTATCCATCTTTTCACCTTTAATCTATTTTTGTCTTTGGATCTCAAGTGAATCTCCTATAGACAGTATATAGTTGGATTATTATTTTTAAATTCATTCTGCAAATCTCTGCCATTTAATTAAAGAGTACAACTCACTTAATTTTATAAAATAATCTAACTATCCAGTCTTTCCTCCCAAATGTTTTCGTTAGTCTACTGTCTGTTATAACTACTATTTCCTACTCTACAGGGTAACAACTAATACATTTGCCTTTGAATATTTTATTTTTTATTTAATAATTTTTTCTTTATTATACTTTAAATACTGGGACACATGTGCAGAACGTGCGGGTTTTTTACATAGGTATACACTTGCCATGGTGGTTTGCTGCGCCCATCAACCCATCACCTGCATTAGGTATTGCTCCTAATGGTATGCCTCCCCTAGCCGTCCATCCCTGACAGGTCCCGGTGTGTGATGTTTCCCTCCCTGTGTCCATGTGTTCTCATTGTTCACCTCCCACTTATGAGTGAGAACATGCGATGTCTGGTTTTCTGTTCCTGTGTTAGTTTGCTGAGAATGATGGTTTCCAGCTTCATCCATGTCCCTGCAAAGGACATGAACCCATCCTTTTTATGGCTGCATAGTATTCCATGGTGTATACGTGCCACATTTTCTTTATCCAGTCTATCATTGATGGGCATTTGGGTTGGTTCCAAGTCTTTGTTATTGTGAATAGTGTTGGAATAAACATACATGTGCATGTGTCTTTATAGTAGCATGATTCATAATCCTTTGGGTATATACCCAGTAATGGGATTGCTGGGTCAAATGGTATTTCTGGTTCTAGATCCCTGAGGAATCGCCACACTGTCTTCCACAATGGTTGAACTAATTTACACTCCCATCAAAAGTGTAAAGGCATTCGTATTTCTCCACATTCTCTCCAGCATCTGTTGTTTCCTGACTTTTTAATGTTCACCATTCTAACTGTGAGGAGATGGTATCTCATTGAGGTTTGATTTGCATTTCTCTAATGACCAGTAATTATGAGCTTTTTTCATATGCTTGTTGGCCACATAAATGTCTTCTTTTGAGAAGTGTCTGTTCATATCCTTTGCCCACTTTTTGATGGGGTTGTTTGTTCTTTTCTTGTAAATTTGTTTAAGTTCCTTTTAGATTCTGGATATTAACCCTTTGTCAGATGGATAGATTGCAAAAATATTCTCCTATTGTGTAGGTTCCCTGTTCACTCTGATGATAGTTTCTTTTGCTGTGCAGAAGCTCTTTAGTTTAATTAGATCCCATTTGTCAATTGTGGCTTTTGTTGCCATTGCTTTTGGTGTTTTAGTCATGAAGTCATTTCCCATGCCTATGTCCTGAATGGTATTGCCTAGGTTTTCTTCTAGGGCTTTTATGGTTTTAAGTCTTAACGTTTAAGTCTTTAATGTATCTTGAGTTAACTTTTGTATAAAGTGTAAGGAAGGGGTTCAGTTTCAACTTTCTGCATATAGCTAGCCAGTTTTCCCAACACTATTTATTAAATAGGCAATCCTTTCCCCATTGCTTGTTTTTGTCAGGTTTGTAAAAGATCAGATGGTTGTAGATGTGTGGTGTTATTTCTGAGGCCTCTGTTTTGTTACATTGGTCTATATATCTATTTTGTTACCAGTAACATGCTGTTTTGGTTACTGTAGCCTTGTAGCATAGTTTAAGTTCAGGTGGCATGATGCCTCTACCTTTGTTCCTTTTGCTTAGGATTGTCTTGGCTATATGGGCTCTTTTTTTGGTTCCATATGAAATTTAAAGTAATTTTTTTCAATTCTGTGAAGAAAGTCAGTGGTAGCTTGCTGGGGTTACCATTGAATCTATAAATTACTTTGGGCAGTATGGCCACTTTCACGATATTGATTCTTCCTATCCATTAGCATGGAATGTTTTTCCATTTGTTTGTGTCCTCTCTTATTTCCTTGAGCAGTGGTTTGTAGTTTTCCTTGAAGTGGTCCTTCACATCCCTTGTAAGTTGTATTCGTAGGTGTTTTATTCTCTTTGTAGCAATTGTGAATGGGAGTTCACTCATGATTTGGCTCTCTGTTTGTCTATTATTGGTATATAAGAATGCTTATGATTTTTGTACGTTAGTTTTGTATCCTGAGACTTTGCTGAAGTTGCTTATCAGCTTAAGGAGATTTGGGACTGAGACAATGGGGTTTTCTAAATATACAATCATGTCATCTCCAAACAGATAATTTGCCTTCCTCTCTTCCTATTTGAATACCTTTATTTCATTCTCTTGCTTGATTACCCTAGCCAGAACTTTTAATACTATGTTGAATAGGAATGTTAAGAGAAGACATCCTTGTTTGCCCATTCGGTATGATATTGGTTGTAGGTTTGTCATAAATAGCTCTTATTATTTTGAGATAAGTTCCATCAATACCTAGTTTATTGAGAGTTTTTAGCATGAAAGGATGTTGAATTTTATCAAAGGCCTTTTCTGCATCTATTGAGATAATCATGTGGTTTTTGTCATTGGTTCTGTTTATGTGATGGATTACGTTTATTGATTTGCATATGTTGAACCAGACTTGCATCCCAGGGATGTAGCCAACTTGATCATAGTGGATAAGCTTTTTGATGTGCTGCTGGATTCGGTTTGCCAGCATTTTATTGAGGATTTTCACATTGATGTTCTTCAGGGATATTGGCCTGAATTTGTGTGTGTGTGTGTGTGTGTGTGTGTGTGTGTGTGTGTCTGTCAGGTTTTGGTATCAGGATGATGCTTGCCTCATAAAATGAGTTAGGAAGGAGTCTCTCTTTTTCTTGTCTTCTGTTAGCTTTTGAAATTGTTTACTCTTGCTTCTCTAGTTCTTTTAATAGTGATGTTAGGGTGTCAATTTTAGATATTTCATGCTTTCTCTTGTGGGCATTTAGTGCAATAAATTTCCCTCTAAACACTGCTTTAAATGTGTCTCAGAGATTATGGTACGCTGTGCCTTTGTTCTTATTGGTTTAAAAGTACTTATTTGTTTCTGCCTTAATTTATTTATTTACCCAGTAGTCATTCAGGAACAGGTTGTTCAGTTTCTATGTAGTTGTGTGGTTTTGAGTGAGTTTCTTAATCCTGAGTTCTAATTTGATTGCACCATGGTCTGAGAGACTGTTTGTTATGACTTCTGTTCTTTTGCATTTGCTAAGGAGGGTTTAACTTTTATACAATTATGTGGTCAATTTTAGAATAAGTGTGATATATTGCTGAGAAGAATGTATATTCTGTTGATTTTGGGGGTAGAGTTCTGTAGATGTCTATTAGGTCCACTTGGTCAAGAGCTGAGTTCAAGTCCGGAATATCCTTTTTAGTTTTCTGTCTCATTGATCTGTCTAATATTGACAGTGGGGTGTTAAAGTCTACCACTATTATTGTGTGGGAGTCTAAGTCTTTTTGTAGGTCTATAAGAACTTGCTTTATGAAACTGGGTGCTCCTGTATTGGGTGCATATCTATTTAGGATAGTTAGCTCTTCTTGTTGCATTGATCCCTTCACCATTATGTAATGCCCTTCTGTGTCTCTTTTGATCTTTCTTGGTTTAAAGTCTGTTTTATCAGAGATAAGGATTGCAACCCCTGCTTTTTTTTTTTTCTTTTTTTGCTTTCCATTTGTTGGTAAATATTCCTCCATCCCTTTATTTTAAGCCTATATGTCTTTGCACATGAGATGGATCTGCTGAATACAGCACATTGAAGGATCTTGACTCTATCCAATTTGCCAGTCTGTGTCTTTTAATTGGGACATTTAGCCCATTTGCATTTAAGGTTAATGTTGTTATGTGTGAATTTGATCCTGTCATTATGATGCTAGCTGGTTATTTTGGCCGTTAGTTAATGCAGTTTCTTCATGTCAATGGTCTTTACAATTTGGTATGTTTTTGCAGTGGCTGGTATTGGTTGTTCCTTTCCATGTTTAGTACTTCCTTTAGGAACTCTTGTAAGGCAGGCCTAGTGGTAACAAAATCGCTCAGCATTTGCTTGTCTGTAAAAAAATTTTATTTTTCCTTCACTTATGAAGCTTAGTTTGGCTGGATTTGAAATTCTGGGTTGAAAATTATTTTCTTTAAGAATGTTGAATATTGGCCTCCACTCTCTTCTGGCTTGTAAGGTTTCTGCCAAGAGATCCGCTGATAGTCTGATGGGCTTCCCTTTGTAAGTAACCCAACCTTTCTTGCTGCCCTTAACATTTTTTCCATCATTTCAACCTTGGTGAATCTGACGTTTATGTGTCTTGGGGTTACTCTTCTTGAGGAGTATCTTTGTGGTGTTCTCTGTATTTTCTGAATTTGAATGTTGGCCTATCTTGCTAGGTTGGAAAAGTTCTCCTGGATAATATCCTGAAGAGTGTTTTCTAACTTGGTTCTAATCTCCCTGTCACTTTCAGGTACACCAAACAAATATAGGTTTGGTCTCTTTGCATAGTCCCATATTTCTTGGAAGCTTTGTTCATTCCTTTTCCTTTTTTTCTCTCTAATCTTGTCTTCACGCTTTACTGCAGTAAGTTGATCTTCAATCTCTGATATCCTTTCTTCTGCTTGATTGATTCAGCTATTGATACTTGTGTATGCTTCACGAAGTTCTCGTGCTGTGTTTTTATCCCATCATGTCATTTATGTTCTTCTCTAAACTGCCTTATTCTAGTTACCAATTCCTCTAACCTTTTTTCAAGGTTCTTAGCTTCCTTGCATTGGGTTAGAACATACTCCTTTAGCTCTAAGGAGTTTGTTATTACCTACCTTCTGAAGCCTACTTCTGTCAATGAATCAAACTCATTCTCCATCCAGTTTTGTTCCCTTGCTGGCGAGGAGTTGTGATCCTTTGGAAGAGAAGAGGCATTCTGGCTTTTGAAATTTTCAGCCTTTTTTGCACTGGTTTTTCCTCATCTTCATGGATTTATCTATCTTTGGTCTTTGATGCTGATGACCTTTGGATGGGGTTTCTGTGTGGACTTCCTTTTTGTTGATGTTGATGGTATTCCTCTCTGTTTGTTAGTTTTCCTCCTAACAGTCAGGCCTCTCTGCTGCAGGTCTGCTGGAGTTTGCTGGAGGTCCACTCCAGACCGTGTTTGCCTGGCTATCACCAGTGGAGGCTGCCGAACAGCAAAGATTGCTGCCTGTTCCTCCTTTGGAAGCTTCGTCCCAGAGGGGAACCAGCAGATGGCAGCCAGAGCTCTCCTGTATGAGGTGTCTGTCAACACCTGCTAGGAGTTGTCTTCCAGTCAGGAGGCACAGGGGTCATGGACCCACTTGAGGAGGCAGTCTATCCCTTAGCAGAGCTTGAGCTCTGTGCCGGGAGATCCGCTGCTCTCTTCAGAGCTGGCAGGCTGCCCCTTCCCCAAGGTGCTTTGTCCCAGGTAGATGAGAGTTTTATCTATAAGCCCCTGACGGGGGCTGCTACCTTTCTTTCAGAGATGCTCTGCCCAGAGAGGAAGAATCTAGACAGGCAGTCTGGCTACCACAGCTTTGCTGAGCTGCAGTGGGCATTGCCCAGTTGGAACTTCCTGGTGGCTTTGTTTGCACTGTGAGGGGAAAACTGGCTGCTCAAGCCTCAGTAATAGTGGATGCCCCTCCCCACACCAAGCTCAAATGTCCCAGGTCAACTTCAGACTGCTGCCCTGGCAGCGAGAATTTCAAGCCAGTGGATCTTTGCTTGCTGGGCTCTGTGGGGGTGGGATCTGCTGAGCTGGACCACTTGACTCCCTGGCTTCAGCCCCCTTTCCCAGGGAGTGAATGGTTCTGTCTAGTTGCCATTCCAGGCACCACCGGGGTATGAAAAAAACTCCTACAGCTAGCTCGGTGTCTGCCCTAAAGGCTGCCCAGTTTTCTGCTTGAAACCCAGGGCTCTGGTGGTGTAGGCACCCAAGGGAATCTCCTGGTCTGTAGGTTGTGGTTGTGAAGACCGTGGGAAAAGTGTAGTATCTAGGCCAGAGTGCACAGTTCCTCAGGCAGTCCCTCATGGCTTCCCTTGGCTAGGGGAGGGGGTTCCCCAACCCCTTGTGCTTCCTGGGTAAGGCAACTTCCCACTCTGCTTTGGCTCGCCCTCCATGGGCTGCACCCACTGTCTAACCAGTCCCAATGAGATGAGCCTAGTACTTCAATTGGAAATGCAGAAATCACCCACCTTCTGCGTTGACCTTGCTGGGAGCTGCAGACTGGAGCTGTTCTTACTTGGCCATCTTGCCCACCCTGCTGCCTTTGAATATTTTAAACAAATCCTTCTTGGAAAGCTGCCTCAACCCTGGGAGAATCCTGAGGTATGGAAGAAAATGGCAAGGCTTTTGTATGAGTCATTCAGAAATCTACCAAACAGGAAAAACAAAAAAACTCAATTTTTTTAAAGTAAGCTGTGTCTTGCTCACTCTAGTATCAGGTACCTTTACTGGGTGTATGGACTATTGTCTTCAAGTCCTCTTCAGAGGGATTCAGAAAAGGTATGAGGATAAGTTAAAATGCTACACAGCTATTTTACCAATTGTTTTTCTATATTAAGTATTCCCTTGGTTTGCTGAAGCTTTTCATTAGTTTTCAGAGTTCTGAAAAAGTTGATTCTAATAGTTTTTACCACTTTATTTATTGTTTTCTTAGGAAAAATATATGTTCAATGTTCGCTATACTGCCATAGTCACTGGGTGTGGCCTCTTAAAAAGAATTGTAAACAAATTATAAACCACTGGGATAAAATTGTTTGCTAATGTCAAATGGCAAGTTAAAGTCAAAGCTAAAACTAAAACTCAGCTTCTTAGTCTATTGCCCTTCAGCCACAGTCAGCTGCCTTTCAAAGAATGATCCCTAAATAAATGACCTTAATAATCATCATAATTACACTCTATGGAAATTCAACAATCCATAAAATCACTCCCATCTAAAACTTTACTGGCCAATAGAGTTGCAACTAATCACATGTGGATATGTAAATTTATATTAGTTTAATTTAAAAGAAATTTAAAATACAAGCCTTCACTTATACTAACCACATTACAAATGCTCAAGGGCTATCTAAGATAGTGAATATCTTACTGGACAGCCCAGATATTGAACATTTACTTTATTACAAAAATTTATTTTAGAGAGCACTAATCTAGAATATTTATTTCTAAGTCACTGTTCTGCTTCACAGGTTGAGAAATATAAAGTAAGAAGACACTTAGAGGTCAATTCTTTCATTTTAAAAAGGTAAAACCGGAGTGAATAAAATGACTTCCCCAGACCACATAGTATTTCAGTGCTAGAGCCAGGATAGAATATATTTCTTCAGGAAGTATGCATTGCATGTCAACTTCTGAAGATTCTTTGTCTGCATAAACAATTGTATTGTTTCTTTGCAAAAATATAATAGTATTTTGCTTAATGCCTTTTTTTGGCCTTGCCAGTTAGCTTTTCCTGTGATTTAGGAGATGATGAAATGAATAGACTGCTAAATCAATATTAGTCACATTCTGATATATTAATAGGAGTAGTATGTTTCCTGCTGCATGTAGGACTGCCCATTGGTGAAGAGTCACAGAAGCGAGAACAGCTCTTTTGATTGATGAAAAGTTTGAGATCTCTAAGTCAGTTACTTATTATTTTATATTTAGTTACCCTCTAGGAATTCAAAAATTCTTACTGACAACATGAACACTGATGTTTCAAACATTATTTTACAACTTCCAGGAGCAGGTTTTAATTTATCAAGATGTGATCATTTAATACTATATAGAAACAACAAATAACAATAATACACTTCACTATGATGCCTGTGGAGACTTCTGCATTTGTGTATTCAGATAAAGCTATAAATGTAATTGAATTGAAGAGATAAAGCAATACTCATCAGAGGTTGGTAGCAGATTTGTCTCCTTCCTATAAGTGATTAGGAGGGGAAATATTTTCCCCCAGTGGGGAAGCTTGTTAATTTGTATAACAAAGGATAGCCTTTGGAATCAGATACTGGCTTAAATCTTTGCTTTGCCTTTTACCATCAGCCTAACCTAGAACAAGCTAGCTGTTTTCTCTGTGTATTAAATGAGATAATGTTTTTTAAAGTTTATCAGAACAAGTTAGGACATTAGAATTTTCAAGAGTGTATGCAAAGGACATATAATTTTTAGGACATTCTTTTTCTACAGAATTATTTAAATTGTGGACACTTTTATTTTCTGGAATTCTTATCTAATTTCTGATACATATTTAAGTGTATTTGATAATATGCTTCCTATTTACACGAAAAGAGGAACTGGGTAGTCAGAGAGCTACAGAAAGATGGGTGATATTATGTTTACTTATTTCTACCCTGAATTTATCAACCATCACTAAACCACATGAAGATTTCCTAATATGCTGGAATTCTGAATTGATTCATTCACACATATCTAATTCTATTTTTACCCACGCATTCATTCATTCATTGATAATGGGCACTTCATTTCCTTCCCTCCTCGATTGACACTGGTAATGTTACTATTCCATTTCTTCCTCCACATCTTTAAGTCAGACATAAGAATTTTGATAAATTGTATATTAAATGCACTATTTTTAAAAGAAGATATGTTATGCTACTAGTTGAAATTTAAAGAATATATGACTTGGCTCCTACAAACGTGAAATATATGACAACAGGAAGGAAACAATGCTAAAAGGAATCTCATAGATCAGTTTTGCTCTTGACAATCAGTTAAAAATGATGATAATCCACTAATCTTCACACTGGTTGTCATAAGAACTTGTGACATATTTAACACATATCACAAAGATGGTACATAATGTACTAGAATGTAAAGTCTTAATGATATGCATTCACTTTCTTTCTGGAATAAACTCATATATATTCCAAAGTTACTGGTAGACAAAAATTATAAAAAGACACAGAGAGGGCTTCTATTTCTGGTTTCATAGATCAAGAACTACAGACCTGGAATAACCCTGAAAGTGTAGTTGCTTTAAGAAAGATTTTGGCTGCGAGTTAAGAAGAAATAGGCATGTATCATAGGTTTTATTGGAAAATTAATTAATTTGCCTTTTCAGTAATTTTAAAACTATTATTAATCATGAGGTTCTTCATTGTCTCAGGATTATCTCAGAGAAGAATTTACTCAAAAATAGTGAAGGAAATATCAAGTAGTATTATTTAAATTTTCACTTCTTGGATCTGTTTTTAAGAGTTCTTCCCCCCAACCCTTTTTGCTTGTTTTTCTTTGATTAGGAAAAGTAAGTCAGAATCCAGAACCATAACTCATCAGTCAAAATAGCGATTTACTCCAATATTTCTTTACATTGTAGCTTCAGTCTTGAAATTTCCTTTATTAATCGTCTCAGCATCTCTAAATTCAAATTTTTAAGGCCCAGTACAAAAGCCACATATTTCATTGACCTGAAAACATTTTACCTAAGCACATCAAAATAATTCCTTCCTTTAAAGCTCCCCCCACCACACACACACACACACACACACATTCACACACACATACATATGTTTATATTAATATCTCAATCATGTTTTCACCATTATTATACTCACCTCCGTCTTATATAGATTGAATCATTCTTGAAGAAAAGTAGTAGCATTTTTTTCTTTATCTCTGAATAATTTTCTAGGACCTTGCAACTGGAAAATGCTCAATAATTATTTATTGATTGAAATATTTGAATTGGAAGGACCATGTTGCTTTTTTGGATTTGTAGCAATTAAACTAGTTTGTCTCAATTAACTTCATGGTTATCCTGCTCACTAGTGACTCTTTTTCATCAGATATATGAAGACATTCTTCTCCAAAAATGTATGTAGATAGCTAAAGCACAGAACTAAAAATGTCCCTGGGAAAGTTATTAGCCAGCCTAAGCATTTAATATATTTGCAGTGATTATTAGGCATGGAATTATTGTGAATCAGTAATTGATTAGACTTTGATGAAAGTTGTCCATCAGCTGTAAAATTATTTGGCAACCAGAAGCTTTCGTATTCATCTGTTTAACAAGTATTTGTTGTACAAATATTATGTGGCAGATTCTCTGCTAAATCTTTGATATACAAAGGTGAGCAAGCATGCCAGCCTAGGTGACATAATGAGACCCCATTTCTACAAAAGTTTAAAAAAGTAGCCAGGTGCAGTGGCACATGCCTGTAGTCCCAGCTACTCAGGAGGCTGAGGTGGGTGGATTGCTTGAGTCTGGGGGGTTGAGGCTGCAGTGAGCTATGATCGTACCACTGCACTCCCAGCCTGGGCAACATAGCCAGACCCTGACTCAAAAAAAAAAAAACAAAAACAAAAACAAGGTGAATCAGGGTGTAGTGTGTGTTTTGTGCCTTCATGAGCCTACATTCAAGTGAAGTGACAGACCATAAGTAAGTAAAACAAATCAACAACCGAATTATATATATTTTCATGAAGATAGGATTGTGCTACAGATAAACAAGTGAAGGGATGAAATAGGTGGGTTGATCCAGGGCCAAACTAGTATATTTCTGAGGGGTGGAAAGGCAGCTACCATTGCATCTGAATATACATGGAAAAGTCTCTGGGGTCTGAGAGTCCAAAAGGAATTCAGGAAAGCTAGAGGGTGGTGAACAAGAGAGAGAATTAACCTCCATTATGTGAGTGGGCCTCATATCATCATCTGAAGGCCTGAATAAAACAAAAGGTGAACCCTCCCCGGAATAAAATAGCATTCTCCTGGAGGATGGCTTTTGAACTTGAACTTTGACTCTCCTTTGTTATCTAGCCTTCAGACTCAAGCTGGGACACCAGCTCCTCTTTGTTCTATAAGTGCCTGACAGCCTTTGAATTCTAACTGGTAAATACAATGCAGATACTGGACTTGCCAGAGTCCATAATTGTGTGAAAGAGATAGAAAATATTTATATACATACTTTTTATATATATCTTTCATAATGTGTGTGTGTGTACACACATATATGTGTTATTGGTTCTGTTTCTCTGAAGAACCTTGACTTATTCATCCATCAACACTTCTCCACACCAAAGTACAGCTTATTTGGTGGTTTGTTTGGTTAAACCACCATCTGGGCCCATTCAAAGGCAATTTCTATTGTCTATTTAATTTACTCTGTGTATGGGTTGCAGTTGCCTGTCTGTTTTGTTTACTCTCTCATTTTTTAAAAACTGGACATTTTAGATACTGAATTATCCTTTTATTTCTGTCTTGTTCTCTGTCTTTAGTTTCCATTCCTGAAACATACTCTCTGCCTGATATATTATCTTGTGACAAGAATGTTAAAATTAACAAAAAAGTGTCCCTAATTTCATTATACATGTATTGAATAACAATGTTATAATTATTTCTGTGTATTTTGTGTAAAATACTCTGATATAGATGCATAATGTATATATTGTATGAGATCAAGCATACCAGTTAGGTACTAAAATATCCCCTGAAGGATATGGCACATATAAATATATATATATAATATGTATATAAAATCTATATAAAATATGACTTACTACAAATATTTACCATATATATATTTGGTAATTTTATACATATGTATTTGGTAAATGTAAATATATATAAATATATACTTTATATTAAATATATAATATATGATATTAAATATATGTTATATAATATATGATATAAATATACCAAATATATAAATAAGTATATATAGTTGATAAGTATATATGATAAATGTAATAAGTCATATTTAAATATAGATATATAGATAGATATAAATATATATGTATTTGATACATATTTGTAGTAATATTTATATATGTAGATTTTGAAACAACAGTTTACTGAACCACAGCTATTAATCAATGAGAATTATATTCAACTTCATATTTCTTGATTTTTGAAAAAATCTAATTCACTCCATCAGCAGTTTATACTTTAAGAAATAGAATAATAAAATAGTTACATTAATGCCCTTCTATGTCTTTTTTCTAAATTTCTGCTTTTCTTGAGAAGGATCTAAATCTGAAAGTCCAACATTCCAGTATTTTTATTATACAATATTTTCATATGGCCAAGAAAAGTGACCATGTGGTACAAGGCATAAAATGCAATAAAATGAAATAGGGGCCCTAAATAATTGAGATCAGAACTACATAAACAGCCTTTCTATTAGAAACTAGAGATTTTCATATGGTTTTCCCAAAAGAAGGTCAACAACAGACTCAGAAAGTACAATTATTCTCTGTTACTCAGTTTTTCTAAGCTAAACACTTATTCTCACAGATAAATTTAACACCTTTTTACGGTATAAAATGTGACATTCTTTTAATGCACTAGCTATGCGTGGCTCTTCCAAATTTAAATAATGTTTTGCTTTGGACTAAGGAACTGATTAAACTAGCAGTTAGTTGGTGACATAAATACAGCCTTACTTTCTTATCTTTTCATATATGCGACTTAAATTTTCATCCAATCAAAATAATTGTGCTTCTCTACTCTCATCCTGCCGCTTCTGTATCTAGGTCTACATATGATTTCACTATCAACCTATAATGTTTTGCTATTACTCTATTGTTATTTTTATAAATATC
This sequence comes from Homo sapiens, assembly GCF_000001405.40. Classification (NCBI taxonomy): domain Eukaryota; kingdom Metazoa; phylum Chordata; class Mammalia; order Primates; family Hominidae; genus Homo; species Homo sapiens. The sequence continues at coordinate 14,075,518 of NC_000002.12, read as the reverse complement.
TTCATCTTTTCTGAAGGTCGATATAAAATGGGATTTCTGCTAAGTCTTCCCTGGCCTACTCCTTGACAAAGTTTATTTTCCCAATTGTAGCCCTCTTACGGTACTTTGTAACACTTCAGGTTAGTAAGAATGGAGCTATTGGTGTCAAGAAAGACCTGGCTGACTTATTAGTCTGTATTTCAAAGAAGATCTCTTGGAGAGGTCATTTTATGGAAGAAAATGTTTGATATATTTGTCCTGAAGTAAACAGGCTCAGAATGCTTTAAGAAAATGAAATGCTATCACTAAAAAATAATTTATTAGTATAGAGTGGAAGTTAAACATTTTTGGCCAACAGAACTCTAACTTTGCCTCTGAAAAGCATTCAGAATTAGCATCCAAGAATGGTTTGGTAAAAGCTAACTAGCAATACTATCTAGAAGCATGCAATTAGAAGAAGGAAAGTAGCAAAGATGAAAAGCAAAAACAAAATTAAATTTTTCAAGAAAGCTCTTGATATGAATTAAAGACCACATGAGTTCACCACACTAGAGACAGGGCTTTTAGACATGAGGAAACATGATTACAAACGAAGCTGAATGGAAACAAAGACCTTCTTTCATTTGATTTGCTGTCATTTGACTACTTTATCTCTCTTTGTCTCTTACTTTTTTTTCCTGAAAAATATGGCTGATACAGTACAAGTAGGTCAATGACATGTTGTCAAAAGAAAACACCCTTGTTTGTTGAAGAAACTAGGGATTCAATGATTGAAAGAGTAACAAGAGGAGAGTGAACTAAACAATCTTTATTATTATGCTGCAGGTGGAAGGGTATCTTTCATTTTCTGTTTAACTTATTTCTCTTATCTTTGAAGACGGAAGACAGAAAGTTAAGAATCAGCCTTTAGGGAAAGGGAAAGTTTTCCAAAAACCAATGACTTAACTCTCCTCATTAGGCCAAAAGCTTCTTGGCCAACGCATGACAGAAATAGACCAGGTCAGGATTAGTAGCTACAGCACATTTAATAAAGAAATTTATATTAACAACAACAACAACAAAAATCTGTGCCTTGGTCATAGGAATCACTTAATAAATATTTGTGAAAGTTAATCTGTCTGAATTTTCATTTTCATAAAACATGGCAATCTAGTGCGACAATCAGCTGTGTAATTATTTGGATATTTGAGATATTTCCAGTGGAAAATATTATTAATATAGGAAGTCTTCATATAAATTTGTAGTGATACTTTTATAAGATAATTTATGTAACTGTATTGAATACAGAATCAAAGGTCCCAGAAAGTAGAAATTCAGGTAGCAGAATGGCCAATCTTATACCACAGATATTCACAGAAGCTGCTATCCATATAATAGAGTTAAGGATGAAGAAGCCAGGACGAATTTTGAATCTTTCAGAGGGTCCTATTATGTATCTGCCATTATAGAACTCTCCTAATCTTCTTATACACATCTACGAGTACATAGCATGTGGCTGTTCTAATGCCACATTTAAAGAAATAATATTTACAGTAAGCTAAAGAGTGGAAAAGACCGAGCATCAAAAGAAAAAGGGTTTTGTTTTGTTTTGTTTTGTTTTCAGACAATTTACAAACTATTTTCAAGTATTGATTGGATCAACTGAGGTCAGGAGTTCAAGACCAGCCTGGCCAATATGGCAAAACTCCATCTATACTAAAAATACAAAAATTAGCCGGGCGTCATGGCAGACGCCTGTAATCCCAGCTACTCGGGAGGCTGAGGCAGGAGAATCGCTTGAACCTTGGAGGCAGAGGTGGCAGTGAGCCGAGATCACGCCATTGCACTCCTGCCTGGATGACAGAGGGAGAATCCATCTCAAAAAAAAAAAAAAAGAAGAAAAAAAGAAAAAAAAGCACAAATATATAACATAAACACAAAAATACATATAAATGCATCCTTGAATGAAAAATAATTTAAAAAATAAACCCTTTCTATCACCTAAAATACAATTAAATGATAAATTGTAGCAGCAGATACATCTTTAAGTAACTCACAAATAATAAGATATTCACTAAAGAAAACCAGCAAGTAAGGTATACATTGAAATATGGGAGGAAGATTAAAACTATGCAAGTAACTTTAAAAAGATAATATAAAAATTATAAAAGTTGACAATGTGAAGTGAAAATGATGAAAAAGCATTTATATGAACTTTTGAAATTCCTTCCATTATATTTTAGTTTTTCTTCTTATGGGTAAATTCAAATAAATTCAAAACGTAATTATTTTAATTAAAATAGTATATATAATAAAATGCAATTTAAAATATCTTCAATTTCTTCATTTTTTCTTTCTATCAATTACTTCATTTTTATATTTCTACATTTAATTATACATAGTGAGTGCTTGGTATAAAATTATAAAATTCACCAAATGTTAATGATAGTTGCTCCTTCCTGGTGTAAGGTTATCTGTTACATTTTCCTTTTTCTTTTTATGAACATGTTTCATTTGAACAGCAGATATATCTATTTCTCTATTTCCCATTAAATAAATGTTTTTAAAGTGAAAGTTTACTGTTTTTTTGATATGACATTGAAACTTGTTTTAGGTAATTCCTCTACTTCATATTAGACTAATTGATCTTCTTAATTAATTCTCCTATTAATAGAATTTGAAACATGTTCAAAACCATTTTATAAGACATTGTAAAGTCACTAACTTATGAAACACTTACGATGCCAAGTTCCTGGAGAGAATAGAAGCCTCAAGAAATAAGAATTACTTTTGCCATCACTTTTATTCTAGAGGCATTTGCCAACTAAAAAGGAGTTAGTCAAACAGAATATAATATCCATACTGAAGCATAGAGTCATTACTGTTGCAAAGGCAGAAAAAATTATTAAGATATTTGTGAAACAACTGAAAGGTGAAGTTTGTACATATTGCATTTCCTGGACGGAAAGGGGAGAGGAGAATGAGGAAGAAATATTTGATGACATAATGCCTGAGAATTCCCTCATGCTTATGAAAGTCATAAAATTACAGTTGCAAATGATGCAATGAACCACAAGCCACATAAATGCAAATAAAAACATACTAAGACAGACATAGAATGGGAAAACAGCTGAAAAAAAGAGAGCACATCTTAAAATATATTTAAATATCCTATTTTTTCTACAAAGAATAAATTGCTTGGCAACTGACTTCTCAGTAGAATCAATGGGATCCTTTTAAAAAAATTCCAGGAAGTTATAGGAGAATACTTTTCAACCAATGATTTTATAGAAAGTTAAATTATACTGCAGGAATGAATACATTTTCAGAAACCAAAGAAACACACCTCAAACAGACTTTATCACCAATAAACTATCACTGAAGTATGATCTCAGACAGAAAGTTAATGCCAAAAGGAAGAGAGGCATGTAAGAAAAATTGAAGAGCAAAAGAAGGATGAATAAATGCGCTGGCTTCTCCCAAATATTGATTTTTAAGAGACAAGAACAGAAGCTGTACAGCTTTGATATCCTAGATTCTGAAGTATCTTCTGCCACTTTCTGTTAATTAAACAAGTCAGTAAGGCCAGCCCAGATTCAAGAAGAGAAGAAAAACTCTACCTGTCAGTGAGGGAATGGCATCGATATATTGGCAGGAAAAACATTAAAAAGATGGCTGTCATCTTTCAGAGGAGTTGTCACATGCTCTGTAGCCAAACTTATTCATTTCCAAGTCTTCAGTTATCAGTGAAAGTATCACCATTTCCTTATTTGAATATCATTGTAAGCAAATTAAGTATTATTATATCTCCAAGACTTAATGCTGCCTTGATCCTAGCACTGGAGATTAAGATTTGCCATTATAAGGGCTGGGCGCGGTGGCTCACGCCTGTAATCCCAGCACTTTGGGAGGCTGAGGTAGGCAGATCACCAGGTCAGGAGATCAAGACCATCCTGGATAACATGGTGAAACCCCGTCTCTACTAAAATTACAAAAAATTAGCCGGGCATGGTGGTGCACGCCTGTAGTCCCAGCTACTCGGGACGCTGAGGCAGGAGAATGGCGTGAACGTGGGAGGCGGATCTTGCAGTGAGCTGACATCGCGCCACTGCACTCCAGCCTGGGCGACAGAGCGAGACTCCGTCTCAAAAAAAAAAAAAAAAAAAAAAAACAGATTTGCCATTATGGACATGAGAAGTGTCTTTAGTTTATAAAATCTTACTAACATCCATATATCCAACTGAAGTAAAAAACCAGTATGTACATTTGTCTGTTGGAAATTGTCTACTGAAAGTCAACAACCCCTGAATCAGTATAATATGTAGCACAGGTTCTAAAGTTATACTGTGTTTCAATTCCTGTTCTGCCGCTTACTAACTCTTGATATTGGGTGAATTAGTAAACCCCTAAGTGCTCAATTTCTTTACTGATATCCTAGAAATATAGTACATAGTATTATACATAGTACTTACATCATAGGACAGATATAGGTCGTTTAATACATGTTAAGAGCTTAGAAAGGTAATAAGTATACAATAAACCCCTCCATAAATGTTAATAACTATTATTATGCACAAAACTGAAATTTTCATCTTTCATTTTCCTCAATGTCATTACCATTAATTCTTTTGCTCCTGCTAAAGACTTGAAATCTCTTGTGTGATCCCTGAAATCCAAATTGTCCATATTAGTGATTCCTTTTCAGAATTGCTTCTGAAATCTGCTGTTTTTTTTTCAGCTCCTTCAGACTCAATTCTGGTCCAAAAGTGGTTCATAGTATACAAAGATTATTACAATACATCTCCCTTCCTATCTTGTTATTACCATAACAGTCATTCCAGAGAACAAATATAATCACACCATGCCTTGATTAAACCATGTTTTTGAAAAAAAAATTTACTGAATACGTTTCATGCTTTATGATAACTAAGACTCTTCGTTGATTTGAGCCCAACCAGCTGCAGAATCTGATTACATGTCACTCTTTCCCATACAATTTTCAACTGAGATTACTAGCTCAAAATATGACTATGACTAATGATTAGAATCCAGTGCTCAGGATCGTTTCTTTAATCCCTTCTCTTCTCATATTATTTATTTTCTTTTCATTATTATTATTGTTGTTAATATTATTTTTGAGATGGAGTTTCACTCTTGTCACCCAGGCTAGAGTGCAGTGATGCGATCTCAGCTCACTGCAACCTCTGCCTTCTGGATTCAAGCAATCCTCCTGTCTCATCCTCCCGGGTAGCTGGGATTACAGGCGTTCCTACCAAAAACATACTGAATCACTGAATTAGGATCTCCAGAAAGAGTCTGAAAAATACCTTGGCATTTCTAATGGTCAACCAGTTTGGGGAACAACAATTCCTATGTACTAGTTCCTAAAACATACCTAAGAACTCTTCTTTTGTCAGGTATTAACAGAGACAATGAGGTAAAACAATGCTGTTGCTAAGTAAGTCTGGGAACTCCTCTTCCAGCCACATAGAATTACAGGGCATCTGTCTTCCCATTTCTCAATAGCAGAATACAGTCTTTAATTTTCTTTGTTCTTAGACTATCATGTGTATGCCCTTATACTTTCAAGTCAGTTTCCGTTATATGTAGTTTTTCCACGGTGAGCAGACATACACAACACTACCCTCAAAGGCTGAGAGAGTTGAGAGGCCTAAGAAAGAGGCTGACAAATCCCGTTTCTCAGAAAGAAACATTTAATAGAGATTTAGGAACAGAAGCTATGTCCTGGCAGCCTCGAGAGGAGGTGGTGGATCCTAGCACTGTTATCCTCCAGACCCAAAGCTTATTCCTTCCACAGGGAAGGAATGTGTGGGACAGTCGACTCTTCAGGGAAAGGCAAGGATTTACCTACAGACGGGATTTATGGTAAGTACAGGAAAGTAGAAATCTTAAAGCCATTCCCGAAGCTGAGGTTAATCAGAAGTCAACATGGCAGATAGGCATCCAAGATAGAGGTGCTTTCTCCTCTACAGTAGTTATTTATTATAACTCCCTGTTATTCCTGGTATACTGTGAGCATGAGGGGAAAAAACCGCATGCAGCAATACTTGTCCACCACCCACATCCACAGCATTTCCTAGTATGATGCTGTTGAATAAATGCTCAGGAAGTGAATTTTTTGAAAATTTGTAGTCAAGACTCTTAAGGAGCGGAAGAAACTGAAGATCATTCTCTATGGCAGAGATACAACTTCCAGTGAGTCTCCATTTGTCCCTGTTAAAATCTTGAAGTATTACTCCTTTCTGTTGAACCTCCATTTGGTTTAAAGACAAAACATCTTAATGGGTATTAATGGCATCTGCACCTCACCCTGGTCTGCATGTTCATGAATACACCTAACGAGTACATTTGATATCTGAAATGTATCATCTGGATACAACACCTTCAATTAAATAAATTAATCCGATCTCCTTATGTCAGAATTTCTAACTCATTTCAGTGGGGACTTGGAGATTTTCATACTTTAATTTTTACTGTTTTCCCTTCTTTTTAAAGGAAAAACTAGCATTATATTAAATTTAATTTAAACTTACTGTAGGAGAGGTGGAATAAATATAAATTAATAAAAAAAATTTTAGGAAACTTTCTTCAAGATTAAAGTTTTGTATTGAGTGTAAATTTTTTAGTTATATGAGGCAAGATTTTCTCCAACATTTAATTTTAAAAACATTTCAATTAAAAAATAATCTTAAACATCATCTGAACTTTATATAAGAATAATTTTTTGTGGGGGTTGTGATAAATTTAAGGAATCATTTTAATATTGTAATACTGCTCTCTTTCTCCTGTTTTCCAAGTTGTTTTTTTCGTTTGCAACATTATCTGTAAAATTTCCATTAGTCTTGAGAGTCTTATGACTCATCTTAATATAGTTTAATGACTATGTACTTTGTAGCAAATTAAACCTGATTAAATGAGAATTTTAGGATGAAAATAATACTTCCATTTAAATTTAGCACATCTGATTTTTACATATCCTTTAATTTCATTTTAAAAGCTTCATATTTTAGTTCATTGTATCCCATTTAAATGTGGAACTGTGCATATTAAAAATAGAAGTATCATTTCAGAAACTAAAAAAATAGATATGTGAATTTAGCAGGCACAAATATTTTTGGCATTTATTGTGCACTGTTGGACTGCATCAATGACTCATTAAAGTTCATTAAAATAATGCTGGATGTGTAATGGACTATTTGAATGTTCCTATTTGAGACAGAATAAAAATATACAAATTTTCTTCTCTTCTTTCTGAGAAATTATGTACAAGTGAGATTTTTTCCTTGACATTTATAAGTCTTTATTAGTTAGTAATAAAATCTCAGTTTTTGCTTATGCTGATTAATCAAATAAACGGAAAAAATATTTTAGAATCCGCTATAAATATCTAACTGTTTAAAACTCAAAATGCAGGAGTTTTGTACTACTTTAATCTATAGAATTCTTATTTTTGTTGATTGATAAATAGAAACAGAATTTTTAATAAAGGAAATATGAAATGTATTCTATAATTTCCAAATCTCTTGTATATTTTAAAACATATTTTACAAAATAACTTTGAAAAATGCATTAATATAGAATGACTTTTTAAAAATTATAAAATAGAGAAAATTATAATAAACTAAAAATTGCTCATGTTGGAACTGAAATCTAATATAAAAGATGGAGATACTTTATAGATTTATTTTGAATTACTTCTATGTGTTTTTTATGTCTTCATTTATTATGTCTACTTTTTATTTAGCAATTTACTTATTAATGCTTTGTTTATGTTTTATGGAGTATTCTTCATTTTTTTGTTTGAAAAGATTGGTTGCATTGGTATTGATTAACATAGTGCCAAAATGATTTCCATACTTTTTATACATAGTACTTAGGTATAACAAAGTATACATAATCTATACAGATTAGACTTGTATTTGTCTTCTCCTTACTTTGGGATCATAAGAATCATCAGGTACTGAGGACAGGTTCTATACAAAGAACAGATGCGGTTATGATGCATTTTACACTGATGAGTATACATGTACTTAACAAATTATTATATTTTGAAATGAAACACATTGGTTCTTATTTCATTCTGAAGTTTACTTAAAGCAGATTGCATCTTGATTCCTGGTATCATTGCTTGAGGAAGAGGCCTATACAATTTCTTATTTGTCTTTTTAATAAAAATTTCTTCCTTTAGATAACTGCTTCTAATAAAACAAATTGTAACATCAGGAATTGTCTAGGATTGTCTGTATATTCACTATGTAATTAAATAGTGAAGAAGAGGGAGAGGAAAAGGAGGAGGAAGAAGAGAACGAGGAAAAGAGGAGAAGTCAGTCTTGATGCTTAATCCCACTTGTGAAATGAAGGTGAAGAGAGTGAGAGGTCCACCTCTAATGCAAACGTCTTCGTATTTATTTATTTATTTATTTATTTATTTATTTATTTTTTGAGACGTAGCCTCGCCCTGTTGCCCAGGCTGGAGTGCAGTGGTGCAATCTGAGCTCACTGCAACTTCCACCTCCTGGGTTCAAGCGATTCTCCCGCCTCAGCCTCCCAAGTAGCTGGGACTACAGGCACCCACCACTATGCTCGGCCAATTTTTGTACTTTTAGTGGAGATGGGGTTTCACTGTGTTAGCCAGGATGGTCTCGAACTCCTGACCTTGTGACCCACCCACCTTGTCCTCCCTAAGTGCTGGGATTACAAGCGTGAGCCACCGCTCCCGGACAGTATTTTTTTTCTTTTTTCAGATTGTGTTTCCTTGTTGACATGGATTCTTCACCAGAGCTCCTTGACTGCAGTCAGAGGCTGGAGATCTTGCTAGGATGAACAATGATCAAAAGTGGAAGTAACTAAGCTATGTATTAATTAAAATATAAGAGCCTTGAAACATAATGAGATAGCTACTGCTGATTGTTTTCCAGGAGACACAGGACATTCTGTAATGGGGGTGCTGGTTGTGTCTTACTCTTCAGAAGCCAGCTCAGAAACATAAAGGAATCATTTGCAGTTTCTTTTATATGGTTTCAGGATAGATCTGAGAAGTCAGGGGAGTAAAGCTGAAGTTACAACTGCCTGGCCACTGGCTTCAAAGTCACCCAGTGCTATTTTTCACTCCAGTTGTGTCACTTACTAGTTGGGTGAATTTAGGCCATCTGCTTCGTACTTATAATTGAGTTTAATTTTCTTCATCTGTGAAATGCAGATTGAATTCTTCATATCAGATGTTGTTTCAAGCCACTTTATATATTATCACATTTAAGCAACCTAATGAGATAAATAGACTTGCCCAATTTTATAGTCAGAATATAATTTGGACCTAATTAAATGTTTTCAGAGCCTCGATATTTAGATACTAAGTTACATTAAATTTTAAATGATGACTTACACAAATGCCCTGGTATATCATACTCGTTCCTTAGAGTAGGATTTTTTTGGGAGGGGAAAAATTACCATGACCATTTAAGAATAAAATCCCATTTTCAAGTTATTTCATCAAAAATAAAACATATGAAATGTGTTTTCACCAACTATCTAACCTCTGCTTAACATGAAAGCCTTTTTTCCTGATAAATCAGGAAAATTAAATTTATTTTCACAACTACAGAATACATGAGAACTGAGCTGAAAGAAGTATTTAGGCCTAAGTACTCTAACAAATGGAACTAACATGAAAACATTTTCTATTTCCTCTTTCTGTCATTTTTATGGACATTTGACATCTTTCCTAAGTAAGGGAAAGGTCTGAATTATTGTCAAAATAAGTCAAGTCTTTTCTACTAATCTTTCAAATTATACAGTAAAATTGACTTTCAGTGTACAGTTCTATGAATTCTAACACATGTAGAGATTTATAAAACCACCACCATCATCATGGTCCAGAAAAATTCCATCACACCAAAAACTCTCCTATGCTTTTATATTTTTGTTGGCTTTTCGTCTTCTGCACATACACAACCACACAAATACACACAGCTACATACAGGCATATGTACACTCATACCTATTCATATGCATACACAAAACATCCCTATAGCTTTCTTATTCTTATAGATTTAGCATTTTTAAAATATCATATAAACAAAATGGAATAGTACGTAATTCAATAAATTTTTTAGAAGAATAATTTAAAAATTTTTAAAAATAGCTCCTGATTCAGTATCCGTACACATATGTAACTAAAATAATGGAATATTTTATCTACCCTTCTAATTGCTTCTATATCACTAGGAAAATTTTCTTAAGAAAACAAGCAGTTGTCATGACCTTCGAAATTGAATTTGTTACCCACTAATGAATCAAAGTCTGACAATTAATAATACTATTTTCAAAGTTTTCTGATATTTCGTATATCCTCTGATGGGAAATTGAAGAGACCTTGACTCTCACCCAATGTAAAATCAAATACTAGAATATTTTTCTGAATCTGGTAACAGAAAACTTTGGCTATTGTGAATCATAACATGTTTGATATCACAATACATCAAGGGCTTGTTTTTGTTGATGAAATATATTGTTTCAATACATATGGTCTATTAAGTGCTGTGTGAATTGGGTCTCATTCTGGCAATCACAAAGGCAAGTCAAGTAGTCTAAGTATTATGATGTAGAAGAAAACCATGGAGCCCAGAATCTGAGAATCAAAACATATGAGTTTTACTCTAGATTTGACATTGTCAGGAACTAGAGACTCCTCTTAATGTAAGTGAAAGAAAACAAAGAGAAAGTTCCTTAGACAACATGGAAGAAATTAATAGTTCTCACATTTGATATTTACAGTCTAATGATAGACTGGCTCCCTGCAAAGTTTATTGAGGTGCTCAAGTAATGCCACAGGATTTACTTGGGCCAACTTTTTCTGGTTTGGCTTCGTTCTCAGGCAGGCTCTGCCTATGTTGTGACAGAAATGACCACTAACATTGTTAGTCTTATAAAATCTTAGCAGCTTAGAAAACATTATGTAAACATGTATTAGGTTGGTGGGAAAGTAATGGCAAAACCGCAATTACTTTTGCACCAATCTAGTATCCATTTCCTTAAAAAGTGCAACAAGTTTCTGAGCATGGCATTGGTATAATAATTTGACCATTTGAATGTTTTTGATGTATTCACTATGAATCTAATTAGCCATACCTGGGTTCAGCAGCTGACATTATCTCAAGCAGAAATACATAGAGAGAAATTTGTGGTTCCTCAAAGAAAAATCAGAGTGCTCTGATTAAAAGGATTAATAAATGATGGGCAGGAAAAAAACAACAGATACCCTTTGTAGATGCAAACTAGATATGTAAATTTAGGTTATTCACCTTCTACTATTTAGAGTAAAAGTGTATCTTTTCTAAAGAAAGTTAAAGATCTAAAATTCGAAGTCCAAATTAGTAAAATTATTTAGACATTATTAGGGCAGTATTTTAGCTCTCAATGGCTTTGTGACACATTCTATAATATGCATGATCAGTTTGGCCTATTTTAGTTAAAAAAAATCACTAATATACTGAATACTTATTTTATTACTTACATAGTATTTTGATGGGGCTTCCAGAAGACCCGTTTGCTATTCTTACTGAAACTTGCAACACACATGCCGTCTGACTTAAGTAAAATATTTTAATAAATAATTGCATTACTTTAAGATTTTCTTTATTTAGAAAAAATATAGAACTGTATCACTCTAGAGTTAACAGAAACCCTGAAATCCTGCTGTCCACATTCTTAAAAGGTTAATAGCAATGTTCCACATTGCGTAAGTATTATATCTGCAGTTAGTTTGATTTTTACTTTATAGCCAAAAAAGTATGACCAACACAAATGTCCATCAGATGATGAATGGATAAATAATGCATGATATATCTATCTGATAGAACATAATTTGCCAGTGAAAAGATATAAAGTGATACACAGTACAATATAGATTAAACTTGAACATGTTATGGTAAATGAAAAAATCCAGACACAAAAGACTATGTATTGTATGATACTATTTATATGAAATGTCCAGAATAGGCAAATCTATAAAGCCAAAATTAGATCAGGTTTTACTGTGGCTTTGGTTTTTGAATGATTGTAAATCAATATAACTATAAAGCTATAAGTAATATGGATCTTAGGGAATAATGTAAAACCAAGACAATTTGGGGGAGAAGTTGACTGTAAGAGAAAATCATTTGGGCATGAGGGTCTAAAGTCACTTAATATCTCTCAGAATAAGAATATGAAGACTGAAAAGGTGCAGGGAAGAAAATTTTGGTTATATTCTTCAATTAGGCATAGACCATCTTTTCTTATATATGTCAATGTTCTTTTTCCTCCATTTTAATTTGGAAAGCCAATTTGAAATATTCTGCTCATTTTCACATGAACAACTAGCACATACAAATACTTAAAGGAAATCTTTCATTCACATCCAAACATTTAAGGGAAAAGGTATAGATTTTCTTGTATTTTAAACCACTTCCTCCTATTAATAGTATTCACTTCACATCCAGAAAACTGAGGATTCCATGTGTATAAGACTTATGTATTCAGCTCTAATTTTCTCCAAGTTTAAAATGAATGTTATTAACAGATCCAATTAAAAATGATAAAGTTCACCAATGTTTAAATTAGAGCTAGCTGAATAAATATTCCCTTCAGCATTTCATCAAAGTTTCAGGTAAACAGGCAGACTCCAAGGAGAGATTATAATTAAAATATCTATTTTTCCTACATGGATATATATTAGGTTTCTTTTTCTGTAATACATGTTTAAACATACTGATATTTTTTAAAACATTATGGTAGCATGTAGCATAAACCCCACCTAAAGGACACTGAAAGTGATGTGGCATCAGAATGAGGTTCACTGTCTACTTTCAGGAAGAGATAAACTCTGCTTCTTCATCTAGACTTCTACAGCAACAGTGTGTAAAACACTACTTGAATCCTTTAACTGGATTGTCATCCTTTTTCTTTAAGCTAATGGAAACATAAACTTTTGGATTCTTATGCCTTAAGATTAAATTTTATTACTAAACTCTTTACTCTCTTTTTAAAAACTTTCTTCTTATTTAAACCCTTTAGTCAACTCCCCAGAACTTATAATACTTTTATCTTTATACACACCACTGTAACTTTTGGGGTTTCCCCGTGACTCAATGTCACCATTAATTGGGAACCAGTATACCCAACTACTTCACAGATTCTTTGCATATAAGGGGATTTATTGGATTTATTAATCAATTTCATAGGGAATGGAATAAACTAGAAAACACATGTACATTTTTAGCATTTGCAAATGGGAAAATGTTTCAGAATGCACTACTTTAGATTACGGTGTCCGCTGTGTAGTTCTGACTTCCTACGAGAGACTGAGGTTTCAGTGAGCTTCTACCAACCTATTTCACTGCTAAGAAAAGGACACGTTGATCCTTTGTCCACCTGGATCCACGGCTAGAAGCTAACCTAATGACATGTCTTCTATCGTTAAGTTTCCTTCCCCCAGATAGGAAACCTAGCAAACCAGAGCAGAGCAATTAGTGGTCCTTTATCTCAAAAGGATAGCATGAATATTCAGGAATCGTGATATACAGTGAATCTGATGAGGCTTCTCTGCATAAATATGCTTCCATTAGGTAATAATTTATCTTTTCCTGTGAATATACCAGCCACACTGATTTTTAAAGATTATTATTTGTGTTACTTTCTTCATGCTTTTTGCCTTTTGTATACTTATTTCTATCTAGTTATTTTCCAACACAAGAGTCTCATAAAATTTTCCCATTCAATGTGATTAGAAATTAATCTTCTTTCTTCTGAGCTATTTGTTTATTCTTTGCACAGCAATTGTTGAACATAATTTATTTTGTCCCATTTGCTTTGTTGTCTATTCTTTTAGAAAACGATATGTTCCTTGGAAACAGGAACTACATGTTATTTATTTTTATATCTCAAAAAGCTAGCAAAGTTCCTAGAATACAATAGATGGTTTAAAAATGATTGCTGAATCAATATAACTGCTAACTCAAGTAAATACATGAGAAACTGACGAACATCTTACTCATTTTTGGAGCAGATTTCCATCATTGAAAAAAAAACCCTGAAAAAACAAACCAAAAAAAAAAACTAAAATGGATTAAAGTGTGGCTAAGATTGTAAATGGAAACTTTACACATTGCTGTGTGAAACACAAATGGTAAAATTACATGGAGAAGCAGCCTAGGTTCTTATAAAGTTAAACAACACTATCTATACAACCCAAATATCTAACTCAGATATTTATATAGGAGAAATGAAAACAAATACCCACACAACAACCTTTACATGAATGTTCATGAAATATTTTTATAAGAGCTGTATTGAGATGGAAATATCTCGTACATATGAGATATGCTGGGATTACAGGCATGAGCCACCATGCCTGGCTCTGTTTCAAATGTTTTATTGTGATAAATAATGTAACTCTGAATATTCATATACAAGTTTTTGCGTGTGAAAATATTTTATCTTGAATATAAATTTAGGAGTGGAATTGCTGGATATATATATATATATATAACAACACAACTCACCTATTACACAATTCAATGATATTATATTCACAGTTATGCAACCACCACCACAATAAATTTTAGTTCATTTTTACTTCCCCAAAAAGGAGCTCTGTACACTTTAGAAGTCACCCTCTACCTCTCAATACTTCCCTCCCTACCACCCAAGCTGTGGATAACAGTTAATATATTTTCTGTGTCAATAGATGTGGCTACACTGGACATTTCATGTGAATGGAACAATATCATATATGGTTCTTTGTGATGGTTATGTTGCACATAGCATATTTTCAAGGTTCACGCATACTGTCACACGTATCAGTATCTTATTCATTTCAGAATAATATTCCACTTTGCTGATATAACACACTTCACTTCTGTTCTTCAGTTGATGAATATTTGGGTTGTTTCATTTATTTATTTATGTATTTATGTATGTATGTATTTATTTATTTAGTGAGACAAGGTCTTGCCTAGTCACCCAGGCTGGAATGCAGTGGCTGGATCAAGGCTCACTGCAGCCTCCACCTCCCAGTGCAAGTGATCCTCCTGCCTCAGCCCCCACCAAGGAGCTGGGGACATAGGCACGAGCCACCACGCCCTGCTAATTTTTCTATCTTTAGTAGAGATGGGGTTTTGCCATGTTGCCCAGGTTGGTTTTGAAATCCTGAGCTCGAGCAATCTGCCCACCTCGGCCACTGTAAGTGCTGGGATTACAGGCATGAGCCACCATGTCTGACTCTTTTTCAAATGTTTTAATGTGGTAATGTCACTCTGAATATTCATGTACAAGTTTTTGTGTGTGCAAGTGTTTTATCTTGAATATAAATTTAGGAGTGGAATTGCTGGATCATATGGTAACTATTTGCTTAAACTTTTGAGAGATTTTCAGACGTTTTCTCAATGTAGCTGCACAATTTTACATTTACACCAGAAATGTATGAGGGCTCTAATTTCTCGGAACTATTGCAAATTCATGTTATTGTCTATAATTTTTATCATAACCGTCCTATAGGTATAAAGTAGAATCTCATTGTAGTTTTGACTTATATTCTGCAATGGATAACGATTATCTTTTCATTTGCTTATTGGTCATTTGCATATCTTGTTGGGAGAAATGCCTATTCAGATCTTTTGCCTATTTTTTAATTGTGTTATCTGACCTCTATTATTGAGTCATAAGAGATGTTTTTAATATCCTAGACAAGTCTTTTATGAAACATAGGATTTGAAAACAATTTCTTCCTTTCAGTGACTTCCTTTTTCATTGTCTTGATTGTGTCCTTTGAGGCAGAAAATCTTTAAATGTTGATGAAGTCCAATTAATCTTTTCTCATATATATGTGTGTATATGACCAAAAATATTAGCCACATGTATGGCTTTATAGATATATAGATATATAGATATAGATCAATTGGACTTATATAAGCCATATATGGGGCTTGTTTTTATATATAAACCATATATAAATACATACAGTATTCAGATATATAGTATATATAGTATACAGTATAAAAACTATAGTAATAAATATATATTTATACATATACCAGCCTATTCCAAGTCATAAATATTTATTACTAAGAATTGTATAGCTTTAGCTCTAACGAGGTATTTGACTATTTGAGCTAATTTTTTACATGATGTAAGGTAGGCATTCCACTTCACTCTTTGCATGTAGATATCAAGCTGCCACAGAACAATTTTTTGAGAAGGGTTTTGTTTCCCTATCGAATTTTCTTGGCACATTTGTTGAAGTCAGTTGGCCACTGATGTATGGGACCATTTCTGTACTATCAACTCTATCCCATTGATCTATATAAATATAATTATGTAACTACCACGTTGTATTTATCACTGTGTATTTGTAGCAAGTTTTTAGAATGGGGCAATATGAGTCCTCCAACTGTTCTCTTTAAAGATAGTTTTGTTTACTCTGAGTCCCTGAGTTTCCATATGAATTTTAAGATCAGTGTGTTAATTTCTGCAGTACTTGATTTAGGATTTTGACAGAGATTTCATTAAGCCCATAGATCTATTTTAGGAGTATTGCCATCTTAATAAATTAAGTCCTCTAATTGATGATCATGGATGTCTTTCAACTTATTTATGTTTATTAAAATTGCTTTTGAGACGGTTTTTCTACTGTGAACTGCATGGAGTTGGCTTTTGTTTATTACTTCAGTGTGAAAATCTCTGTTTTTCATTGTTAAATCAAGTCGCATTCTATGCTATTTTCCATATTGTTGGGTGTGTGTGTGTATATGTGTGTATGTGTGTGTGTATACATATATATATATATATATGTATACACACACTTTTGTTTTCTTTGTGTCTCATGTCCTTTTGCTCCTCTATGCCTCCTTCCCTGATTTCTTCCACAATAAGTAAATATTTTCTAATGTAACATATTTTTTTTTATTTTTTCACACAATTGCTGGGTTTTTTTTTTATAGTTGTTTTAGGGCTTACCCTATATAAATTAACTTATCCAGAATGCCCTTTAAATGTACAGATTTATTTCCAGTGAAATGTAAACACCTATTTCTGTATAGTTGTGGTTCCTTCCTCCCTATTTTTTTGCTATAATTTAAAAATATACTTTATACATATTAAATTTAAAAATATACTTTATACATATTAAATCTAATACCTTATAATAAATATATAGTTTTATATCTTTTAAAGAAGTTGAGAGAAAATCAAAGATATATTTCCTATTTATAAAATTTGTTATATTAATTATATTCACATTTCTGGTTCTTCATTTATTTCTGTTAGTTTGAGTTACCATCACTTCCTTGCTCCACTGCGTTTCCTTTTATTTTTCCAATGACATTTTTCGTCTTCACTGTAGCTCTACTTCCATTCACTTCCCTGTGCTGTTGCTGTCAAATTTATTACATTTCTATATGTTATAGTCACAACAATAAATTGTGCACATATTATTTTACATCGTTACTTTTTAAATCAGTTAAAAAGGGAGAGGAAATATGCATTTAGACTGTCATTTCTAATTACATCATTAACATTATCAGTGTTTTGTGTTTTTTCATGTGTGTTGACTTGCCGTAATTACTGTTTGAGGTCATAAGCTTTCTCCTTAAAGAGATTCTTCAGTATTTCTTTTAAGAGTGGTCCACTAGCAATGGATTATCTCATTTTCATTTGTGAATTAAAATTTTTATTTGGTCTTCTTTTGGGAAGTTAGTTTTGCTGGATATGAGAATACTTGGCTGACAATTCTGACAGTTTTTATTTTTTATTTTTTCCAGCACTTTGAATATGTCATACTAGTGTTTTCTGGCCTGCATTTGTTTCTTTCTTTTCTTTTTTCAATTCCAGGGTACATGTGAAGGATATGCAGGTATGTTACAAAGGTAAATATGTGCCCTGGGAGTTTGCTGCACCTATCAACCCATCACCTAGGTATTAAACCCGGTATGCATTAGCTCTTTTCCCTAATGCTCTCTCCAACCCCGTCCTCCCCTGACAGGCCCCAATGTGTGTTGTTCCCTTCCCTGTGTCCATGTGTTCTCATTGTTTCTCACTTATAAGTGAGGTCATGTGGTATTTGGTTTTCTGTTTCTACATTAGGTTGGTGAGGGTAATGGCTTCCAGCTCCATCCATGACCCTGCAAAGGACGTGATCTAATTCCTTTCTGTTGCTGCATAGTATTCCATGGTGTATATGTACCACATTTTCTTTATCTAGTCTATCATTGATGGGTATTTGGGTTGATTCCATGCCTTTGCTATTGTGAATAGTGCTTCAATGAACATACACATGCATGTGTCTTTATAATAGAATGATTTATATTCCTTTGGGTATATACCCAGTAATGCTATTACTGGGTCAAATGGTATTTCCAGTTCTAAATCTTTGAGGAATCACCATGCCGTCTTCCACAATGGTTGAACTAATTTGCATTCCCACCAACAGTATAAAAGTATTTCTGTTTTTCCACAACCTCTCATTTCTCTAACGACAAGTGATGTTGAGCTTTTTTTTCATACGTTTGTTGGTTGCATAAATGTCTTCTTTCGAGAAGTGTCTGTTCATGTCCTTTGCTCACTTTTTAATTAGGTTGTTTGTTTTTTTTCTTGTAAATTTGCTTGTTTCTTATAGATTCTGGATATTAGATCTTTGTCAGATAGACAGATTGCAAAAAAATTCTCCCATTCTGTAGGTTGTCTGTTTGCTTTGATGATAGTTTCTTTTGCTGTGCAGAAGCTGTTTAGCTTAATTAGATCCTATTTTTCAATATTTGCTTTTGTTGCATTTGCTTTAGGCGATTTCATCACAATATCTTTGCCCATGACTATGTCCTGAATGGTATTGCCTAGATTTTCTTCTAGGGTTTTTATAGTTTTGGGTTTTAAATTTAAGTCTTTAATCATCTTGAGTTAATTTCTGTATAAGTTGTAAGGAAGCGTTCTAGTTTCAACTTTCTGCATATTGTTAGCCAGTTCTCTCAGCACAATTTGTTAAACAGGGAATCCTTTCCCCATTGCTTGTTTTTGTCAGGTTGTCAAAGATCAGATGGTTGTAGATGTGCAGTTTTATTTCTGAGCTCTCTACTTTGTTCCATTGGTCCATGTGCCTGTTTTTGTACCAGTACCATGCTGTTTTGGTTACTGTAGCCTTGTAGTACCATTTGAAGTATCAGTTTCCCACACGAGGTGCACAAGTGAGTGTTAAGTACAGACATATACACACACATATACACATGCACATACTCCTTTGAAAACGTGATCAAATAACTGATACTCCTATTACATTTTAAGGAGACTGCTAGACACTTCTGACACAAATGAAATATGAATTAGGTCTGACATTTTAGATGTATTAAAATAACATCTTCATAGGATAGAAAATGGATTTTATTCACCTTGTCTCTAGGAAATTTATCACAAATAATTCCTAGGGTTTTTTGCAAAAATACAATAATTATTTCTTTTTGTTTCTTACATATACTAGTTGAATACAAAAATATGCAATTTTTCAGATACATAATTTCAGGATGATTTATAAATCTCTTTTTCTCAACTTTCTTTTTCCTGGGCTCTAATATTTTCTGCATTTTTAGTGACCAAAATTCTGATCACTCAACCCAAGTTAGGTGACAATAGCCATAAGCTAGGTTTTCTGTCAGGGTATTTTTCCAAAGTAGCTGGAAATGAATTCTAAAGTTGAGGATAAAGCTATGTCAGGCTAGACCAGACTGAAGACAATAAACTAAGTTTGATACAGATCAGATTATAACATGTCGATTAGAGGTCACACATTCAGCCAACGTGAACAAGCATACAATATAATGCTTATTCTACTCAGCTTTTTAGTTTGTGCTTTGTTATCAACTCCTCTGGGAAATCTTACCGAACACTTCCTAGACTAGCCTGATTTATACTCTTACTTTCTGTTATATGTGCTGTGGTTTGGTTGTTTGTCCTCTTCAAACCTTAAGTTGAAATTCAGTCTCTAGTGTAGCAGTGGAAAGTGGAGGCTGGTGGGAGGTGTTTGGGTCCTTGGGGCAAATCCCTCATAAATAGGTGAAAGCCCTCCATCAGGGGGAGTTCTCACTCTATTAGTTTGACACCCCACCCCCTCAAGTGTAATTTCCGCACACAGTGCTGCCTCTTTTTCCACTTTCCACCATCAATTGGAGCAGCCCCGGAGGTCCTCACCAGATGGAGATGCACAGTTTTTAACTTTACAGCACCAGAATTGTGAACCTTATAAACCTGTTTTCTTTATAAACTACCCCATCTCAGGTATTCTGTTATAGCAACACTAAATGGAGTAAGATACTGTGCTGGCTTCTGACATTTCTTCTATCACAACCTTTATCATTGTGTATATATATAGTATATATATAATATATATATAATATATATTTAATATATTATATATTATATATAATATATTTTATATAATATATAATATATTTCATATATTATATATTATATATATTTTATATAATATATAATATATTTTATATATAATATATAATATATATTTTATATATAATATATATTATATATATAATATATATTATATATTATATATATTATATATTATATAATATATATAATATATAATATATATTATATATATAATATATATTATAATATATATAATATATATTATATATTATATATATATTTAGTATTTTCTTTTAAATATTATCTCTGTGAGGTGTGACCAGTGCATTTTCCAAAGATAGATTAGTGTTTGCCACCTAGAGAGCATTTATTAATGCATTGTAGTCAACAGATTTTTATTGAATACTTGCTCTATGTTAGTCACTTTCTTAGGCATTGTGGAAACAAAATTCAATAAAACTTTCTCTTAAGGATGTGACAGAAAGGTGTGTGTGAGTATTTGTGTGTTTTTAAAAATAGACTCTTGAGTGTGTTATCATAATAACTCTTGGAAAATTTAGTTAAATTGAGTACAATTGTGAAGTGAGCTATGGCTGATTGTCTGCAAAGGTGGAAGCCAACAATTCCCCTCATCCCTCTAACTCTTCTCCTAAAAAGTTGAATCTATTCCTCCACCACTTTGATCTGGTCTTACAGTGTATAACCAATAGAATGAGGCAGACTAGACTTAGTATAAGTTCTAGGCCTAGCCTGGCAGAATCCTGGAGACTTCCACTTTTGTTCCTTACCTAAATCACCAAAGAAAATCTGACTACGTGGAGAGAGAGGTCTAGCCACTCTGAGGCATTTACTTCACCCGAGCTGAGGGGCCAATGAAGGGAGTAACGACATGTTGGATCCTTTAGCTATAGCCAGACTTCCCTAAGTAACACTGGGGAATTGACCAGAAATAATTTTTCCCCTTTGAGACTGGCCCAATATGCTATCATGAGTAAATAAGTGGTTATTGTTTTATATCTGTAAGTTTTGTAGTGATTTCTTACACAGCAATAGGTTTCTGAACCAGAAACTCAGAGAAAGGAGGGATTAGTCCTGTGGGGAGGTGTAAATGCAGAGAAAAGAAGGCAGGATTAAGAGAAGTGTAGAAGATAAAATCAACAATGAGGTGACAAAAATGACAAAAATGGGAAAATCCAATAACTTACTGATTTCACATAATTAAATGAATGGTAATTGCATTAGCTGAGATGTAAAAGAAGTGTTTAAAATCATTTAATTATCAACAATATACTTTCCAAACAGGTTTGTTAAAATGTACTTCATTTAAAATGAATTTCATTCATTTAAATTGTACAATACCGTTTTTCTACTATATTCGCAGAGTTGTGCAACTATCACCATAATCAAAGTTTATAACATTTTCATCACCCCCAGGAGAAACCCTGTACCATTTGTAGTCACCTTCTAATCACACACATCAAATCTCATGCAGCCAATAATCTGTTTCTATCAATTTTCCTATTCTGAGCATTTCATATAAATGAAATTATACAATATGTGCTTTTCTGCAAGTGGTCCCTTTCATTAGCCTAGTGTTTAGGAGGCTGATCCATGTTGTAGCATCAATTAGTACTACATTCATTTTCATCGCTGAATAATATATGATTGTTTGGATGTACTACATTTTATTTGTCCATCTATCAGGTGATAGATCATTAGGTTGAGTTTTTGGCTGTTATAAGTAATGCTGCTAGGAACATTATTGTTTATGTCTTCGTGGGTATATATGTTTCTCTTGGGTATATACCTAAGAGTGGATTTGCTGATACAGCATAAAGTTTTACTGTTATCACTATTTAATTAGAACATTTGAATGGAATAATATCCACCAATCTTGAAATGCCACAAACAAATTCAGATAAAGTCAATTAGACATTTACATGCTAGATACGTAAACGCTGGATCCAAAGACTTGATGCAACTCTTGTATACAAAAGAAAAACAAAGGAACAACATCAAATTTTTCATGGAAATTTTACATCATTTTATCAGCTATATTGTAATCTATTTCTGCAAAGTAATTATAATATTAGTATCCAATTATAAGTGAGATATTGAAAACATATTTTGTAGTATTTCTATTTAAACAAAAATACATCTCAATTAAGGCATATTATATTTGATACATACATGACAGATATCATGGTGAGGAGGGATTGACTCATATGAAAAATAATGCATTTATGCATTTTTAATATAAAAGGTGCTCTGGATCACCAAAATTATGGACTCTAATGGTAACAAATAATACAATGACACCTTTTCAACAAAAAGATAAAATATGTTAATATCACTCTCTGCATTTCACACATGGCTGATGTGTTTTGAACGTTCATGTTTACCAAGTCATTTCAATACCTATCGTACAGCAACAGTATGATATCTGTGCTATTATTACTATGACCATTTTACAGATTAAAAACATAAAAACATGAGATTAAATAATTTGTTCAACATACTGTTATTAACTACTAGAAACCAAATTCAAACCCAGGACGCAGAGCTTCAGAACCTGCACTGTTTATCCCTGTGTGATACTGCATATTTCTCATAGAATCAGGTCTCAGCTATCGGTTAATTTCTTTCTTTGTACTGCCTTTCTCGGGGCATTGTCCAGATATAAGCTTTTTACATTCTGTTAAGAATGATTGGAAATTCCCGCCTGCTGTCATGTCACCGTCATTGATATATATGTTTTTATTTCTATATTTTTTCTGACTCATTTCAATACACCAGATGCTTTTGCATATATTGAATGGAGGTGCTCAAAGATTGGTGTAAGTTGGAGAACTTGTTGCCTCTCCAGGTGATTCCACTACACAGCCACGGTTGAGGCATAATAGTCTAGAAGAGAGGAGAATATTGCTTTGCAAAATGATGTAAAACACAAACCTCTGAAACTGTATTAACTTTGAAATTTACAATCTGAAAAGCGCTATTGTTTCATAAACAACTGAAATATACCATAAATAAACATAAGTATTAGACCGTATCACCAGGTATTAACTCACTTGAATTGCATGAAACAGTAAAATTTCATGTGAAAAATTCTAAGATACATGATATTTTCTTTTTATTATTAAATTATTTATTTATTTATTTATTTTGAGACAGTCTCTCTCTGTCACCCAGGCTGGAGTGCAGTGGTGCTATTTCGACTGATTGCAACCTCTACCTCCCGGGTTCAAGCATTTCTATTACCTCAACCTCCCAAGTTTCTGGGATTACATGTGTGCAGCATCACACCTGGCTAATTTTCGTGTTTTTTGTAGAGACAGGGTTTCACCATGTTGGCCAGGCTGATCTCGAACTCCTTACCTCAAGTGATCCACCTGCCTCAGCCTCTCAAAGTGCTGTGATTACAGGTGTGAGCCACTGCACCTGGCATTTTTCTTTTTAGTGTTTCAGACCTCTTCTCTGATGACTGATCCCTTTGATGTCTGGACTTCTGCCCCACTTACAGGAGAGAGGGCCTTTTTTATTAATGCCAGGACCCAAATCAGTAGGCTGAAGATGTGTCAGATGTAATAGATCAAAGCGGAGAAAAGATCATCAGGCTTCATCACTAAAGAAACACTGAGTATTAGAATGAGTACTGAGGGTTAAATATTAAACCAATGTTTTTAAATTTTCAGGTATGTAAGACTCTGCTGATTCCTTTTTAAAAATTTATTTTTTGGAAGTATATCCTTATTAATAATGGCCAGGGTTGAGACATTTCCCAGGTTAATAGTCTCTTCCTGGGCTCAAAGGTTTAAGTGACCTTAAAAAGTATAATTCAATGGATTGACTAGTAGGTGAGAGTGTTTTGTCAGGCAAGGGAAACTATTCATCTCTTCTAAAATATCAGCAGGTAGGCAGTATTCTACTGTATCTGTGTATGAGGCAGTCCTTGAAAACAATCCCAATTACTGTAATAACATGTTTTTCCACCCATGTACTCACCCTTTTCCTTAAAGCAGAGTTCTATTTGGATAAACATATTAGAAAAACAACTGTTTGAAAAAGTCAGGCGAGACTGTGTTTATTTCAGTCCAAATATTTTATCATAAAACTTTGTTGACATTGCATAGTAAGTAAACTTGTTGTGCTGAAGACAACAAGGATGTTATTAGGTTTGTGGACAACTCATGGCTCAGTCCTCTAGATTCTACTGACAGTGACAGCCTTGGGGAAAGAAGATCAGGGAACTACTTGGCTTGCTAGAGAGAGAGTGATCCTCTTCTCTGTCCAACACTGTAGATGGATGGAGAAAAAATAGGTATCAAAAATTCGTAATGCCAATATTTCCATATGATTATATATTGTTTTTCTTTTTAAAATTAATATCTTAATTAAATCATAATTATATACATTTATGGGTATAATGTGATGTTTTGACATATGTATACAATGTGGAATGATTTTAATCTAATTAATATATCCATAATTTCATCTACTTATCATTTTTTTCTGGTAAGACATTAAGGAATCTAAAAATGTAGAACTCATGTAAGTAGAGAGTAGAATGATGATTATCAGGGGTTGGGTGTTGGAGGAGAGAGAATGGGGGGATGTGGTCAAAGGGTACAAGTATCAGTTAGACAGGAAGAATACATTTTTGAGATCGATTATACAACATGGAGAATATTGCTAATAAAAATATACCATATATTATTCTTTGTATATGTACAGATCATGTAGTTTTGTGATACTGTATGAAGGGACTTCAAAAACTTCATAGAAAATTGATTTTGAAAATATAAATATTATTTCTCAATATAAGCTCCATCAAGTTCAAGACACTTGTAAATGATGATGCCAGCCATTTAGTCCGTTGCTAAAGAACTTAGGGTTCTGGGAATTAAACCAAGTCAATGCAATCTGTTTTACATTGTTAATTAAAGAAAAATCGCTTCCCTTTAACAAATTTTTTAAGATTAGGAAACAAAAATAAGTCACAAGGAGCCAAATCAAGATTGTAAGCTGGATGTCTAATGATTTCTCATCAAAACTCTCACAAAACTGCTTTTGTTTGATGAGAGGAATGAGCAAAAGCACTGTCGTGGTGGAGAAAGACTATATAGTGAAGCATTCCTGGGTGTTTTTCTGCTAAAGCTGGGGCTAACTTTCTCAACACACTCTCATAATAATCAGATGTTAACATTATTTGGCCCACCAGCTGCTCAACACCCAAACGCCTGGGACATCCCAAAAAACTGTTGCTATGCCCTGTGCTCTTGGCTGGTCTGCTTTTGCTTTGATTGGACAACCTTCGCCACTTGGTAGCCATTGCTTCGCCTGTGCATTGTTTTCAGGGTCCTGCTGGTAGAGCCACATTTCACCTCCTGTTATAATTCTTTGAAGACATGCGTTAGGACACAAGGAAGGGAACAATAGACATGGGCCTTGAGGGCAGAGGGTGGGAGGAGGGTGAAGACAAAAAAACTACCTCTCTGGTACCATGCTTATTACCTGGGTGACAAAATAATCTGTACACCAAACCCCTGCAACATGAAATTTACCCTTGTAACAAACCTGCTCATGTACCCCTTGAACCTAAAATTAAGTTGGAAATTTAAAAAAAAAAGCTTCAGGATCTTGATTTCACTTATCTAAAATTTTCACTAAAAGCTCTACTCTCATCTGAAGCTAATCTGGACGCAATAGTTTTGGAACCCATTGAATGGGAAGTGTGCTCCACTTCAATTTTGTAGTCAGAACTGTGTAAGCTGAACCAATTCAGATGTCTACAGTGTTGGCCATTGTTTCTGCTATTAATTGTCAATCCTCTTCATTTGGGGCACACACAAGATTAATTTTTTCTTTGCAAATCGATGTGAATGATCTGTCATTTCAGGCTTTATCTTTAAAATTGTCTTGTTCCTTATTAGAACAAGTTATCCATGTAACAAAACTGCTGATTTATTTGGGGCATCAGCCTCATAAACTTTTCATAGAGCATCAATAATTTTAACCCTCTTTCACCCACGTCTGCCCACGAATTTGATATTTGTTCTCATGTCAATGTTAGCAGAATTCATGTTGGTTTTTTAGGGGCTCTTTTCAAACTTATATCTTATCCTTCTTAATGCCTCAAACTAGATCCTTCAGACATGTTTTAACAAGTCAGTATGAGTTTATAATGGTGCAAAAATATTAAAATCCATGCATAGTTGTTATGATAATATGTGTTTCCCACGAACTTTTTGAAGATCCCTCCTTTGTATTTATATGTATGTACAAATGTGAGAATAAACTATCCAGGGCCAGAAGATAAACCACAGCAGAGGAATAGGTCGAAAAATTTAAAATTCCTGGAACTTAAGCAAGGCTGGAATATTTTACCAAGGGAAGAAAATGCTCTCTATCGGCCGGGGTAGAAAGATCTTGAAATCTTCAAAACATTGAGTGGAATCCTCAGAGACTGCCTATGTTAGTAGGTCAGCACTAAAGGTCACTCTGGACCAGCCAAGAGAAAGCTTAAAAGCAGACTTCAAAAGGAGCCAATTGGTTAAAAGTAATTTATTTGTGCATCCAAACAAAATACAAATTTATTTTTTAAAAAAACACAACAATACTTAACGTCCATAAATAAATACAATACACACAATTAAAAGAGATGGCATGCAATAAATGATCAGATATGCAAAGTAGCAGGAGAATATGCCCCATATCCAGAACAAAATAACAACCAACAGAAAAGTCACTGGAATAACAGAGTTTATAGAACTAGTAGATAGGAACTTTAAGAACAGTCATTATGAAGATACTTCACATGTTTAAGACTATAGGAAAAAATTAAGCACATTGAAGAAAGGAAATAAAGACATTAACAATAAAACAGAACTTTGCGATATAAAAATACATTATCTAAAATGGAAAATATACTGGATGAAATTAGTAGCAAATTGCACATTGCAGAAGAAAGTATTCAGCACACTTGAAGGCAGAAATAGTACTATTAAAAATGAATCATAGAGAGACAAATGACCTAAAATAAATGAACATAACATCAGTGAGCTTTGGGACAGTACCTAACAATCTAAATTGTGAAACTGTAGTCTGAGAATGAATGGAGAGATGAAGATAAGGTAAGACAATAAAAACAGTTAAAGAAGTAATAGTGGAGACTTTTCAGAATTTGATGGCAAACATAAACCAACATATCCAAGAAGGTCCATAAAACATGAGTACAATTAAATTAAAGAAAACCATGCTAAGGCACATTAAAATCAAATTGCTAAAATCGGTGATTTAAAAAAAAGGGGGGGGTGGTAAAAGCAGCCAGCAATGGAAAGAATAATTACATAGAAAGGAACAAGATTCAAGTTAGAGCAGTATTTAAGTCAAAAATGATGAAAGCCAGAAGAAAATAGAGTACTAAAAGGCACCAGAGTGGGGGGTGGGCAATGGAAATTATCAACCTAAACACAAATAGGTTAAAAGTAAAGATGGATGGAAAAAGCTATACTCTGCAAACGCTACTGAAATGAACAGTAGACTGGCTATGTTGATAACAGAGAAAGTGCATTTTAGAACCTGAGATAAAATTTCATAATGAAAAGGCATGAGTTCATTGAGAGGACATAACAACATTAAATGTGAAAGAATAAATGTTTTTTCTAAGATTGAAAACAGGACAAATATGTTCATGCCCACAAGTTTTGTGCAATATTTTTCTGGAGATTCAACTCAGCACAATAAGGTAATAAAAAAAGTACACATTAGGGAAACAAGGCATGAAACTGAATTTATTTTCAGATGACATGGCTATGTTTCCAGAAAATCTGAAGGTATCATCTAATAAATGAGTTTAGTAATGTTGCAGAATACAAGCTCAATATACAAAAATCTGTTGTGCTACTACATATAACAACAAACAGTTGAAAATTGAAATTAAAATGAAAACAATGCCTTTTTCAGTAGTAACAAGATATTTTTGAGTAAAACTTACGGCATGCTGACTAAAGAGTAATTCCCAAATAGATATCAACCCTATAAAATTCAAACGTTAAATGAAAGGTAACCACTTGAAGTCACTTGGAGAAAACAGAAGGTGTCAGATTCCAGTGAGATGAGGGATATGGGAATAAAATACTTCCCCAGCTGCACAGATTTAGGCCAGAGGATAAGTGCCAGCCACATGCCCTGCCCAGAAATGTAGGAGGCATCAGTGTGAAAAGGCACAATCTTTTGGATGAGAAGAATTAGAAACCTAAGGCCAGGGGGAACCATTAGTAACATGAATGGGGGAATCTTAAAAAGGAAAGAGCCAGTGAAAATTCTTCCATGCTGTCTACTGACATTTCTGACTAATCTTTGAACCATGTGTTTGCAGAATGGACTTATTCTGCTAAATAACACATATCAAAGATGAGAGTTGCTGCCTATGCTGTAAGGTTTGCATTTTAAATACAGCAAGAAAATTACCTGCTAAAAAAATACTCATCAGAGAAAAAAAAATGAGCATCATTCTAAATATTTACAATATAACTTATATACTGTCAAACATAAAATCAAAATTCATCAAAACACAAAACATTAAAAAAACTCAAGGGGAAATAAAATCAAGTCACTCTGACCCTGAGATGAATGAAACATAAAAACTACCAGACAAGAATTTTAAAATGGCTGTTAAAATTACCTTTAAAAAAGGAAAGCAAAATATGTTTTTAATGTAATAAAAGTTAGAAAATATCAGCATATAAATAGAAAAAGGGACAAAACAGAAATTCTAGAATTGGAAAACACTGTGGCTAAAATTCAAACAATAATAATATAATGGATTTTTCATTTGACTGGAGATGATGGAAAAAAGATTAAATAAACTTGATGTTGTCAATAAGAAATTTTCCAAAATAAAGAATAGACAAAAAAGACTGAAAAATAAAATAAAATAAAGAACAAACCCTCAAATGCCTATTATATCATTTCAAATGGCCCTACATACATATATGTGAAACTCCAAAGCAGCAGTTAGGAAGAATTGGGTTTAAAAATTATTTTTAAAAAAAGTAAAAAAAAATTCTATATTTTAAGAGAGACATTTTAAGAGTCATTTATAGATATAATACATGCTTAATGGATACTAAGAAAAATAAATATAAATAATCATACAACATACAAATAAAAATTTAGTTAATCACAGAAAATAAAAACGTAACAGCATAGTTAAATTTTTGAGAGTAAAATATAAAGAGCAAATGTTGAAAGCAGCAAGAAAAAAATTATGTATGAAACAGAAAGGAACGACAATATATTTATATGCTGGCATCTCGGTAGAAATCATGAAAATTAAAAGAGAATGTAACTGCACTTTAAAAGGGCTAAAAGATGAAAATATAAACTATTAATTCAGAATTCTACATCTAGTAAAAATATTCTTTAGAAATGAGAAAAACAGATATACAAAATAAAATGAAATGAATTTCTACTAAGTGGTCATGCATTATAAAAAATTGTAAAGAAAATTCTTTAGCTTTAAGGATTAGTGTATCAGATGGAATCTCAGACCATACAAAGAAAAAAGAGTATCAAAAATGGTAAATATCTCAGTAAATGCAAACAGTTATTTTTTCTTTATATTTTGTTTTTATATTAATTTCTTCTTAAGCAAACTGCTTGTAGCAAAAATGACAACATTATTCTGAAGGATTTAAAAGACATGTTTATTAAGTATTAACTAGTATGATCAAAAGGTTCCACAATAGGCCTTCTGTAGGCTGAGGAGCAAGGAGAGCCAGTCCAAGTTCCAAAATCTGAAGAACCTGGAGTCTGATATTCGAGGGCAGGAAGCAACCAGCACGGGAGAAAGATGTTGGCTGGGAGGCTAGGCAGTCTCTCTTTTCATATTTTTCTGCCTGCTTATATTCTAGCCCTGCTGGCAGCTGATTAGATGGTGCTCACCCAGATTAAGTGTGGGTCTGCCTTTCCTAGTCCACTGACTCAAATGTTAATCTCCTCTGGCAACACCCTCACAGACACACCCAGGATCAGTACTTTGTATCCTTCAATTCAATCAAGTTGACACTCAGTATTAACCATTATAAAATACAAACCTAAATGAATCAGTATAATACTAATTCTAAGGAGGTAGTGGAAAATTAATAACATTGTAATCTTTACGATAACCATTAAAATCATGGCTAGAAAATCAAATTGAGATGGATTCTGGGAAAGAAAGTTAAACATTTAAAAGCCAATTAATGCAGTTTGCGATATTAAGAGAATAAAGAAGCAAAAGTGGATGATCATTTCCGTAAGTGTAGAAAATCTTTGAAAAAAATCTATCACCCATTTAGGCTTAAAAAAAGAAAATAAATACTATCAACAAACTAGGGATAGGATAGATACTTCTTGTCCTGATAAAGGGCAAACATCTACATTAATACACTTATTTTTTTAAAGGCTGAATGATTTCTCCCTGAGATTGGAGAACCATGATGTCCACTATCAGTGCTTCTATTTAACATTGTACGATCATTAAAAAGTCAGGAAACAACAGGTGCTGGAGAGGATGTGGAGAAATAGGAACACTTTTACACTGTTGGTGGGACTGTAAATTAGTTAAACCATTGTGGAAGTCAGTGTGGTGATTCCTCGGGGATCTAGAACTAGAAATACCATTTGACCCATCCATCCCATTACTGGGTATATACCCAAAGGACTATAAATCATGCTGCTATAAAGACACATGCACACGTATGTTTATTGCAGCACTATTCACAATAGCAAAGACTTGGAACCAACCCAAATGTCCAACAATGATGGACTGGGTTAAGAAAATGTGGCACATATACACCATGGAATACTATGCAGCCATAAAAAATGATGAGTTCATATCCTTTGTAGGGACATGGATGAAATTGGAAATCATCATTCTCAGTAAACTATCACAAGGACAAAAAACCAAACACCACATGTTCTCACTCATAGGTGGGAATTGAACGATGAGAACACATGGACACAGGAAGGGGAACATCACACTCTGGGGACTGTTGTGGGGTGGGGGGAGGGGGGAGGGATAGCATTAGGAGATATACCTAATGCTAAATGACGAGTTAATGGGTGCAGCACACGAGCATGCCACATGTATACATATGTAACTAACCTGCACATTGTGCACATGTACCCTAAAACTTAAAGTATAATAAAAATAAAATATTAAAAAATTAAAAAAAGAAGAAAATATGCAACAAATTTTTAAGAACTTAAAAGCAAAGAAAAAATTGTATTGGAGCTTCTAACTCTTGCAATAAAACAAGAAAAAGAAGTATAATGCATAAACATTCGAAAGAAATAAATGAAACCATATTTCCTTGCATAAGATATGATTGTGTATGAATAGCAACAAAAGGAATCTATAGAATATTTACTAATTGCATATTAAAAATCAATATTAAATTGACATTCTATATCTAAAATGAACAATTGGAAAAATAAACTTTAGAAAAATTAAAATAGCATTTAAAACACTTAAGAAACACTTTAAAAATAGATGTGCAAATGTAATGGATGTGCTAATTAGTTTGACAATGAAAATCATTTTCCAATGTATATAAATATCAAAACAAATTGTACACCTTGAATATATGCAGTATTACTTGTCAAATTAAAAAATATATATACAAGACTTTTCACTTAAAAGTCCAAAATATTGCAAAGGAAAATTAAAGAGTTCAAAATAAATTGAGAGTTACGTCTTGTTGAATTGCAGGACTAAATATTGATAATATAGTATTCTTTCCAAATGTATCTATAGATTTGATGCAATCTTCCCCCAATCCCAGGAAACTTAAGCAACCTTTCTTTAAAAAATTAGCAAGCTGGCGGACGGGCACAGTGGCTCACGCCTGTAATCCCAGCACTTTGGGAGGCCGAGGCAGGCAGATCACCTGAGGTCAGAAGTTCGAAACCAGCCTGGCCAACGTGGTGAAACCCCATCTCTACTAAAAATACAAAAGTTAGGTGGGCAGGGTGGCGGGCAACTGTAATCCCAGCTACCTAGGGACGCTGAGGCATGAGAATCTCTTGAACCCGGGAAGGAGGGGTTGCAGTGAGCTGAGATTGCACCACTGCGCTCCAGCCTGGGCGACAGAGGGAGACTTCATCTCAAAAAATAAATAAATAATAAAAAAATTGCAAGCTGGTTTCAAACTTAACTATAATAAAAACATATCTAAAATAGCAGAAACAATCTTTAAAAAAGAACAGTGAGGATTTGTATTATTTGATTTTAAGATATGTTCTAATACTCTAATATTTCAAAGGTTTAAATCTAAGAGCTAAGACCAAAGCATTTCTAGAAGAAAATCTAGGAGTAAAGCTTTGTGACATTGTGTTCAGCAATAGTTTGCTAAAATACACAAATATGATAAAGTATAAAAGAAACAATTAGGCACATTGAACTTTACCAAATTTTTTTTTAAATCATCGAAATCAATACTAAAAAATTAAAAGGAAAACAGCAAACATGGAGAAAATATTTTCAAAATATTTATCTGACAAAGGCTTATAACTAGATTATTTGAAGGACTTTAGCAATTTAAAATCAAGCAGTAAAAACTAACTAAATAAATAAATGATAGAAGGAGCAAAATACTTGAACATTTATTTCACCAAAGAAAATATATAAATGAAAATA
This sequence comes from Homo sapiens, assembly GCF_000001405.40. Classification (NCBI taxonomy): domain Eukaryota; kingdom Metazoa; phylum Chordata; class Mammalia; order Primates; family Hominidae; genus Homo; species Homo sapiens. Next base: position 14,042,448 of record NC_000002.12, on the reverse strand, counting down.
TTCACATAAAATAGATGCTTAATATTATTCATCGTTATACATAAATTAAAACCAAAATAACATACCAATACACACCCACAGGAATTGCTATAATTAAAGACTGCCAATTTCAAGTGCTGACAAGAATAAGTAGCAACTGAAACCATCATGCAGGAATGGTACCATCCCTTTGAAAAACAGTTGAGCCATTTTGAGAAGTTAAGTATATCATCACTGTACATCCCAGAAATATTACTTCTAGGTTTTTGCCAAAAGAATTAAAGAGATATATATTCATAAAGACATGTATTTGAATTTGCATATGAACTTTTTTTCATAAAAGTGAAAAATTTGAATCAACCCAAACTTCTAGTATGTAATGGATGAAGAAACAAACTGTGGTATACTCTAACTCTATCATATTAGTCAGCAATAAAAATTAACAAAACTTATGTGTCCAAGAACGATGTCCCAGTGAGGGACATTTTAATAAAAACTTGAAAAATCACTAGAGGTTTGGTTGGCAAATAGACGGAAATACTTTTCTAGAGTGACTAAGGAGGAAAATGGTATGGTTTGGAATGGGTTTGGAAGCATGACAAAGAACAGTAATTTTATTTTGAGTGCTGTTAGGAAGTCACTGGAATGAGGGAAAATGACATTATTATATCAACTAAGATAGAGTGAGACTATGGGGTTTTTGCCATATTGTCGAGATGAAGAAAATAATATTTCAAAATAGAATGGCTATGGAATATTAGTGAAAGAACAATCATCAAAAGTCTGGGGCTTGAGCAAAGGGAAGCGTGCTGGTGCCACTGGCAAGGCTGGAGAAGGAACACATTTCAGGTGGAGAGAATTGAGAGCTCTGGTTTAGACATGTTAACTGAGAGGTTCTGAAACACCTAGATACGCAGTGTGACAAGTCAACTGGAGAAAAGGGAAAGTTTAAGGCTTGAGATATAATTTGTGTCACAGGTCTTAATTAACTGACCTAGCGAGAGTACATATAATAAGAGAAGGGGAAGGGATTGTTCCTCTACTGAATTCTTGGAGACTGGATGGAACAGCTTGAAAAGATTATAATACAATTAAAAAATGGTAGCATCATACAAGCTGGGAAAATAAAATAAAATCCAGAAGAAATTGGTCTTCAGTTTGAATGCTGCAAGATCTTTATGAGAACGGAGAAGCTATCATTGAATTTGGAGAGCTGGAATGATGAGTGACCTTGCCAGCAAACATTTCAGTGACGGAATAGAAGTCCAATTACAGGATATTGAGAAAGAATGGGAGTAGGGAAGTGGAAACAATACCTGGAGGCAATGCCTCCGGTAAATTATAAAAGGACCTATGTTTCAGGAGGATTTCTATTTTCCTCACTAATGGGAGGGATATCTGTGGGCCTTGGTAGTAGATTCCCTCTCACTCAAAGCTCCCTAATTTGGAGTGCACGGATTGTATCCCAATCAGCCTGCCACTCACCTGTTCCATCCCTGAAGAGCCTGTCCTCCTACCCCAGACACTAAGTGGACTCTAGGGCCCTCACAGGTTTAGCTTGGTGTTCCTCAGAGGCCACTGCCATAAATTCTTTGTGAGGACCTAAGATCCTGTACAAGGCACAGTTCCTCAAGCTGTACAAGGCACTGTTTCTCAGGAGCTACCTCTACAAGTATTAAGTGCCACAGCTCCTTTAGTAAAAGCTTTCTGTGGAATTGTGGCTCCAACCTGTCCTCGTACTTGGGAAATACTTTTAAGTTGTAATTATATAAAACGGAGGGGACTTTTATTTCTTCCATCAACTGAATGCTAGGGTCCTTTGTGCCAGATAGGTTCAATGGAAACAAAAACAAATTTCCAAAGTCAAAATACTGAGTCCTCATTTCCACACCCTATGTTAAATATCTCCCCGTTTTTTTCTAAATACCACAAAGTTACTTAATCTGACAACTACTCCAACACGCGGTAGTCAAAACCACATTGCCATAACAATCCCCTTTGTTCTTTTAGCCCTTCATCCCAATATCTTAATCCTACTGTTCCTCTGGACACCTTTTGCTCCTTTATGATAGTCACTGGAATCGTGATCTGCATTTCACTTAGCCAGATTCTCCTGTTTTCAATCAATCCAACTCACGTCCTTGTACAGAGGGCAGCACTGAAAGCTGCAGCCGTCAATTTCCACCCTTGTCATTTGGAAGCAAAGAGTGGGCTTATGGGAAATACTCCCTAAGCGTCTTCTATCATCATCAAAGCCATACATTGATGGCTAGGATCACAGTGGTTATCCACAAGTAGCGTCCAAGAGTCTAGATATACAAAATCTCATTTTCCTCGTACAACCTAGTGAGGAAAATGTGAACATTCTTATTTAGAGATAAGAGAATTGACTCAATTATTTTATCTAATAAGACCAAAGTTAACAAGCTTGTAAGTGGTAGGACAAGAGTTGAAATTCATGTTCATCTGACTATATACACTGTTGAAGTTCCACTACTGAAATACTGCTTTTCGGAAATAGTCACCAGAATGTTACTTTATGTAGGTAGCTTAGTCAATTGTTCTTTTCACCTGTCTGGGTCTTGGCATTTGCTGTTGTTTCTCTCACTTCTGTACATTTCTTAACCTTCAGTTCAGGCAAATTTCCTCCTCTAAACATTTTCTGACACCCACCCCCTAGGCTACAACTCATATGTGTTCCCTCAACAGCGTATCTATTCTTACTGAGATGTACAGTATTTGTCTGTCTTCCATAACAGTGTCACAGCATATGTTTATGAATGAATGGATTAATACCTAAACAAATGAATACATTAATACCTAAACAAATGAATACATACGTGGATCTGTTTTTAAAATCTCAGCATGGATCATGCATATCAATTCTGGAATCTCCACACATTTGGCAAAGGCATACTCTACTAAAGATCCTTAATAGAGGCATTTTTCTCTAACCCTGAACCAGAGGTAGCAGCTGTCCTCTAGCCTGGGATATTTTTACATTACACTGTGCCTGTCAAACGGGAGCGAGTGGAATTTTCCTCCTAGTGTTTTCCACCTGCAACCCCTCCTCTGAGCTGTGCCATTTCTGCCTGTTTGGTCCCATCCCTACCTCTCCACTAGCAATTGAGAAATCTTTCTGTCTCTTAAAATGAGTACTGTCAATTTTTCTCAGATGCCATTTGCTCCTTGTCTCAAGACCTCTGCTCTCTTATTAACCACTCTTTTCTTTGATGCTTGAAGCTCCCTGGCTTCTTAATATCTGCCACTTTCCCCTTTTAAAGAAACATCTCAGCCCTGTCACTTGCACTAAGTACCAGCTCATCTTTAGCCTTCTTTTCTTCAGGACTTGAAACTCTCTGAGTGCCTCTCTCATAACAGTATCTGTAATTGATTTCAGTCTGGGCCTGGCTCTGGTGAAGCTGGGTCAGTCCAGGCTAGAAAACAACTGTCTGGAGGTTGATAGCCAGGCATCTTCCTGTCACAATTTACTCCTGACTTGAGGCAAAAGGTCACTTTTATAGTTAAGGAAGTTACAGTTCTGAGTTGCACTTAAAGAAGTTACAGTTCTGAGTTCTTTGCACTTTGCTTTTGCCAAATCACTCACTAATTGGCAAGTAGTAATAGGGTCAAAAATTTCCTGCAGTGTGCAGAAGCCTAGGCTTGGGTTTCAGACAGTTGTGGAACTTCCACCCTACCCTTTGGTTTTTGCCATTACTCTGAGAAACATGGCTTCTATTGGTATACTGTAAGCATTTCTGTTTTAAGAGTATCACATTGTATAAGGATCATCTATAATCAAGTGAGATAGTACATTCTTGGATTGTTTCTAGATTTGTAAACCTTATCTACTTTTAAATGTCTCAGTGACTCTGTGGATGTGAACATCCAACACTTAATAATTGTAATCCCTCTCCTTATCCTTGTTAAGTTTGCTCATCGTAACCTCGGCCTCCAGGGTTGAAGAGTGTCTCCTGCCTCAGCCTCCCGAGTAGCTGGGATTATAGGTGTCAGCCACCACACCCGGCTAATTTTTGCATATTTAGTAGAGAAGGGGTTCCACCATATTGGCCAGGCTGGTCTCGAACTCCTGAGCTCAGACGATCCACCTGCCTTGGCTTCCTGAAGTGCTGGGATGACAGGCATGAGCCACTGCGCCCAGCCTCTGAACTGTATTTTTACCTGCAAATAACCCTTTCATATTTTTGTAATGCACCTTATCCAATCAAATGGACTGTCCTATGGTTTTGTCTGCTAAATATCTTCTTAAAATTTATCCACTTTTCTCTATGTTCACTTCCATTATTTCAGTTTTTCTCTTCTATTAGTGCAACCTCATCCTGATTGCTCTCCTAGATTCTAGGGTTTTTTCTTCCAGTCTGTTTCTTTCATTGTACATAAAGAAATCCATCCATAATAAAAATATAGTTTTGACTACTGCAGCCTGTCTTTATCTCTGAATAAAGACAACTAGAGGAACAGTTTTAATAAAAAGAACATTATGGTGGCCCATAAGAAGCCAGTCTTTTCCTTTGGACCCAGTGTTTCTAGTCTGAATATGAGGGTCATTCCTGAACTGACCCTATCCTCCAGTTTTGACTGCTCATATCTTGAAAAATAAAACTCCTCATTATTCTAAGAATAAGGGACATAATTTTTAATGTAGACAAAAGCATTTGTATGCTAGACCCTTGCCTTCTTCCATAGTAATTCTCACAATTTTGTTTTCAGATCTCTAGTTTTCCTGGAATTTAATTTATTGGAAAGCTCAATGTACTCTTCCACATCAGAGTGTTTGTACATCCCCTTTCTGCCTGCAATGCTATTTCCTTCTCAAATTGCCTCCTTCAAACCTCAGCTCAATTGTTAATATCTCAGAGTGATATTCAGAGCTAGCAATGTTGCATCTCTTTGACCCTTCTTCTGCCTTTAAATGTCTCTCTGATTGCAACCAAGAAAAGTTCTGTGCATGTAAGGATTTTGTAATTACAGTGGGCATTGGGGTCATGTAAAATCCAGTGAAATCTTCCCATTTTGAGATCTATAATCTTAATATATCTGAGTATATATACATATATATATCATATATATACACATATATACACAATACATATACATATATATGTATAATATATACACATATATACACTATATATCATATATATCATATATATGATATATATATCATATATATCATATATATGATATATATATCATATATATCATATATATGATATATATATCATATATATATGATATATATATACATATATATTATAAGGGATATATATATATCCCTTATGTCCTTTAAGGTAATATATTCACAGATTCCAGTGATTAGAGAATAGGCATCTTGACACAGGAAGAGGTGATTCTATTCTGCTTATCACATTCTTCTCTGCTTTCCTACAACACTTCATCTGAACTATTCTGTTTGTGTGAGACAGGGTCTTGCTATGTTGCTCAGGCTAGCCTCAAACTCCTAGGCCCAAATGATTCTTCTGCCTCAGCTTCCTGAGTAGCTGGGACCACAGGCATGTGTCACTGAGCTCAGCTCATCTGAACTATTCTTTTTACACTTAAATCTATCTATCTATATACCTACCTACCTACTTATCATCTATATCAAAGCATATTTCTTCCCTGTTGTATTAAACTGAAAACTATTTGAAAACAAAATGTGCATGTAATTTACTTTTCTTTCTCTATACCATCCCAATCATATCTGCATGGACTTAGAAAAAATATCTAATAAATAGCAGGCTTCATTTCACATTTACTAAAATATTAAATACATATGAAGTCTTTTCCAACACCTGAAATAGAAAAATGTGTCTTTCCCTAAGGACATATTTTCCTGACAAAATATTAACAGATCTGTTTTGACAGGCATCATTGCTCCTACAGAGCAAGACCAAAAAAAAAGATATCAATTTAAGTTCAGAAGGGTTTTTAAATGTCCTCAGAGAATGACTAAGAGTCTACTAAAATGACCCCTCTGCAGATCTTGAAATACAGAAAGCAGCTACCTGAATAATAAAGAGAAGCAGTTATAATCTGACACAGAGTCCTCTTGTGAGCAGAAATACTTTCAGGACTAAGTTGTCTGTTTTTGTCTCTTCCATTTGGGAGACAGAATAAGTTACCACTCACGGAACCATGGGGTTTCCTCATGAAGAATGTGTTCTTCAGGGAAGTTATGGAAGTTTTGAAAGAGATGGGGGATTTCAGAAGTAAATTAGCCAGAGAGGGATTCCCCAAATTCTGTCTTTCACATTCCTGACTGATGTCAGATCAAGGCACATATGGAGCAGACCCAGCTGCTCAGTTAAAGACAAAAGATTGAACTGTGTTTGCCACCCAAGAAATAGTTTGTAGTCTGGGTCCAACCAAGCCAATTATTTATAAAACAAAAGCAGCATACTCACAACAGAAAAATAACAGAATCTACATTTTTGATTTCCAGGATACAATCCAAAATTATCTGATATGTGAAGTAAAAGGAAAACATGAACCTCTCAAAATAAAAGATAAGAAACTGAGACCAATCCAGATGACCCAGCTGTTACAGTTGGCAAACAAGAATGTTAAGTCAGCTCTCATACTTTCCCTGAATTATGTAAGGTGTACGTCCCCTGCATAAACATCAACATAGGAAACTGAGGCAGAGAACATAAGATTATTATTGCTATTTAGGGTCCTTTGCAGTTCCATATGAGTTTTAGAATTGTTTTCTCCTATTTCTGAAAAAAAAATGGCACTGGGACTTTGATAGGGCTTGCATTGAATCTGTAGGCCACTTTTGGTAGCTTAATACATTTTAAAGCACTGAAACTCCTATCTCAACTAGTCCGTTCTGTTCATGAATCCATAAATTCATCTTCCTTTAGGAAATCTAGATCTCTCTCTCAACAGAAACTACAGTTTTTCTCATCAGGATTAAGTGGGAAAGGTATACTACTATATAAAGCTGCTATTTGCTTTGAAAAAGATAAGTGAATAAAGAGTACTTTTCTTCATAGAAATAAGTGTAATCTCAGGCTTGAATAAAAGGAGTAGGAAGGAAGGTCTAGGGAATACAAAATTTCATTCATAGTAAAGCAAGCATGAATAAAAAGACTCAAATTATTAAATAAGATGAGAATTTCAGTGTCAGGGTTGAGATAATTTCACACACTGATGGTGCTAAGATGGAGTTGGACATGAGACAGGAATGGAGAAGCCTGCTTTCAAGTATAGACTATAAAAGAAGCAATTCACAAAACAGCAACAATTATTTTCTGTTTTCTGTAATTTAGGTTCAAATGTCTATTTTTCTATGCGATTTCACTTGACTATTGATGTATGCTATTCCTGCATTCTGTAGCATTTCGCTTTTTCCTTTATGTATCTCTTATTCCATTCGGTTTTATCCTTAATTATTTTCATGCCTACCTCTAACTGGATTACAGGTGCCTTGGGGACAGCAGATAATCAAATTCATATCTATATCTCTGTTTCCTCATATTGTATATAAAGGATATTTTCAAGAGGCATCTGTGAAATACATGTTAACTTCCTGTTGAGCATCCTAAAAAAAGATCACATCTTCAAAACTTTGAAATATTTTCTTGTGAACAAAAATTGTTTAAATATGTATTTTGTTCCTGTGACAATCACAGAATTTTGCCTGTCTTTTTGGTTTTAAACTTTGTTTGGTAGACACACTTTTCAAAATTCCATTGTTAAATTCACATGTTTAATGCTTGCTTATCCTCATAAATATTTATCTGACATAATAATGAAATAACAATATTCTATCAATTCTAGCAAGGTCTCCTTCATAAATGCCCAAGAGATTTCCTATTTCTCATATCCATATGGTTAAGGTTTTCAAGATTAATTCATTATTCCCATATTGACAACAAATATAACCGTATCATAAATATTAATTACAAGGATCAGTGTCATTCCTTTCACCTCATCCCTTATAATGTCATTACATTGTTTATGAAACTAATTTCTCACCTTCTTTTTCTCAGTGCTACAATTTTAGAACATATAAACACTTTGAGTTTCAACTTTTCAATAGGTGTTCATTTTTGGAAGGCAACGACTATCAGAATTTATTTTAGAATTTACAAAAACAAGTATGCATAAAAACTCTTGTTTGCCCTTCACCTCCATTTTTAATTTACATAGTGGTTATTTTAATTAAGGTTTAGAATTTTGGGAGTATTAATTTACCAAGCTTTCCATCATATTGATTTTGATGTTCAGAGTTATCTTCAGAAGTCTGTGAAGAATGCTTACTGTGCAAGAATAAAGGGGCGTTTTATTAAACCCAACTGGCTAAAAAAGATAAAGGGGCTTAAACATGAAGTCAAATCACGATATATCTTACATTGTTAAAAATTAAAGGAACACTTAAAAAATTAAATAAAGCACAGGAGGTAAAGTAAGTGTTCACTGTTAGGTACATCCCAGTGAAGAGGCATGGCACGGTCAGTGGCTTCCATTCCACCATCTCCACTCTACCTCTTTCCCTCTCCAGGATGTTACACTCTAATTCCCAAATACTTTTGCAGGAAGCTGGTCTTAGAGGCAAAAGTGCAGATTAGAAAAAAATGCTGCTGCGTTTTCTCTAATATTCTCTTTTACTCCAGCCTGAAAAATATATCCTTTTCATAGCACAGATTAAACTACCCTGATCTGGAAGAGCTTACTATAAGTACTTAATACATTGCAATATTTGGTATCATCTTGCCTTTGCTTATGAGAGGAAATGAAGGGAACAACAAATTTGTTTATTGTCAGTAACTATTCTTTAAAAAAAAAAAGTAAATATAATTGTCTTGATCTGCTCAGCCAAAACTGACTATAAGATTGCTTTAGTTTGTAGATTTTGTCAACTGCATTTAACCAAGGGTAAGAAAACAGAAATCTAAAGAATTCTCATCACCCACTTTATAAAATTAACTTGAATACCCTTCCCTCCCCCTTCCCTTTCCTGGTTTTCCATAATAATCTATGCAAGATGTAATATTTTTCAAAGATTTTAGAAACTGGTTAATTCTTTTTATTCCATTTTTTCCTTGTAATCATAATATACAACCACAATATTTACATGAATGCTGCATTCATTTTCTATTCTTGTATAACAACAATAGAAATTGTTTCTATTGTTGTTCCAAAATTTTGTGGCATAATATGACAATAAACATACATTATCTCTTACATTCCCTGTGGGTCAGAAATTAGGGAGGAACTTGGTTGTGTGGTTCTGGCTTGAGGGCTCTCATCAATTTCAGTCAGATGTCAATTGGGTCTGCAGTCATTTGAAGGCTTGACAGGGGCTGGAGGAATCTACTTCCAAAGGGGCTCTCTCATATGACTGGCAAGTTCCTTCCTGCGTTTGTCAGGAGATGTCAGTTTCTCACCACAGACCTCTCCAGGGAGCTGCTGGATTGTTTACATGGCAAGTGGCTAACTTAAGTTAGTCAAAATAAATTATAAAAAATAGGCAAAACCTGAAAAATCACACACTATCACTTCCTCAATATTCACTTGGTCATGCAGATAGGCCATGATTCAATATGGGAGGTGTATTAATCTTTTTGCATGCCTGTCTTCTTCTGAGCCCTCCAAACTGTTCCAAAGTCACTGCCACATTTTCAGGCATCTTTTCAGCAGCACCTAACTCTACTGATGCCAATTTACTGTATTACTGTATTGTTGTTAGTTTTCATGCTGCTGATAAAGACATACCTGAGACTGGGCAATTTACAAAAGAAAGAGGTTTAATTGGACTTACAGTTCCATGCAGCTGGGGAGGCCTCACAGTCACCGCAGAAGGCAAGGAGAGCAAGTCACATCTTACGTGTATGGCGGCAGGCCAAAAAAGGAGCACTTGTTCAGGGAAACTCCCCTTTCTATAACCATCAGATATTGTGAGACTTGCTCACTATTATGAGAACAGCACGGGAAAGACCTGCCCCCATGATGCAATTACCTCCTACCAGGTCCCTCCCACAATATGTGGGAATTCAAGATGAGATTTGAGCGGGGACACAGCCAAACCATATGAGGAGGAAAGTACACAAGGTTGTAAAAACCAGAAATCAAGAATCATCAGGATCCATCGTCATGGCTGTTTATCTACTACAAATAATTCTTCCAATTTCCTGGCCATCTTCAGTGGATTTCTTTACTTCAAGTTAGCACCCACTCGCAGGTTACATTCTAAAAATCTGAAAAAACTCCAACTATAAGATCACCAATTCACTTAATCAGCTGTCTAATTCAACCAGTTCTCCTTAAATTTTACTTAATCAACTCCTCATATTAAGAAGTGTACATTTGCTCAATCAAAATCACAATGAGATACCATCTCACACCAGTTAGAATGGCGATCATTAAAAAGTCAGGAAACAGCAGATGCTGGAGAGGATGTGGAGAAATAGGAACACTTTTACACTATTGGGAGTGTAAATTAGTTCAACCATTGTGGAAGACAGTGTGGCAATTCCTCAAGGATCTAGAACTAGAAATACCATTTGGCCCAGCAATCCCATTACTGGGTATATAACCAAAGGATTATAAATCATTCTACTATAAAGGCACGTGCACACATATGTTTATTGCAGCACTGTTCACAATAGCAAAGTCTTGGAACCAAACCCAGATGCCCATCAATGATAGACTGGATAAAGAAAATGTGCCACATATACACCATGGAATACTATGCAGCCATAAAAAAGGATGAGTTCATGTCCCTTGCAGGGACATGGATAAAACTGGAAACCATCGTTCTTAGCAAAGTAACACAAGAAGGGAAAACCAAACACTGCATGTTCTCACTCATAAGTGGGAGTTGAACAATGAGAACACATGGAAACAGGGAGTTGAGCATCACACACAGGGGCCTGTCAGAGGGTGGGCGCTGGGGGAGGGATAGCATTAGGAGAAATACCTGATGTAAATGATGAGTTGATGGGTGCAGCAAACCAACACGGCACATGTATACCTATGTAACGAAGCTGCACCTTGTGCACGTGTACCCCAGAAATTATAATAAAAAAAGAAATGTACATTTGCTCAATTTCCAGCACTATTTACTTTTAATTATTTTCTTATTCAACTTAAATTTTAGAGTCTATCATTCCACTATTGCTCTTGGACATACCTTCTTATCATTGACATTTGAATTTTACAGTAACAGATAATAGTGTCTATTTTCCCATTTTCAAATTAACTTCTTAACAGTACTGGAAAAGTTCACACACACAACAGTGTATCACTATTATTTAATGATTGCAAACCTCAAACAGGACCTCAGTTTCCCAGGAAACTATAATAGTTGAGTCAACTCATTCTCTGAATGAAACATTTTTTTTCCTCCTTGAAATGTGACCAACTCATTTCCTCTTTCAATATTACTGATATTTCCTTCTTAACTAAGAACATGTAAGCTGTCAGATGGGAAATCTCTTTACTTCCATTCAGCAAACACATAAACCTTGGTTACGTCACACTCATCCTTTCATTTTTCTGTTTTGTTGCAATAGATCAGTAAGTCTCAAACTTTAGCATGTATCAGAATTACCTGGAGAGTTTGTTAAATTATTGATTTTTGGTCCCTACTTTGACTTTTAAGGCATTCCAAAGTGATGCTGTTGTTGCTGGTCTGAAAACTATTTTGAGGATTACTGTGATACAGAACATATTACTGATTGGTGTAGTAAAAATCCCTCCCCTTGTGCCCTGGACTCCAACCCTTTCCCATTATTAGGATTATCAGGATATTTATTACTCTTCTTTTTTCCAACCCCATAAACATACATATATATGGACATTTGAAACAAACTTTTCTGTGAACCAATACCCTTCATAAATCTCCCTTTGACAAGTAATTTTTTTGAAATAATTTTCCAATTTATTGTCCACATTCATTCATTTCCCTCTAACCCCTCATCTCTTTCCAGTGTGGCTATTTCCCTGATCCACCCAACTGAAACACATTTTGATAAATTCTTGAAATACCTCCAGCTTGCTAAATCCAAAGGACATCTTTTTTATTCCACATATTGATTTTTCTATTTCGTCTTTCTCTAAACACACCTGGTTTCAATTACACCATGCACTCCAGGCTTAACCAGAATGAAAATGTCACTGTTTTATCCATCTCTGTTGGTTCCCATTTTATGATTATCTTTATAGGCTTCTCCAACATTTAGCCATTAGATTTTAGAGTCCCTTAACATTTTTCCCCAGACCTTCAACTTTCCTTCTCTATAATCTGTTTCCAGACAATTTTATGCTTTCCCAACATTTTAATCACCACCTTGATGCTGATTACTCTCAAATATAAATCCACACTTAAGAGCTTCCTTTGATTATCCCTTACCTGTCTAGCTACCTGACTGCTTGATTTCTCAATTTGAATAAACATAAGTACCTCAAAGACAACATTTCTCGACCCCTATTTATTTGCTTTCTTCTCCTGCTTTGCATGCCAGATTGGATTCCTTCCCATTGTTTCTCATGTCATAGCGTAGCTTCCACATCCAGTAGGTGAAGCAAGTTACAAACCTAACTGCCACCATTGGTACCTCAGTCTTTCTAACACTCCATGTTCAAATCATCATATAGTCAGGTGCACTTCACATTTTAAAATAGCTCTAAAATTCATGCATTTTCAATGTCTATACTGATAGAATTTTAGTTGCTATTCCTCCAAGGTTTATTTTCTTATGTTCTATAGCCTGAGAGTAAACTTCTTATTTATGAATTTCTTTCTATTTATCTTGTTAAAGTTGACTAAACTGTGAATTTCAGGGTTGCTTATTATTATCAATTCTGGAATATAGTCAATTTCTATTTATTGCCTCTGTATTTGCTTTCTCTCTGGATTCTACTTAATTATATCCTGAAGACTCTTACTTAATTGTCCATTTGTTTGATGTTTTTCATAATTTCTGTTTATTGCTTCTTTCTGCTACATTCTAAAATACTTTTTCTGCTCTAATCTATTTTTCATATATGTTTAATTTGCTCATTTAATGAATCCAATGACTGTATTATGTCAAATATTAAATTTTTAATTTCTAGAAATTCTTTTTAACTTTTAAAATATACCTGAACTCTTCTGATAATTCTCTGCTCTATCATCATCCTTTTATTGCTTATGTAATTTTAAACATATTTTGAAATATTAATATTTTATGTCTGAGAACTCTGATAAGTACAGGCTTTTGAGATTTATCTTGCAGTTTGTTTGTTTACTATCATTCATGGGATTGAGGAAATTCTACCTTGAGAGCCTACCTAGCATTTTTTAAAATTATGAAATTATGAGCTTATATTTAATAGAACTTTATTTTTAGACCCAGTATTCAATGTTTGCCTTTAGATAAAAAATGCACTTGATTACTTTGATACAACTAGTTTGAGACTTTTTCTAAACTTAATTTTCCATTTTTATGCATGAGAGTAAGAGCATATGGGTAATGTGAATTCAATCATAAAACTCAACTTGAGGCCGGGTGCGGTGGCTTGCACCTGTAACCCCAGCACTTTCGGAGGCCAAGGCGGGTGAATCACGAGGTCAGGAGTTCGAGACCAGACTGGCCAACATGGTGAAACCCCGTCTCTACTAAAAATACAAAAAATCAGCTGGGCGTAGTGGCAGGTGCCTGTAATCCCAGCTACTCGGGAGGCTGAGGCAGGAGAATCACCTGAACCCGGGAGGCAGAGGTTGCAGTGAGCTGGGATTGCACCACTGCATTCCAGCCCTGGCGACAGAGTAAGACTGTGTCTCAGAAAAAAAAAAAAAAAAGAAAACTCAACTTGAGTACGTGTTTAAGAATTCTCAGGGTGGACATTTTTTTCTTCCTCTTTATAGATATTGAGACCTGTGCATATCTCCTCTGTCTGTGCCTGAGGTATAGAAATTTTTAAGGTATTTTTCTTATTGATGTATTCCCAATGTGTAAGACAATCTTTGACACTGATTAAGTATTTATTAAATACTTGAGGAATGAATGTTTAATATTGAGTAGTTACAATTGATACAAAGAAATCATGTCCTGATGTCCATGCAGAAAAATGTACTGATGCAAGGGACACAGAGACCTCATGAAACATCTATGAGAGCAGTTTTGCAGGCATCAAATAACTTACAGGCTTTTTACCATCTTAAACATGTGTGAATGAATTTTACAGAATATAAGCTTACAGAGAAAAGCTATTATAAATAAAAAAGAACAAATATGCATTTTAACTAGAAGAAATTAATACATCTATTTCAATCTTTCTGAGGTTAAAAATGATCAATATTAGGATATCTACTAATAGAAATTATCAAGTTATATAGGTAGAAGTCAAACATGAAGAGGGTAACTTTTTGTCTACCAAGTGCTTCATAAATAAGGTGCCCAAACTGACACTCATATTTATGCATCTTTGACTCCAAACCTATATTCTTAAACTATAATTTATGTTGAAAATTGGCAGGTGGGTGGCAGGACAGAAATTTTTCAGAATCCTAGAGTATAAAATAAAACTTTATTGCAAAAGAGTAAGTTGTTTGACATACATAATCAAAAGAAATCGGTTTCTATTATATATATAAATATATATATAATACACATATTTCTCATATATATATATATATATATATATATATATATATATATAAGGATATACAACAATAAGGAAAATGCTTTAAAAAAATTTCTGTATCTCAGACATAGACAGATGAGATGTGGACCTGTCTCAATAGTCTATCCAGAGGAAGAAAAATAAGTCTACTCTGAGAATTCTGAACACACACACACATATGTATATATAATAGCTAGTTATAACAGCTAATGAGAAGACAACCATCTACAATAACCATATATACACAGAGATGAGAACAACATGCAGTTCTGATGGAAGAAATACTCCAAAATCTTATTGAGAAACAATGGATTGTTAAATATAATAGTGTCTTTAATGACGCCATTTTTGAACTTATATCAGTAAACAGATCACCCCAAATTAACAAGTGTAATTTTGTTTCTATATAAGCAGGGGCACAATCAAACAGAATTAACTCTGAGTATTTAAAAAGGAGGAATTCAATGCACTGGATGAATTACACAGAAGTTGAAAGAGTTTGAAACAGCAGATCTTAAGCTAACAAGAGATTAACAATAGCAGAAGACAGTATTACCCTTAGATTGGAGGGATATAGGGAAGGGGGAGATTTTATTGGAGCCCAGAACCCTGGCATAACCAGAATTTGAAGAGGAGATTTACTGGCAACTTGAGATGCTGTGCAAGACAGAAAAGGAAGGGAAGAAATAACTTTGGCCTTACCTCCCTTCCCACCTTCCAATTTCCCACCAGTACATCCCATTGGCCAAACCCATTTGGAAGCCTTTAAAATTAATCTGTAATGACAGACTCCCTCCCCCAGTACACTGAGGTATAAGCAAACCAGGAAGGGTTGACAAGCTGATAGGTGGGCAAAACCTTACTTTTCTTCTATGTGCTTAATATGAATATGCGAACATTTTTCATTGTAAGCATTTAGTGTATATACTTGAAGGCTCTTTGTATCTTAAAATTGTTGAAAGCATTCTTCTCTACCATAATTTCTGGGTTTTTTTGAAAAAAATATTTTAATGACTGTCTTTTCTCAATGTATTACCTTAAAAATCAAATTTTTTTGAGATTATATTATTTCTAATTGTTAAGGTGGTAGAAATCGTATATGAGCATGTACTTTATACTTATATTTTATTTTTCCTTAGAATAAATTCCTGTAAACTGACTTGATGGGTCAAAATTAGTAAAGTTATTAAGTTTCTTGACTAACAAAATCCTATTTGTATGTTTATATATATGAAAAATTTACAACTATTCATAATCCTATAGTATAGATTTTAACTAAAATTATATTCCTGCATTTGTGTATATATATATATGAGAGAGAGAGTATGTATATATATATATTGAGAGAGAGAGTGTATATATATATAGAGAGTGTATATATATATATATATATAGTGTATCTATATATATGTGAAAATTTAAAATTATTCATAATCCTATAGTACAGATTTATCACTCTTAAACATTTGGAAGACAAATATTTTTTCTACTAGCGAACAGACTATATTATTTATAATTCAATTTTTCTAGCTTTTATTTTTTAATAACCTTTATTATTATAGGACAGTTTTAGATTCACAGAATTCTTGTGAAGATAGTACAGAATTTCCATATATGCAGTTTCTCCTATTAGTAACTTCTGATACTATTAAGGTACATATGTCACATTTAGTTAACCAATATTGAATTATTATTACTATTAACCAACATCCATTTTTTATTTTAACTTCCTTAAACCTTACTTCATGTCTTTTTATTGTTCTATGACCTCATCTAGAATGCTACATTACATTTAGTATGTAATGTTTTATATAGTATTTAGTATTTAGGCTCTTATTCGGAGCCTAAACAGACTCTAATTAATTAGAGCCTAACAGTCCTCTGATTAAAAGGACTAATAATTGTGACCGTTTCTCAGACTTTCCATGTTTTTGATGAACTTGACAATGTTGAGCAGCACTAGTCAGATATTTTGTAAAATGTCCCTGAATTGAAATGAGTCTGATAATTTTCTTATTATTAGACTTGAGTAATGGGCTTTTGGGAGGAAGACCACAGAGGTAAAGTGTCATTCCATCACATCATATCAAGGGTCTATACTATTACCATGACTTGTCACTGACGATGCTAACTTTGATCATTGCTCCCAAGATAGTTTCTGAGGTAAAAAATTATTTGGAATGATTCTACATGGGAAATTTGTTTATCCTCCCCTATGTATATGTTTATTCAAGTATTTATTTATCTCAGTTTAAATGTACGGATATTTATGTTACACTCTAAGTTATAACATTTATATTTTAAATTTTATAATAATTTTATTTAGTTACATTGAAGTGAATCTGTGCATAAAACCTTGATTATTTTCTTAGTGATTGACAAAATTTTCTTGGGTTAAAGGTAATACATTCTTGAAGGCTTCTGATATAATTTGCCATAATGCCTGTCCTAAATGTTATAAAAATGTCCACTTTACTTTGCCTCCTAACTACTTTATAAAGGGCAAAGAAAGTACCTACTCTTTCTATATCCCCCAACAGACATATTGTAGAGCTTTTTACATCAAGGAGGCATGGCTTGTGAATTACTCTCTCATCCACTGCATCTACTGTATGTTTTGTTTTTGTCTTCAGCAAGACCTCTAACTACACCTGTTTCAGGAATGACATGTAAACCTCATCATTTGGAGACAACACTTAATGAAAATAATCCCCTCTGGGTTAAATTAATATTTTGCTCTCCTTTTTCACTTCCTTATAAAAGATATGTGGGTTGGATAGAGACAGTCATGGGCGTTTGTGTCAATTTTACACTTAGTTCATGAGAGTGCTGGTTATGTTGCATTTGTCACGACAACACTCTACGCGTAAATGGGACTGTTTATGTTTAGAAGGTGAGGAAACAGATTCCAAAAGGTCAAGGTGCCCAAGATTGTATACGCAGTACAGTGTTAATATTAATGTTGTGTGAATACTTTATACCAAGCATGTTTAATCTTCCACAACACTGCAGAATGTTATTCTCATTTTACAGACATTAAAACAGGAGTTTAAAGATGTTGAGCCTGAGGTAAGCAAAGCAAAAAAGCAGTAAGGTGTTTTCCCCATTTGCATCATTTTTCTTCAAATCCATGCTGCTTCATGTAGTGTGGATAATAGTCACAGATAAAGGTGGATTTGCATATAAAATTTATGATATTTATATTTGGTTGCTACACTGTGCAATCCTGTTTGGAGGAAAAGATATAGTAGGAAGCAGAGAAGAGTACTATAAAATAAATAAGTAGATAAGCTAGAGTTCAAAGTAAGAAATTTTAAATTTGATGTCACTGTGTTACCAGCATTACTTTAATTCTAAATATTTTCTTCTTAATCTTATTAAGCTTGAAATTTAAGTCCCACCATGAATGCAAGTTTAGAGATGCTGAGCTAGACGGCATTATCTGTGAGGTTAGGACATTTCCCATTGCCAATGTTCATGCCAAAAAGTTTAGTAAGAACCCTAGTCTTGTCACATGCTGGTATATAAGATTTTTTCCCTTGGCGAAAGACTGGGTTATTTTCTTTCTAATAAAAAATATTATGGATCCAGACAGACAAGTTTTTAATTCTCAGCTGCTGTGTGCATTTAGTCAAACTATTTAATCTCACTAAGCCTCTGTTCTTATTTAAAATATCATGTAGTTAAAGCCAGCAGAATAAATCCACTATTACCCTATATAGTTAAAACACACAGAAAACAGAACTAGAGAAAAAATAGAATAATTTAAAAGAAAATTTCTTAAACGCATTCCACAAATCATGAGTAACACCTGCATATTCTTATAATGATTTCAACATGAGAAGCCTGCTGAGAAACAACGAACAATTCTCAGACCTCCAATAGAATACGGATGTTGTCAAAGTATCTCCAACAGGAAATTTGCTTCAGTAATACTGAGACTAGAACAAGAATTTCCGAGACTCAACAAAACACGCAAAAACAGCAGAATACGGCTAAAGCAATCCAGTGGCAGAAGTGGGATAGTGTGATTGAAACAATGGAAGCAATGTTGCCATTCAATCTGGGTTTCATTCAAGCTGCTTCCATAAACTTTGAATCCCAACACTCTGGTTACTGTGATGCTAATCCAACCTTACATTCTTCTCGCCTTCATCAAATGCCTTTGGAGTCCATTCTAATACATATTTCCCAGTTTTCTACATATGTGAGTTGGTAAATTTTGCAATATTTTTGTATGTATGGCAACGCTTCTCAGACTTTGTGTTTATACTCTTCGGTATCTACTCAGATTTGGATCTCAACATAGGTTTTGAAAAGTGAGAGGGATACAGTGAGTGTTAAGGAGATTCAACTTGCCTGTGCAAGGCAGCTGCCTCTGGGAGATTTATTATTAAGCTTTTTGGTCTTGGGGAAGCAAATCTCCTCCTATGGGGAGAAAAGATTTCTTCCTTCACCACTGGGATTTTGGGATTTAAGATCTCAATACCAATTATTAGAGTCACATTTATTTCTGATCTGAACATAAGAGACCTAAAGAGGCTATAAATTCAATTAACATTGTAATTCAGACACTTGATGAGTACAACTTAGAATTTGGTTTCATGAAATCCTATGTCGATATAACAGAGCTGTCATAGAAAATGTCTATTTTCTATATATGTCTTGGACTGAAACTATAAACACCCAAGTTTGCCATTTTTGTTCTCCAAGATCTTCAGCATATTCACAAGCAGCTACCTATCTCAGAAAACCAGTACAATGTATTTCTGCCATAACTCTCTACTGCCAAAGCTACGTGGTATCCCCAAACATCATATTTTGTAGACATTCAACTCTAGGCAGCTTGAAATAACATGTTAAGAATTTTTAACTGATGATTCTCTCTGAATGGAAGGCCCTTAAATGGTTCTTAAGCTTTTCCCTAGTCCTATAATAGAAAAAACAAATATTCCTTTTATACAACAGAATTTTAAAAAACTTAGCAAAGTATGCATTTAAATTCATGCTTAACGAACAGGAATGATCACAGAACTATCTCCTGTCCCAACCTCACTCTGCCCAATAAATGTCATCTAGCAAATAAGTGGCACTACTTTTTCAAATGACTGTGTGTTTATATTCTGTGCCATCACAGCAGAGAAATATTATCTATAAGGGAAGGGAGTTAATTTGCCTTGTTTACTAAGATGCTTTTCTTATTCTTTGTGGAATGAATGAATATTATTTCTGTATTATTTCTCTACCACAACAGAGCTAATTTTTTATGTTTCTTAAATAATTTTCTTAATATTGGGCAAGTTATTCTATTTTCTCTTGCTTAGACTCCTTGTCCATGAAATGGAAATTTTAATATATGACACTTAACAGATATAACTGATAAAGAATTACTGTGTGAACATGAAGAAATATACATGTTGTTCATTTCATCTTCACTCATAGTTGGTTGTTCCCTCTAAGCCTTGAGGCCTGAAGCTGGCTTCTTGGGTCATATTATAATCATTCCAATCTGGTCCAATTATGTACTGGCCCAGTTCTATACCTTCATTTGTTTGTGGCCTGTTATTTTCAGTTATTTCCAGGCTGCCATCTGTTCTACTTTGACCTCTTTAAAAGTTTTGAGCATGTATAACTCAGCAGCTGAGAGAACCATGGACACATCTCTTTCTGCATTTTGCATTTATTAAGTATTTACTATGAGTCAGAACTATTTAAAAATGGGGAAATATATATATAATATATATTATTATAGATATACGTATATATCTATAATAACAGAGTTCCATGGGTAAGTGTTCAGTATGCAGAAAAGTTGAAGAGCTGGATTTTGAACTCACAAAAGTTGAAGGGCTGGATTTTGAACTCACAGTTATTTTTCTGCCTATTTTCTTAACCACTGTGTATACTTTTCTTTTTCATATATTAAACTAGAAATTTTCTCTGCACAATTTGATTTAAACAACTTTTATCTTTATACAAAGGCTACTCCTCTTCACTTGGTCTTATTTTTAGAGGTAATTTTTTTACTCATTTCCCTGATTCTGACCTTGAATTTGCCCAGAATGTTGTTTTCCTAAATCCCCATCTGCTCCACAAGTTTAAATCATAGACAAGAGGCACATTTTTCAGTGACCCAGTCCACCTCTTGTCCTTGCTGGTCAGAGGAGGAATCTCAGACTTCATTCTCAGGCCCTCCTAGGCTGTCTTAGAATCCTCACAGTAGGGTCTTGGTGTTCTCTGGCCTGGTCTAATGCCCTTGTTCTCTGACACACTCAGCTATTCCAACATATCTAGTCACCTACTTCTCTCAGTAAATAAATTTAAGGAGATCGATTCCTAGTAAAACAGGTTAATAATTTATTTATCCAGGTGATCATTATTACTTCTCATCGAGAAAACAATTGCCATTTGAAACAGGCCTCACAATGTAGAAAAGCTGTACAGGATGCCTAACGATGATCAAATGGTTATTGGATGATCCCTGAAATGAATCAAGAAGTGTCAAATGGAAGAGATGAATAGCTAGTGACATACCAGTAAAATAACCTGATGCATCTATGCCTAGAATCAAAATCAACAACCATATAAAACAAATAACAAAAGTAAGAGCTGTTCCATTAACAGTCCAGCATGCCTAACACTACTGCTTTTTATGTTATGTGCTGAAAGATCTCTCTTTTTTAGATATATTATCTGTATAGTTGTCTCAAAACTGATTTACGATATACATAAGGTTTTGTGTTCCTACCTTTGCTTTGGGATTGCGATAATGTGTATCTCTAAGAGAGCTTTTGTAGCTCTAGGGTCTCATTCACCATGTCGTGGATGAATCCATTGGCACATTAACTCTCAGAGTTCTGGTAGTGCTTCATTGTCACTTACAAAATGCCACTTACATATCTACTTGTACATTTGGTCATTCTTTTCATATCACACAATCTGAAAAGAAAAGATACATTGAAACACAACAAAATCCGTGCAACGTTGCTTTGGCTTGGGTAAGCATATTGATTTTCGAGCCTTCGCTTTGGCCCCAGTTTGATGAGAGCCTTCTGACTAACTACAGCTATTTCTGGGGTTTAGTTTTCTCCATGGGGGAAAGGAAAGCTCAACGAAATAACTACTAATTTTATTTTCATATTGACTTGTATAACTCAGCTTGATATCTTTGACCCTTTAAGGCACCAGATTCAACATGACAATTTAATAATAATTTTAAAAAGAATTGCTAATAATGTGCCTGTTAGCCAGGCAGCCTACATGTAGAATCTTTATTAAATAAATAAGGAAACCAATGCTAATGTAGAGCAAGTGATTTTCCGAACGTGACGTTGTTTTCTTTTTCCTTTTTCTTTTCCTTTTTTTTTTTTGAGACAAGAGTCTCCCTCTGTTGCCCATCCTGGAGTGCAGTGGTGTGATCTCAGCTCACTGCAAACTCTGCCTCCCAGGTTCAAGAGATTCCCTCTGCCTCAGCCTCCTGTTACAAGCATGTGCCATCATGTCTGGCTAATTTTTTTTGTATTTTTAGTACAGAAAGGGTTTCACCATGTTGACTAGGCTGGTCTCAAACTGACCTCAGGTGATTCACCCACCTCAGCCTCCCAAAGTGCTGGGATTACAGGTGTGAGCCACTGCACCTGGGGCTATTTTCAAGAGGGGCAGCCAGAATACAAATTGTCTGAACATAAGGCCCTTGTTCTCACCATCACATGCTAAACAGTTTCTCCTTCTATCAAATGGACTACTTTAGATACACAGATGACTGCAGCACTGGCCTTATCTACCTGCTTACATCAATAATTGATATTTAAGTAGGGCAATTTCTTTCAAAGGAGAATACAATTTGAATGCTCCAAAACAAAAACAAAGGAAGAAAAAAAAACTTACAAAGAAACAAAACAAAAAATATTTAACTCCCCCATAAAGGTTTGAAAGAATATGTGTTTTTGCTGGAAAGAAATTCAGTGAATTCAAAGAAGTTCCTATTAAGTCTGTTCTTAGAGAAAGGCGCTGTCCATTGACAAGGTGAGACCAATCAGACAGTATCCGTCAGAACAGTGTCAGAGGACAAATTGATTTTGCTGTCTTAAGGGCGTGTAATCAAATAATTTGTAGAAATAGAGAAGTCACCATTCAACTGTTGATGTCAATAATTCAGTTACTTTGAATGTTAACAATTTGAAGAGAGTCAAATTACATGTATTCCAGGTTTTAGAGACTGGCAAATCTTTTTTTTATTTAAATATTAATATTTTTCAAAATTAGATTCAAAGTAAATCAGATACTGACTGTTGTCACTTACTTTTTTTTTTAATAAAAATGCATCCCTAAAAGTTTGTAGTTGTATTTTACAGAAATAAAAGGTCAGATTTTGTGTTTCCAACTACAAATTGTTTGCCTGCAAACGAGCACATTTTTGGGAAAAAAAAAAAAAAGATGTGCTAATAATGCTACATAAAGTTTATAAAAGTGCTCAACATGCTTTGTTTACATTCTAATAATTGGTCTTGGAGTAAATATATTAGGTAGGTAAGAAAAAGAAAAATATTTTCATTACAGATTAAAGGAAGTTTTCTGTGTTGTTCTGCACTGTGACTTTGCCCTTAAATCAGAGACATCCTCAGCCCCCAGTCAGCCCACTAAATTCTTAGTTACAATTCCAGGTCCAAATTGTAGTTAAACCTTTGTCAAGTCGTCTTTAGAGTCACCAGAAAATTCATTACATCCATCTTCTTCATCTATTTGTCATCCATTATCATTTATGAACATTTAGTTTACTGTTAATATATTACACTGTAATCATTATAGTCATACTAGTATCTATTCATTGATCACACCTCTTCTCCACAAAATAATTGTCAGCTTATGAAAATACATTAAATATAAAAAAAATCTCAAATCCGTAAAAAATTGAAGCGGCAAAAAGAAAGGGGGAGTGATGGAAAATAAGTCACAAAAATAAAAATAGAAACCTTGGTGTAATGATCTAATATATTTGCTGACATGGCATCACGAACCATGCTCAAGCAATCACTGAGAGGAATTTTTAAAGTCAATTTAATAATTCACGATGTTCAAAATTACAGGAAAAAAAATGCTCAGAAAAAAATCAAAATAGTTTTTGTAGGAGTTTGACACCAAAATTTCTCCCAAATCTCTGGTAACTTGTTTTGGTTTTATGTCTCACTCACACCAGACTAGACCATGAGTTCCTTGAGGGCTGGGGTGACTCCCATTCACCTGTCAGAGGGAGATTTGTGTCATAGTGTCCTCCTTCATGCAGTCAAGGCAATAGGTACCCTATGAGAAGCCCACAGCTAAATGTTAGCTAAGCTGGAAGTCTCCTCAGGCTCTCTGGAGTCATGCCTGGCTCATAACATGAGTTAAATAAATTACTCTCAATTTTTATTGTCCATAACACATTGCATAAAACAAAGGAAATCTGCTTTTTAAATAATTATTTAAACTCACCTTCAAAAAAAGAGCATTTAAAATAGGTTAAAATCAAGGTACATGAATTTGCATTGATCTAAATAAATAAATAATTGGGTAAATAAATAAATGAGTCGGAAAAATCAGTTCATCCTTAAAAAATGAAAGAGGAGGATTAAAAATCAACACTAGAACATTACAGTAGCAATTGTTTCAAGACGGATCCACCGATGAAACCTATAATTAGTGGGTATAATTTTGAGGTGTAACTCCTGTTGTAGTCTGCAATTACCCATGATATTTATTAATTACAAAGGAAAAATAATAACTCTACATCAGAGAAAACCAACATTCCCAGCCTTAGATAAGTGATCAAGCTTAATATCACCAGCATTAAGCTGGGTTGCCACCACATACCTCCTTACATGAGCCACTGAGAAAAGTACATCACTCTTTGGGTATTCCTTGCCACAACTGCATGAGTCCAGCCTAATTGTGAGAAACAGCAAATAAATCGAAGCTGAGGGATATTTTTTTTAAAGACCCGACCAGTATTCTTCAAAAGTGTCGAGGTCAGGAAAAACACAGAATAACTGAGGAATGTTTATAGATTAGAGGACAGTAAGAAGGCATAATAAATGTGGGATACAAAAGTAGTTTGGTGAGGACCAGGCGCAGTGGCTCACTCCTGTAATCCCAGCATTTTGGGAGGCTGAGGCAGGCGGATCACCTGAGGTCAGGAGTTCAAGACCAGCCTGGCTAACATGGTGAAACCCCATCTGTACTACAAATACAAAAAAAAAAAAAGAAATTAGCTGAGTGTGGCAGCAGGCACCTGTAATCCCAGCTTCTTGGGAGGCTGAGGTGGGAGAATTGCTTGAACCCGGGAGGCGGAGATTGCAGTGAGCCGAGATCACGCCACTCACTGCACTTCAGCCTGGGGGACAGAGTGGGACTCTGTCTCCAAAAAAAAGGAGAAAAAAAAAAAAGTAGATTGGTGGAAAACCCAGCAAAATTGATCTGAATAAAATCTGCTGGTGTGTTAGTAGTGTTGTCCTAGTATTAACACCTTGTGACAAGTACATATGATTATGCAAGATGTGAGTAGTAGAGCAAGCAGAGAAAATATACACATAAACTCTGTATTATTTTTGCAACTTTCCTGTAAATTTGAATTATTTTAAATGGAAACTTTTTTTTTTCCTAGCGTCTTTGGGAAGGAAGAATTTTAGTTACCAGTACAACTTCTTTTGTTTTTGTTTTTTTTTAAACTTCTTTTGTTAACATGATTTTATTTAGAGGTAATTTCAATCTTACAGAAGATTGCAAGAATAGTACAAAGAACCTCCGCATATCCTTTGTCCAGATTCACCACCTGTAATTTGTTGCATTTATATTTCCTTGTTATCTGTCTGTCTCTCTCTCTCTCTCCCTCTCTCTCATTAATATTAATGACTAGTTTCCTTCTTTAATGTATCACTTCCTTTATAGAGGGCTCTTAAAAATCTCCCATTATCTTTATATAATTGCTTAAATAAATGTATTAAGTATGCTTAAATCTTTGCCAGAACTCAGTCTCATGGCCACACTTCTCTGGAAGAGAGCCTGGAAAATGTGGTTTACTTTATGGGTGGCAAAGTGCCCAGCTAAACTTGTGATTGTGGAAGGAGAAAGGAGGTGTAGAGTGGGTGGGTAGCCTGCTCTGGAATACAGGTCTGCTGTAAGAAGCTTCTCCTACTTTGATTCATCTTCATTTTCCCTATTCCCACCTCCCTCTAAGTTAACTTCCCTTCCCATGTTTGCAGTTGCCACTACCTGATCCCTTATGATCTCAAAGCAGAAGAAAGTCACACAAAATGTTCTTCCAGTGCTCCTGGGTTCAGCAAATTTGAAACTTGCCCAGATCTAATCAGCAAACAACAGGGATGTTTGATTCAATTTCTGGTCACTGTGTGACTTTTAACATGGCTATTATACTATCAGAAAAGCTAAATACATTGTGAGGACTGCTAAGTTTAATTTTGTTTTGTGCTGGAACCAGCTGCCTAAAATAAGCCCAAATTTAACATAACCATGTCTTTAACATAACCATTTTTTAGTACTTATGACTAAGAAATATAATCTTTTGTGTTTATCTAATGTCATCAGCTAAACATAGCAATAAATAAATATTAATTTATAATTATTAAATATGATGTATGCATTAAAATATTTATTTTAATACAAGTAGAATTCAGAATCCTGATCATGTTAACAAGTTACAAACATAATTTTGGCATTTTTAAAATATTTTAACCAGTTATCTTTAATATATTTAGTATATATCTGTAAATATTCTCCTTTAATAAATTAGTTCCTTCTATTTATTCAAGATTGCATGATATTTAACAAGAGTACAAAGCCAGTTCCCTAAGGAAAAAATAATCTTTTCAACAAACAGTCCTGAGACAACTAGATATTCACATGTGAAAGAATAAAGTCAAAATACCTTTCCCATACTATACACAAAAAGTAATTCAAAATACATAATAGACTTAAATGTAAGAGCTAAAACAACTAAAAATTCACAATAACAAGCCGTAATAGTAAATACTTGTGACTTCAGGTTAGCCAAAGCTTTCTTAGATATGCTACCAAAAGTGAAATTGAGAAAATAAAAAAAGAATAAAGTGTGCTTTATCTAAATTAAAAACCATCATGCTATAAATAGTACCATTGAGAAAGTAGAAACAGTGCAGCGAAAGAATGAGACAAAATATTTGCAAATCATATATCTGTTAAGGTACTTAGATTCAGGATATATAAAGAACTCTACTCTTAGAACTCAACTCAAGAAAAGACGAATAACCCAATTTAAAAATGGGCAAAGGAGCAGAATAAACATTTTTCCATAAAAGGTATACAAATGGCCATTAGGCAAATTAACATATGCTCAGCATCATCAGCCAAGAAAGAAATGCAAAGCAAAATCACATGAAATACTACTGCACTCACACTAGAACTGTTGTAACAAACGGAACAGAGTATCAATTACTGGGAAGGATGTGGAGAAACTGAAACCCTCATAAATTTTTGATTGGAATGTAAAGTGCTGCTTTGCAAAACAGTCTGTCGTTCCTCAAATGTTTAAACATAGAGTTACCATATGACAGCAATTCAACTCCTAGGTATATATCCAAGAAAAACAAAAAACTATCCACCGCAAACTTGTGCATAAATGTCTATAACATTATTCATAATAGTCAAAAAGTGAAAAACTACCCAAATGTCTATAAACAGAAAAATAAAATTGGGTACATCCATATAATAGAATATTATTCTGCAATAATAAAGTACTGATTCATGGTACAATATGAATGAAACTTGAAAACATTATGCTAACTGAAAGAAATAACTCACAAAAGAAAACATATTATATGATTTATTTTGCATGAAATATCCCGAATAGGCAGATTTGTAGAAAAGTAAGTAGATTAGTGCTTACTTAGGGCCAGGTAGGTAGGAGGAGTAATAGGAGTGACTGCTAATGTATAAAGAGTTTTTTGGGGGGTGATAAAAATGTTCCAAAATTGATTGTGGTTATGACTGCATAACTCAATGTATATACTAAAAACCATTGAATTGTACACTTTAAATAGACGTATTTTATGGGATGTATATAATATTTCAATAAATCTGTTGTGCATAGATTTAGATACATATCTATTTCTTTCTCTCTCATCTCTTCAGAGTGTACGTTAGAGGAAATGAACGATTTTTGGTCAGAAAAAAAAAACATGTTTCACAAGAAACAGTATTAATCACATTATTGACATTCTCTTAGCATCATCTTGTTACCTGCTTTAAGTCTTTCTTGAACTCTTAACTGTTGTTGATTCTTATTATTTTTCAGCAAACATTGCAAAATCATATAATTGTCATTTATGGGAGGAAAAAGTTGAGATAAACAGCTTGCCCTGTAAGGACATGTATCTTCAGTTGTCTAAGTATTGACTTAAGAATCATAATCTTAACATAAAAACTTCAAAAAAGGAAAAGAAAACCCACAAAATCATGAAATAATTTGATGAGTCAAGGTCAAAGCTGAGGAAAAAATACATTAGAGAAACTTATCTAAATTATATTTGGACAATGGGTCAAGAAAGTTCAATATCTATGTATTGCATATTACACACTACTTATTACATAACAGTAGATAGCAGCTGATTGGAGCTAGGTATGAGACATATGATGTCTAAAATTCAGTACTGAATTGCACAAAAAAGGCTAGTCAAAACAAGTGAACCATTTGAGATGAAACTTACAGTTTGGGGGAAACAAAAGATTACAACCTAAAGTGTTTTTTAGAGACAGGTAGAATTGGTTTCAACTACTTGATCTTCTCCTACTTAGCTCTGTAAAAATTGTCAATATATTAACCTGAGTCAGTCTCTGTTCTATAAAATTAGTCAGTAAAAATAAATTATCTCTAACATTCTACTATTTTGTGCTAGAGGTAGAGCCTCAAGATAAATATATCTGGGGAAAACCCCCAACTTGTCAGTATGAATTTAACTCGGTAAATATCTACCACCCCATCACTGAAGATACATTATTGGTGTCCTGCATACATATAATGCTCCCTAGGTATAGACAAAACACAAAACCCCTATGTGGTATGATTTCTTCTCACTTAAACACCATTTGATGTATTGCAATGCAATTTAACAAATGTTGGTTGAGTATATCCATTCCCACTGTTCTAGATAATTAGGATAAAACAACCCAGTCCCAAGGGATCTCACATTCTGTTATTTACAAACTGGATCACCTACAAATAACTCACAATACAAATTAATAAATTAAAGTTAGTGGTATGCCCCTGGTGCAGGGCACACGATGGAGGGAATGATATACTACATCTAAGGAGATCGGAGGTGATTTCCAAGAATAGTTTACTCGTGAACTGGAGCTTGAGGGGTAAATGGGTTTGTCAGATAAAAGCCAAAGAAGGTGAGGAATACAGGCTGTTCTGATTAGAGAGGAGGCAAGTAACAATGTCCAAAGACATGGTATCATCATGGGCTATCAAGGGAAATTCTTATGAAGAGTTTCATATGAAATGGTTTTATATAAAGTTGGTTTGGGTTTGTTTTGTTCTATTTCTCTCCCTTCACCACCCCCCACTCCCCAACTATCCATGTATCATAGGTAGGAGCTTAATAGGGATGAAGAGTGAGGCCAGCATTTTGTGCTGCTGTCTTCTTTTTCATTATGTCCTTCAAATAGATCTATTATCTTTCCAAAAGCTTGGTAATTAAATGAATATTCTGGTATTGAACACTCAATTCAATTGAATCATATGGCTAAATTTCAGAAAGTATTTAACAATATCTTACCTCCAATTTTAAATGATCAAACCAAATAAGAAAAGGCTATTCACAATGATGATAATAAAACTAAAAACAAAATAATGACTTACATTTACATAACTTAGTATGTGCTAAGGTTTGTTTCAAGTCCATTTGCCTAGGTTGATTAATCTTCACAAAACTTATAAGCATATTTAAACCACAACAGATATAGTGCTTCCAGCCCAAGCACTCTATCTGGCTCTAGAGCCTGAGCTCTGAACCATTAAGCAACACAGCCACAGAAAGTCAGTGTGGAAGGGTTGGCCAGGATATCAGATTGAGGGTAGACAGGGGCCAGATTATAATGAGTCTTTATATTCCACTGAGCTTCTTTTTTATTTTCTTGAGATTGAGAGTCAATAAAGGGTTTATTTTCAAGACATTTTGTGATACATTCTGCGTTAGTGAAGAATCACAGTACTGGGGATAACTGAGATGGGAGAGTCTCCTTGACCCTTTTGTAGGCAAGAACTGAAGTGCACCAGCTCTGGGTCCAGCCAGCCATTTCAACACTGGCGGGGACAAACTTCACTCACTCAAACCCACTGTGCTCAACCCCTCACGGGAGGCAGCACACAGTTGAGTGGGTGCCGGGGCGGGGTGAGCTTTTTTGGCCTCCAGTCCCATGGCAGTGTGTAGGGATGTGTTACAATTAATGCTCTTTTAGCTTTGCTCTCAGCTGATGGCTTCAGTGTTAAACAGCTCAGTGAAGAATCAGTGTGACAGCCTTCTGCACCTGCCCTTTTGACACCTGAGTTCTTGCTCGGCATTCAGGAAGAATCAGGTCTCATGAACGATTCGAAAGGTGATGAATGCAGAGGATTTTATTAAACAGTGGAAATGGCTCTCAGCCGAAGGGGAGCTGGAAAGGAGATGGTGCAGGAAGAAGGGGATCTTCCTCTAAAGCCCGGCCAGCTCCAGCTGGGCTCCACTCTGAAGTCATGTCCTCTGAAGTTGAGCCGCATCTCTCTGTAGTCTCTGACACTCAGTTGCTCCTTCCCCTCTCGACATTCAGCCACTTATCTCTCTGCCAGCTGAGGTCTGGGGCTTATATGGGCACAGAATACAGGAGTGGGGTGGGTCAAAAAGGCAACATTTGGGTGGGAAAACAGGGATAACTGTTCTTACTTAGGGCTGTGGTTTCCAGGCTTGAGAGTGGGACCTTTGCTGGGGAACCACCCTCTTTTACCCAGTGTTTTCCTGCCTCCTGTCCATATCATAACCACATGGACGTTGACACATTAAACTTGACATTTCATGATATTTTAATTTTTATTGTCAAACAAAAATGAATCCGAAAAAATAATGGTTCTGGCAGAAGTGTGGAGCACAGACAGAAACAGAGGAAGACTAACTTCAGTTGTATCAACAGTCCAGACAAGAAATCAATGGAGAAAAATTTTCTAGTCAAGTGGGAAAGAGCTCAGGGAGTATAAATGACAAAAGTAAATCAGGAAGTGGTGGCAAATTGAAAGACTGCATAAATGTTAAGTAATCTGCTCTAGGTCATACACAATAGTGTGCTGGTAAGCCAGCTCTCTGAAGGCAGTGGGGGAACCATGATTTGTAGTCTTTGTGGACTGCCGTAGTGTAAATACCCTCACCGTGGCTAATTTAAAGATAACAACCTGATGTAATAGATGCACAAAATGGGATCTCAGGAGAGAGCTGGCTGGGGTTGAATGCAAGCTGTTTGCAAGCCACGGTAATAGTGAAGATGCAATGCTCTTCAGCACTATAGTACATGCACGGCATTTCATGCAGACCTGGATTTGAAATAAATTGCTGCCACATTTAGTAGCTGTATGAGTGAGCTCAAGTTCTCATCCTTTCTAAGCTTCAATTTCTTCATTTTAAACTGGGACTAATACTACTTAAGAGAGTTGTTTTGAAAACTAAAAGATAAAATATGAAAAGCATGTTCCATTGCTTTTTGCATAATGACCCCTCCATGAATAAATAAATAGTATTAATGTTACTCTTTATAAATCTGCAAGAAATTTTCCTGTGCTAAAGAACATTGTTCTAGTGGTCTGGCTTGTAAATTAGAGTTAGGAATTTGACCCATAGCTCCTATTGTTAGGAAGTTCAGAAAGAATGTGTTTTTTTCTTGTAGCCTTAGGAATTTAGGAAGCTACCATACCAGCCAGGCCCCAAACCCTGAACCCTTAGGCTACTTTTGTTTCCTTATCTTAGGGACTATCTTAGTTGATGAAGGGGGCATATGTTTTGGTCTCTCATGTTGCGGGACATCAGGGACCCCAAATGGAGGGACCGGCTGAGGCCGTGGCAGAAGAACATAAATTGTGAAGATTTCATGGAAATTTATTAGTTCCCAAAATTAATACTTTTATAATTTCTTACGCCTGTCTTAACCGCAATCTCTGAACATAAATTGTGAAGATTTCATGGACATTTATCACTTCCCCAGTAAATACTCTTATAATTTCCTTTGCCTGTTTTTACTTTAATCTCTTAATCCTGTCACATTTGTAAGCTGAGGATGTATGTCTCCTCAGGACCCTGTCATGATTGTGTTAACTGTACAAATTGTTTGTAAAACATGTGTGCTTGAACAATATGAAATCAGTGCAACCTGAAAAAGGAAAGAATAACAGCAATTTTCAGGGAACAAGGGAGATAACCATAAGGTTTGACTGCCTGCGGGGTCGGGCAGAATAGAGCCATATTTTTCTTCTTGCAGGGAGCATATAGATGGATGTGTGAGTAGGCAAAATATTGCTGAATTCTTTTCCCAGCAAGGAATATTAATAATTGATAACTCTGGGGAAGGAATGCATTACCAGGGGTAGGTCTATACATGGCTGCTCTGGGAATGTCTGTCTTATGTGGTTGAGATAAGGGATGAAATAAGCCCTGGTCTCCTGCAGTGCCCTCAGGCTTACTAGGCTTGGGAAGTTCCAGCCTGGTAAATTCTAGTCAGACTGGTTGTCTGCTCTCAAACCCTGTTTCCTGTTAAGATGTTTATCAAGACAATGAGTGCCCAGTGAGACATGGACCTTCATCAATAATTCTAATTTCGCCCTTGCCTTGTGATCTTGCTCTACCCTCTGCTTTGTGATCTTTTATTGCCCTTTGAAGCATGTGATCCTTGTGACCTACTCCCTGTTCATACATACCCTCCCCTTCTAAAATCCCTAATAAAAACTTGCTGGTTTTGCAGCTCAAGTGGGCATCATGGAACCTGCTGATATGTGATGTCATCCCCAGCAGCCCAGCTGTAAAATTCTTCTCTTTGTACTCTTTCTCTTTATTTCTGAGACTGGCTGACACTTAGGGAAAATAGAAAAGAACCTACATTGAAATATTGGGGGCTGGTTCCCCCGATACTCTCAGATCAAATAAATAAACATTTTTTAGAAAGAGAAACATTTTTAGTACCTTCAACTAGTAGTGTACCCAGGTAAACAAGGGCCTGGATTCTGGAGCTAAAGCGTTTGGGTTTAAATTCTGGTTAGACCACTTGCTAATCTGGTAAAATGGCAATTTATTAACCTCTATCTCACTCAAATTCATCTACAAGATGGAGTTAATAATCATACTCACCTCATCAAATCATCGTGAAGTTAAAATGAGTTAAGGTATGTAATGCACTTAAAATGGTGCTTGTTATTATTGTTACTTTTCATACAACAGAGTTTCCCTTTAAGAAACAATTCCAGGTCTATAGAACACTATAATTTATTCCTCCTACCTGGCTATAATTTTGTCTGATGGATATGCATGTTTACATGTATCCAGATATCACTCTGTATCCCATAAATATGTGTAATTATTACATTTCAACTAAAAATTAAAGGGAAAAAATAAAATTATAATTTTAGCTCAGCAGCTTTAAAGCATTTTTATTGTTACTTAAAATATGAAAATGCACAGCATTAGGACTTCATGAGTGGTTACTATGTTAATTTTAATTAGAAATCAACGACAAACATTGATTTTCCTTAACATAACCTTCTCAAGACAGGGCTTCAACCTCCAGCTCACCAACAGTAACTAAAAACATAACAACGGCATCCCCAGATGTAGAGCTAAGCTAAAAAATGAGACGTGTTAAAGACAGAAAAAAATAATACTTTCACATTTTTTAACAGAATGTAAAAAATGGAAATTTGAACAAGAGATCAAATAGAATAGATGTGAAGTTTGTAAACCAAAATACATTTTAGAAGTAATTCCACAACTCTTGTACCTCAAGACAGATTAAGGATATTAAAAAAAAAAAGGGTGAAGAGAAAAAAGTATTTAGACTCATATAAGAATCTTTTTGGAGAAGGCTGTAGCCAGACTGTGTGGCTCTTTCACTGCCCAAAAGGAAGGAGTGGGTGGGTACAGGGTTAGCTACGTAATTCTCAGGGCCTAATACAAAATGAATATGCAGGGATCTTGTTTAAGAAGCAAAAAAAAAAAAAGTGGTTTTGTTCTTTTTACTTTCTTCTTTTTGATGCATCATAGAGTATTTTATCTGCTGTTTAATATTGCATTCTCTCAGGTATAGCAATATCACTGAGTAAGAACAGGTGATGACTGTTCTTGGGATGCCTGTGTCAACCTGACCCTCCCTGTACCTGTTCAGGCCCCTGCTGGAGTTGAAGGACCCATGCCAAGGAGGTCGGAAGGTGGAGGAGGCAGGGACATAGGAACTTACTTGAGGCTCCAATCTCTTCGTATAAATGCACCTACGAAAAAGTCAGTTTCCAACATCTGCCTTCAATCTCCCAGCACATATTCTATTGTCCCATTTGACTTCACTTGCAAAACACAAATTACAAACAAAACTATCAAACATTTCAAATGGTGAACATAGAGAATTAAATCCTGGTTTGAAACCCTTCCTGAGCATTGTGTCCTGTACAACTGCACTGGCCACAGCCCATTAAGCTGACCTCAGGGGTGGAAGGGTGTGGGGGTGAGAGGAGAGGTCTACCTTCTTCAGATCAAGCCTCGTATGCACAAATGTGCATGCTTGGTGGGGGTGGAGGGGCTGAAATCTACCTACCTCACAGAAAATCTTGTGAGGAGGCTTTATTGGGATCATTCAGAATTTAAATATGCCTCCTTCTTTGAAAAAAACGGAGAGCTAGCACTGACTCCTGACTAATAATGCTAAAACAGACTGTGGAAGCAGGGGATGGGGGCTCCCCTAGAGCAGGTCAGGGCATGAGGGGCAGAGATGCATGCATGTTTCACAGGATCATCCTGTCTCAGAGAGGCAGAGGTAGCAGTCATCCAGAAACTTAGCGAGAATGCCCTAGGAGATGAAAAGTCATTTCGAGCAGATTTCTGGGAAATGGATAAGTGAAAATCTGCAAATGGAAACTTCAAAATTATGGAAAAGCACCTACAAGAAAGTCAGTTTTCAACATCTGCTAGCATTAGCAAACCTAAAGCTCTGCAGTGTATGACGCACAGCAAAAGCATGGACTCCTGGGTCAGATTCTCTGGGATCAAATACTGGCTATTTGATTTTGTTCAAAAACCAAGGAAAAGCTGAGTGACTCTTGAAAATGATTTAATCTGTAATCCTTTATGCCTTCAGTTTCTCCTTCCAAGAAATGGTTATAATAAAAGTTCCAGTGATTAATACATGGTAAGAAATCAATAATATCATCATAATATCAGTCCAATTCAGACTTTTCTAAGCCCCAAACTCCTACCTAACCTATTTCTGAAAGCTTTGAAAATATTTTAATAGGAATTATCTCTCAGAATTACTATGAAGATACTAGTTCAGTTAAGAAGTTTAACATATATTCTTCTTTCACTTTTTTTTTAAAATCTGGAGGATGTAATTTCCCGGGCAGAAGAAAAGGAATAATTCAACCATATCTCTATGTTCTATGCTCAAATTCTAACTATGATAAGGGGATGGGAGAGAGGGTAAATATTTTACTTTAAATCGAGTTCAGAACATTGATGGGTGTCTTTGATTGACACAGTCATTTCTCAACCATGTTTTTGTGTGTGTATGTGTGTAAGTCAAGTTTAGTGATAGTTTACATATAGGAAAATTAAAATTTTTAGGTGTATAGTTCTATAAATGTTGTAAAATGCATACATTCCTGTACCACAAACAAAATCGGAATAAGAACATTTTCATCTCCTTGAAAGTTTTCTCCCGCCCCTTTATGGCAATCCCCCATCTCCCCATCACCTGGCCACTGGAAACTACTGATCTTATTTCTGTTTCCCCTTCATTTTCTTTTTCCAGAAGGTAGTATAAATGAACTGTCTTAGTCCACTTAGGCTTCTATAACAAAATCTAACCCACTGGGTAGCTTATAAGCAACCAAAATGTATTTATCATAGTTTTGGAGGCTGGGAAGTCCAAGATCAAGCCACTGACAGATTCAAAGTCTATTGAGTGTCCCACTTCCTGGTTCATAGATGGCACCCTCTGACTTTGCTCTCACATAGTGAAAGGGGCTGTCTATCTACCTTGGATCTCTTTAATAAAAGCACTAATTCCATTCATTAGGGGGGTGCCCTTAGGACCTAATTACTTCTCAAAGGCCCTATCTTCTAATGCTGTCCCACAATGTATACCTTTGGTGGGGAACATACAGATTCAATAAGTAGCCTTTTTGTATCTGGCTTCCTTCCCATAATGTGAGATGCATCCGTATTGTTGCACATATCACCAGTCTGTTTCTTTATATTACTGAGCAATATTCCATCATATGGACCATCTCTCTGTAAGTTCTATGATAATGTGGTCACAAGACTCTCTATTATCTAACATTGTGCAGAACATTTATAGTGTCTACCTACCTTTCTATCTAGGGGCAAGGTGAAATGACCTCTATTGAAAGCAGAGAGATAAAAAAAAAAAAAGACTTGCTTTATGATATTCTGAGGGTCATGCTCATTCTGTGTTATTTTAAGATCATATGATATAATATTCTATGATTATACCATTTGCATAACATCGTTTCATATTATACTACTTTCTGTGTTCCTTTCTAAGTCATGTCCATTGGGAATTATAAATTATGAAAGGAAAAGCACAGGTTGACAACCACATTTACAAAGATGAAGACTGTAAAACTGAAAGAGGTGAAGACATTCTGGAATTTATGCTTTTAAAAATAATTAAAATAACAATGATAATAGCGTACCTTTAATGAGTGTCTATTGCGTGGCACATATTTTTCAAAGGCTTTTTTCCTGTTTTGTACCATTTAATTCTTATACAAATATTATTCATAGACTTGTTTAATATATTATCATTTTACAGATGGAAAAATTGAGAGGTGGAAGGTTAAAGTTGCATTGCTAATATGGCCTGGATTTCAACAAGAATCTTTTTCACTCAGAACATTAACCCTAAAGCCCTTTTCCAATCTACCATTCGATTGTTAAATAAAGACTGGGACTGAACTTTCATATCATTGCTTTTTCCATAGTGTCCTTTTGCTTTATATGGCAAATGGTAAGGCCCAGCCTGTGCTGCAGAAGAAACCAAAGAGAGAAGCATGCAGTGGCTATACACACACAAACATACACATGCATATACATATGTACATATGTATATACAAATAAGTACATATGTATATGCATATGTATGTTCATGTATGATCATACATATATATGTGTATGATCATATGATTTGTATTCTATATATTTTACTTTTGTATCAAAATATTTTTTCTAAGAATTAGAGACAAATACTTAGTATATTTATAATTGGGTATACATAAAAGAATTAAAAACTCTCAATCTTTCACGGGAACTGACAGAATATCTAGAATGGTTCATTTCACACCCTTCCTCTCGCTGGCTATGTTACTATTTATTCTAACAATAAGAAATTTGTCTTAAAGTCGTAATAAATAGACAGTGTTCACCATCCTGTGACCTGAACATTAATTGGAATGCTACCTTTAACTTTGTGTCTTGTACAATACTAAAAACTTCAGATGGCAGTGGGATTTTTGTGTATTTCCAACTTGTTCTCACTTACAACACCCATTATTCCTTGAAGGAGCCAAGTTTCCTTTCTAAGAGAATTTAACACCATTTTAAAATTGTTAACACTGGTTTGTGGTCTGCAGTGTTTGATCACGTTTTTATTTTTATTAGGTTACTCCAATTCAATACCTCCTTCCAAATATTTATGTTCCCTATACAGCATAGAGATGAAAAGGAATATTTTCTTTTATTAAACACATTATTTGTGAATATCCTTGCTACAATTCATGGAGGATAAGTCATAAAGTATAAACAACACGCTCTGTGGAATTTATACTGTTTTCACTATATTTGTCTACCGGTAGGTTTTGTGCACATTTAAAATATAAAATAAAAGGTATATACTGACACAAAGATTCCTATTTGCCTTCTTAAGAGCCGTTAGGATAGTTTAAATTATGTGACAAATTTTCCTGTTTATTTTCTGATTCCAAATACTCACAGAGACTGAAAGCTCCTAGTTCTCTAAGTTTAATTCCTTAAGTATTCATTTGTATCATGTTAGAAATTTTCTAAATGGAAAATGTGTACAAATTACACTTCACTTTCAATAGAGTTAAGTCATTTATTTAAAATGCTAGGCAAGATTTAGCAAAAGCTTCTCCTAAAGATGTAGCTCAAGGAAGTTAGAGAGACAGAAAAGTTGCCTTTAAATGTATTTCTTGTCTTTGAAGAAAAAAAAAAAAAAACCTTGATTCAGCTAGCTCTGTGTAAGGTGACTGATACCCAATTTGTAGGGGACAAAATAACTTGACCAGGAGCTCAAGTTCCTGCTCCAGCACTTACTCGTAAATTTGAGTTTGGGGAACATCTCTAACTACTGAAAGGTAGTTTGTTGATCTGAATTGTAAGTATGATTTTCCTCCTGTGTCATGTATAGGGAAGGTTTGAGGCCACCTTTTTAAGAATTAAGAACTCTAAGAAATTTTTAAAAAACTATAAGAGAATGTTAATATTAACGAATGGGTTAATGGCATTATTATTTTACTGGTTTTTGTTTTGCATTTAATCAGGAGGCATGGGGAGTTTTTCCTGTTCAGGTGTATTTTTAAACTTTGTCTGGGTGGAGTGTCTATGAAAAAGAATTGGTATCTCCATTGGGAAAACATTCTTTGATCTTCACTGGTTGGTTTCACATCCTTGTGAAAATCTCTTCACCACCTAAACCCCACATTTCTTCTCCAGTAAAGCACAGGGTTGCATTATACACTTGGGTCTGTCTCATCTGCATTGAAGAGTCTTTGACTCTATTCATGAACAATGCCACCATCCCTTTAAATTAGTTGGTATTCACAAGTGGAAAGTTGTAATAATGTCTTGGGCTAAATTTAGTGGGGAAGAGTGGTGGAGAATTGGAATAGGACCTAATGTTTTTTTAATTGTGATACTGATGCTTTATTCAGATCGCTTATTCAATCTGACAATTCATAACAGGTGTTATCTCAACTTAGGAAAAAACTAAGACTCAAGTTGTTGAAGGACCTTGTTCGAGGTCACACTGCTAGGGAGTAAGTGGTAGGGAGTGAATTAAAACCAATGACTCTGGTTCACAGTTTATCATTTTCCTCTTTTGTCTTGTTCCATCTGGCTGCTTCTTTGCCACCCTCTGTTGTAGATCCTCATCCTTTTTGGAATTTACCACTACTTGCAGATAGTAATTTGCTTTTTCTACTTGCATACCTTATATAAACATTGTTTCTAATTATCCTAACAATTCTGCAAGACAAATATGCCATTTTCCAGCTTTACTGAGGTATAATTGATTGATACAAATTGTATACATCTAAAGTATGCAACATGATGTCTTCATGTATCTATACATTTTGAGAATTTTATCAAAATCAAGCTAATTTACATAAGTATCACCTCACATACTTTTATTTTTGTGGTGAGAATACTTAATACCTACCCTTTAACAAACCTGAAATATATATATATGTATATATATATATACACATACATATGTATATATACACATATATATGTGTGTATATATACATATGTATGTGTATATATATATATACATATATATATATATAATACATTACTAACTATCATGACCATACTGTTCATTTGGTTGCCAGAACTTACTCATCTTATAACTAAAAGTTTGTATCCTTTAACCAAATTCTCCCCATTTTCCCCACCATTTGAGCCCTGGTAACCGCCCTCTGCCTTCTACTCTATACTATGAGTCTGACTTATTAAATTTTACTGTGAATGAGATCATTGAATATTTGTCTTTGTGTGTCTCTATTTCACTTAGCATGATGTTCTCCAAGATTATCTACATTGTGGCAAATGGCAGGATTTTCTTCTTTCTTAAGGCTAAATAACATTCCACTCTGTGTATGTACACATATGTTTAATATTTGCTATATTGATTTCATTTCCTTTGCATATATACCAAAAAAGACAATTGGTAGATTATACGGTAGTTCTCTTTTTAATTTTATAAGGAATCTTCACACTGTTTCTCATGTTTGTACCAATTTACATTCCACCAACAATGTATAAGGGTCCCTTCTCCCCACATCCTCTCCAACACTTGATATCTTTTGACAATAGCCATCCTAGTAGTTGTAAGGTTATACATCATAGGGGCTTTGATTTGCATTTCCTTGATGATTAGCAATATTGAGCACCTTTGCATATACCTGTTGGCTATTTTTATGTCTTCTTAGAAAAAAATCAATTTACATCCTTGCCCACTTTTTAATTGGGTTTTTTGTTTTATTGCTATTGAGTTTATGAGTCATTTAAATATTGTGGCTATTAAAACCATAATGGAGTATATGGTTTGCAAATATTTTCCCCCATTTCATAGGTTGTGCTTGTACTCTGTTGTTTCCCTTGCTGCTGCAAAGCTTTGCAGTTTAATATAGTCCCACTTGTTTATTTTTGCTTTTATTGCTTGTGTTATATTCAAAAAACAATTGCCAGGACCATTGTCATAGAGCTCTTACCCTAAGTTTACTTCAAGAAGTATTATGAATTCAGAAATTACATTTAAGTCATTAACCCATCTTGAGTTCATTTTCTTGTATAGTGTGAGATAAGAATGCAATTTTCTTTTTATGTGAATATCTAGATTTCTAACACCATTTATTAAAGAAACTGTTTTTCCCCATTGTGTTTTCTGAGTGCCCCTGTTGACAATTTATTGGCCATATATGCTTGGGTTTATCTATGAGTTTTCCGTTCTGTTCCATTGGATTATATCTCTGTTTTTATGACAGTACTGTACTCTTTTAATTATTGTAGCTTTGTAATATAATTTAAAATCAATACATTTTATTTTCCCAACTTTGTTCTTCTTGCTCAAGATTGCTTTAGCTGTGCAAGATCTTTTCTGGTTCCATAGCAATTTTAGAATTTTTTTTTCCTAGTTCTGTGTAAAATACCATTGAAATATTGTAAGGGTTTTATTGCATCTGTAGATTGCTTTCATTAATGTTTACATATTAACAATAAAGAAACATAGAGTATCTTTCCATTTACTTAAATCTTCTTTAATTTCTTTCACCAATGTTTTATAGGTTTCAGTGTATAGATTTTTTCACCAGTGTTTTATAGTTTTCAGTGTATAGATTTTTCACCAATGTTTTATATTGTTTAGGGTATAGATTTTTCACCTATTTGAGTTATTCTTAAGTAGTTCAAGTATTTTGATGCA
Organism: Homo sapiens; assembly: GCF_000001405.40. Lineage (NCBI taxonomy): Eukaryota > Metazoa > Chordata > Mammalia > Primates > Hominidae > Homo > Homo sapiens. The sequence continues at coordinate 14,001,336 of NC_000002.12, read as the reverse complement.
ATTGTGAATGGAGTTGTTTTCTTAATTTCTTTTCCAGATAGTTAATTGATAGTGTATGGAAACTCTACTAATTTTTGTATGTTAAATTTGTATCTTGCAACTTTACTTAATTTGTTTATTAATTCTAACTGTTTTTGGTGGAGTCTTTAGAATATTCTACACACAGAGTTCCATCATCTATAGACATAACTTTTTATTTTCTCATTTTAATGCTTTTCTTTTTCCTGCCTAATCATTAGGCTAGGACTGCCTGCACTATGTTGAATGTAAGTGGGGAGAGTGGATAACTTTGTCTTGTTCTTGATATTAAAGGAAAAGCTTTCAGCTTTCACCATTGAGTAAAATGTTAGCTGTGGGCTTGTCATATATGACCTTTATTGTGTGGAGGTACATTTCCTCTATAATTAATTTTTGGAGTATTTATCATATAAAGATGTTAAGTTTTGTCAAATGATTTTTCTGTATCTTTTGACATCATCATGTGATTTCATTCCATTAATGTACTTTATTACATTTATCACTTTGTATATTTTGAGCCATCCTTGCATCCCTAAAACAAATCCCATTTGATCATAGTGTATGAACCTAATTACTTTCCAAAGGCCTTATCTTGTAATGCAATCACACAGGGGATAACATTAGATCACACTAAGGATAACATTAATTTGTTATTGAATGTGTTTTGCTAGTATCTTGTTGAGTATTAAGCATCTATGTTCATTAGGTATATTGGCTTGTAGTTTTCTTTTCTTATAACATCTTTGTCTAGCTTTGGTATTTGTGTAATGCTAACTTTCTACAATAAGTTTAAAAGGGTTTTCTTCTCTTCCTTTTTTGGAAAAGTTTGAGAGAGTAATATTATTTCTTATTTCAATATTTGTTAGAATTCACTAGGGAAGTCATTAGTTCCTAATCTTTTTTCATGGGGGATGTTTTATTACTGATTCAATCTGATATTTGTTATTAGCCTGTCCATATTTCATATTTCTATATTATTCAGTTGTGATAAGTTTTATATTTCTAGAAGTTTATCAGCTTTTTCCAAGTTAACCCACTTTTTGGCATAAAATTGTTTATACCAATCTCTCATGATCCCTTATATTTCTGTGGTATCAGTTGTAATGTCTCCTATTTTGTGTCTCTTATTTATTTGAGTTTTCTTTCTTTTTTAGTGGAGAAAAAAAGGTTTGCCAAAGCTATAGGTTTGTCAACTTCATCTTTTCAAGAAAAACAACTCTTAGTTTCATTGATCTTTCCTATTATTATTTTTTAGTCTCTATTTCATTTATTTTTGCTCTGATCTTTATTTCCTTCCTCCTACCTACAAATTTTGGGCTTATTTTTTAAAGTTCTTTGAAGAGTAAATTGTTTATTGGTGATTCTCCCTTTTTATTAAAGTAGGCATTAATTGATATAAAATTCCTTATTAGAACTGCTTTGGTTTCAACCCATAGGTTTTGGTATGTTGGGTTTCTATTTTCATTTGTTTTAATATGTTTTTTTATTTCCCTCATTATTTCTTCTTTGACTAATTGGTTGAGAGTATGTTGTTTAATTTTCTAGTGTTTTTGAATTTTCCAACTTTCCACCTGTTATTGATTTCTAGTTTCATACCTCTGTGGTCAGAGAATACACTTCATGCAATTTCAATATTTTAAAATTTGTTAAAACTTATTTTGTGACCAAACACGATTTATCTTGGGGAATGTTCTCTGTGTACTTAAGAATCACATGTATTCTGCTGGTATTGGATGGTATATTCTGTATATGCCTATTATGTTTATTTGGTCTAGAGTGTAGTTCAAATCCAATATTTCCTTAGTAATATTGTCTGGGTGATCAATCTATTTTTAAAAGTGAGGTCTGGGTGATCAATCTATTTTTAAAAGTGAGGTACTGAATTTCCCTATTATTATTGTATTTTTGTCTATTTCTCCCATCAGATTTGTTTATAGTTGCTTTATATCTTAGCTACTCTTATGTTAGGTGCATGTATATATATAATGACTATATATTCTTTTTTTCATTTAAGAATTAATAACCATTTTTATTAAGGGGTCAAATTTAATGATAAACCCAGAGGCATAGAATTCTCTGATTGCCTTGGGAACTCTATGTATTTTAGGGGGAGGCATTGTTCTGTCTGCTTACTCTATTTTTCAACAATCTTCTTTCAGCTCCCAAAAGTGACCCATGAAAACTTCAAGTGTACAATGCAACATCTAACAGCTTGACTGTTAAGTGGGATCCTGCTAGTGGTCATGTGCGGAAATATAGGATCGCTTATCAGCCTTCCACTGGGGAAGGCAATGAGCAAATGGCAACTTTTAAATAAAAATTATAACTTGAATAAATTCTACCCATTTCTCTTCAAACTCTTTTTCCCCTCAGTGTTTAGTTAGTCATAATTACTTTTTATTTATTATTATACTTTAAGTTCTGGGATACATGTGTAGAATGTGCAGGTTTGTTACATAGGTATATACGTGCCATGGTGATTTGTTGCACCCATCAACCCATCATCTACATTAGGTATTTCTCCTAATGCTATCTCCCCCCAGCCCCCCACTCCCCGACAGGCCCCGGTGTGTGATGTTCCCCTGCTTATGTCCATGTGTTCTCATTGTTCAACTCCCACTTATAAATGAGAATATGCAGTGTTTGGTTTTCTCTTCCAGTGTTAGTTTGCTGAGAATGATGGCTTCCATCTCCATTCATGTTCCTGCAAAGGACATGAGCTCATCTTTTTTATGGCTGCATAGTATTCCATGGTGTATATGTGCCACATTTTCTTTATCCAGTCTATCATTGATGGGCATTTGGGTTGGTTTGAAGTCTTTGCTATTGTGAATAGTGCTGCAATACATGTGCATGTGTCTTTATAGTAGAATGATTTATAATCCTTTTGGTATATTCTCAGTAATAGGGTTGCTGGGTCAAATGGTATTTCTGTTTCTATATCCTTGAGGAATTGCCACACTGTCTTCCACAATGGTTGAACTAATTTACAGAGATATTCTTAATGAGTTGATTTTTATCCTTATATAATGACTTTATTTGACTCTTACAATATTTTACCTAGAGTCTAGTGTATCTTACATAAGTGTAGCTAACTCTGCACCATTTGTTTCTATTAGCATAGGTAATCTCTTCCCAATCCCTTCATTTTCAACGTGTGTTCTTAAAGCTGAAATGTGTCTCTTGTAAGCAGCATATAGTTGGTTTTTTAAAAAATTCATTCACCCAGTCTTTTGGTGAATTTAATTACTATACATTTAAAGTAATTATCGATAGGTAAAGACTTACTGTTGTCATTTTGGTTATTGTTTTCTCTCTGTTTTGTAGATTATTTGTTCCTTTCTCCCTCCATTTTCCCTTGTGCTTTCATAATTTTCTGTTGTGGTATACTTTATTTCCTTTTAAAAGAAATTGTATATATACTATAAACTTTTGCTTTGTGGTTACCATGGGAGTTACACAAAACATTTTATAGTTATAACAATCTATTT